>NC_000016.10:47289772-47592803 GCF_000001405.40 Homo sapiens | reverse complement strand
ATCAAACTGCAGTCCTTCAATAAATATTTACTGAATACTTACTAATGCCTGGAACCAACTAGACAGAGAGCTACTAAGACAAAAGACAGAGAACTTCCCTCAGAGGCTCACAGCCTAATAGGGAGGCCAGCATGTAAATAAACAACTACTATGCAGTAGGAAATATCTACACATGGTATGTCAGGCTCATAGGGAGTGGAACACCTGAGTCTGCCTTGGAATCAGGGAATGTTTACAGGAAAGGAGATGTTTCAGCTAACGCTGGATGGAATTCACTGGGGAGATGAGCTAAGGTAACTCAAGGCAAAGGAAGTAACAGTTACAAACCACAGATGCACAGAATCACAAAGTATGTTAAAGAATCTACCAGCAATTCAGTATTTCTGCAATAAGCAAGGACGAAGTAGTGAAAACTGAAACCCAACAGATGGGCCAGGCCAGCCAGATCGGGAAGGGCCTTGCAGGTCATGCTAAGTAGCTAAGACTTTGGTCTGGAAATAAAAGAGAACCACAGGTGAATACTCAGCAGGATCAAATTTACTCATTATATTTACTTGCTAGACTGAGCAGCTGGTAATACCGAAGAGAGTTGTAGGGCAAAAAACAGGACCAGCTGGAATTCTGCTGGAGCAAAATCCAAAGAGAAAAGATGACAACCTAAACTGAGCTTTCTCAACTTCAGCACTACTGACATTGTGGCCAAATAATTCTTTGTTGTTGGGCTGTCCTGTGTGGTGCAGGAATGTTTAGTAGCATTCCTAGTATCTACCTTCCAGATGTCAGTAGTACCTACTATATTGTGATAACCCAAAATGTCTGCAGACATTGTCAAATGTCTCCTGGAGGGCAAAATCGCCCCAGATCCACTAGCCTAAACCAGGGAGTAATAGAGAGGAAAAAACAGAATTTTAGGATTTTTAGGAGGCTAAATCTGCCAGCCTTGGTGATTGACAAAGGTAGATGGGTGAGAAGGAAGTGCCTAGAATGACTCTCAGGTATAGGGCTCGGGCACAGGAGTGGAAGCTGAATACAGGCAAACTGTAAGACATCTAAGCGAGGATGTTCACAAGGCAGCTGCATACAGGGGGTGGGCACTTGAGGAGAGGTATGAGTTAGGGATGGAGATCTGTGGTTAATAGCTATAGCTGAAGCTAAGAGTTCACAGCCAGAATGAAGAGAGCTAGGGCTGTGGATGGGCCCTAGGAGAAGAGCAAGGTTTAAGAGGGGGCAGAAGAGGAGGAACCTGCAAAGGAGACTAAGAAGTAAGTGAGAGAAGTGGAGAATAAAGAAAGGGGTCACAGCCAATGGAGAATGTTCCAACAAACAAGACTCAGCAAAGACACTCAAATGCCAAGTTCTGTGAAACGAGATCAGAAAAGCATCCACTCCGACTCAGTAATGTAAATGGATTGAAGCCAGCACAGCTACTGGGGAGTGCTCAGAAGTAAGCCAGTTTGTAAGGGGAAAGAGTAAGCGGGATGTAAACAAGGAGACACCAAGTAGAGGCCATGCTTTTCAGATGTGTGGCACCAAGAGAAAGAGGATGGAGGTGGACAGGGAAAGGGCTGAGGAAGGGTTTCGTTTGGTTTCTTAATGATAAACATCAATGTGCTTAATGACGAAAAAAGCTAATTTAAGTTGGGGAAACAAGACAGAGAAGTAGAAATGGAGATGAGGAGAAAAAAGAAAGAGAAATAGATATCCTTCTATCACAGAAGAAAACAAGTGAGGGTGTCAAGAAAGGAAAAGAGAATAGGATGGGGTATACACAGGATGGGTTAGCCTTAGAACAGAGAGCTCCTTCTGTGAGGCAAGAGAGATGGAGGTAAGTATGGATGAAGGAAAGACACAGTGGAGGAGACCATGCAGAAATGAAAGGCTATCAAGTAGAAAATAAAAAGGAAAGTCTGCGAACTTGAGTACAAACAGGAAAAAGCTGGAAAAGCTTTCATGGGGAGTTCCTGGCAGAGTCAGATAGCAGGACTGACAAGAACCGACAGCAATGATGAGGCTGAACCAAGAAAGATCTCCTGACTGTGGGGCAGCTCCTACCCACAGTGCTGTGGCTTTCCTTAGTGGTGCTCAGCAGAAGGTGAAGAAAGCTTGCTGGACAGATCCAAAGCAAGAAAGCTTGCTGGACAGATCCAAAGTTGGAAGTGTGCGAGGTGGTAGTTAGTTGCAGGTGGTCCAATTCAAATGTAAGTGCTGTAAATATTGGCACAGAAAATGTATTAAATAGGAAAGAAACATTTGAAGGTGTTTAAGAGATAAATGGATCTTTTGGCCCAACCTAACAGACTGTAACACTGCCAACACTGCTAAAATTTCAAAAGTGCACACAATAAAATGGTTTCCAAGTGATAGTCAACCGTGAAATTAAATAAAGCTGGATGTGGTGGTGTATGCCTGTAGTCCGAGCTACTTGGGAGGCTGAGGCAGGAGAATCACTTGAGCCCTGGAGTTCCAGTCCAGCCTGGGCAACATAGGGAGATCTGGTCTCTATTAAAAAAAAAAAAAAAAAGTTAAATAAAATGATAAATAGCTTGTCTAGTTTTTCTGCAAAAGTGTATGTTAAATTTTAAAATAGTATGTTAATTGCCAAACAACTTAAAAGGTATAATGTTGCCTACATATTTTCTACATACAGATTCCTAGGGACCTTACCTACCTTCAGTGAGTGAGCCAATTATGCCCATGCATACAAAATACCTTTCAGCCAGGCACAGTGGCTCACGCTTGTAATCCCAGCACTTTAGGAGGCCTAGGAGGGCAGATCACTTGGTCAGGAGTTGAAGACCAGCCTGGCCAACATGGTGAAACCCCATCTCTACTAAAAACACAAAAAAATTAGCTGGGCTGGGCATTGTGGCATGTGCCTGTAATCCCAGCTACTCAGGAAGCTGAGGCAGGAGAATTGCTTGAACCCAGGAGGTGGAGGTTACAGTGAGCTGAGATCATGCCACTGCTCTCCAGCCTGGGCAACAGAGCAAGACTCCATCTCAAAAGGAAAGAAACAAAAAACCAAAATACCTTTCAATACACTACATTAAAGCAAAGTCTTCAGCAATGTGCATGACTTCTTACTTTTTTGGGGTGCTATTTTCTAGATGGCTTAAAAGCAGCTAGTATAAAACTACATATAGTGGTATATGTGTTTTGAAATACAAAATATTTTAAAACTAAACATTTAGAGGACTATATTTTAAAAGAAAGTGTCTAAATGAAACAGATAAGGGAAGATGGAATGGCCTATCAGTTTTAATAAAAGAATTTGCTTAATAGAATGAAAGGAATATTACAAACAGGTATTTAATATTATATAAGACAAATAGTATGGATCAGGCAAACATAGGACTGAAAATGCAATAGAAAAATTATTCACCCAATAAATGAACATGGCCCATTATCAGTAAATACCTCACTGGTAATAAGAGCTAACACTTACTGAGCATTCACTATGTGCCAAGCACTATTCTAAGCACTTTTATGTAAGTTATTTAATCGTCATAAGAACCTCATGATATAGGTACTATTATTATTTTACAAATGAAAAAATTAAACACAGACAGAGATTAATTAACTGGCCCAGGGCCACATAGCTAGTAAGTAGCAGAGCCAGAATTCAAACCCAATGGTCAGTCTCCTGAATCTGTGCTTTTGATTGCTCTGATATGCGATTACCATGGAATATTTTTTAATACCTTAATTTCAGCTGGCTTGTAGTAGCATCTGTTGGGATCTTCCAATGATGTTCTATACCCATCTCTCAAGAAACGTTTAAATCCATATTTTCCTTTTAATTTTCTAACCACTTTATCAAGTGTCTGGCTAAAAAGAACTTCATCATCCAGGGCAAATGCAGGATAACTGATGCAGGGGAGCAGGGCAGCATCTGTATTCTGGAGGCAATGAGAAAGAGAGACTGTGAGTGTCCACAGCGATGTGATCAACACAGCCCAAGGAGAATGATAGAGATGAAAAGCCAGTGAGGTTATGCAGTCAAAAGTGAGCACGCTCTGCTCCCAGGATCAGACAGATGTTTCTATGGCATGTTCCAGGAAACCTTACAGAGGAGATAAAACTTTATTTGTTGATAGTATTTTCAAGATTCAACGGGCTCAAATGTCAAAATATTAATTAAAATGGTGCGCAAAAATTTAACAGTTGTCACAACTTAGTTTTTCACAACAATTTGCTTATAATAATGAAAAAGAGGAAACAACCTAAATGTCCAACAATTAGTTGAGTAAATTAGCAACTATTAAAATTTATATTGTAGAAATCTGTTTACTGGTATGGGACAATATCCAATATCCATTCACAGAGCTAGGTTATCAATCAATATAAAAAGTACTCTTATAGCTTTGTAAAATAAAAATATTATATATGTCTAAAAATAAGTGAAAACATATATACCCAAATGTTGTCAAGATTGTATTAGAGTAGTGGCATGAGTGGGTATTATATTATTTGCTTATTTGGGGAGCTTTTTTTTTTTTAATGATAATCTTACATTACTTACATAAAAGAGTTGTTTTGAATAACTAAATTATTCCACTTTGGGTGTTTTCTAAATAACAGAACCACAAATAGTCCCTAGAAAATTCTGCAATCAGGTAGGATAAGCATACAGAAGTTGATCAGGCAAGGGGAAAAAGTGAATTGAATGAGAGAACAGAAATAAGGAATGGAAGGTTATTTTATCCAAAAGATATATACACTATGAAAAATATTTTTCTAATATACCATGGCAAAAAAATAATTCACCTTGGCCTAATGTTGCTACTCCCCCAAAAGAAAAGTCTGTTTTTCTATTCTCCTGCAAAAGATTCAAAGGCCAAAGCAGCCGTGTCCACAACTCTTGTCCACTTGCTAAGACCTCCCCAGGCCAGAGGAGTAAGGGGCAATATCTATCATGTCCTCTTATCCCTTCTGGACGATCACTAACATTTTAGAGTACTTTACTGGAAATTAAGATATAACTACATAGAAATCATAAACAATAGTTCATGTTAAATTTATCATTATTAAATGTCTCACATGTGATCTTGATTCTCTGGGTAACAGCGAGCACAAAGTTTGCCTGTTGCGATTGTGAGCATCGAGATCCACAAATATAACTGACCACGAACAGCCCTGGACAGAGAAAAAGAAAAACATTTCCTAAATTAAGAAAAAAGACTTGTAGAACTTTGGCATTTTGACTGTGAAAACTTCACAAAAATACTGACATTGTCTGCATCTTGAGTGTGGAGTTCCAGAAGATTTAAATTTTGTTTGTACTTTCAATATTTCTCAAATATCCTGCAATAAACATTAATTTTATAATCATAAAAATGTTATTTTTGTTTTCCCTAGTTTTCCTTGACTTTCTTATAAATCAAAATGTACTGATTACAAGATAGCCAATATATTAGTGACATTTATTTTAATGAAAATACAATTAGTTTAGCTAACATGACAAAGAATGAGAATGCAGATTCATAAAATCCGAGTTGTACATTCCTCATAAATATTGACTATATGATCAAACTAAACAAATTTAGATACAATCTAGATGAATGTAAAAGAATACTGGATTAAAATATGAAGACAGGAGAATCTCAAATAACAATAAAGCAACTAATCTGAACAAATATTCACCACATCAGGCACTATGCTTTATGTGTCACATGGATTGTCTCATTTAACATCCGTATGTAGATATTGTTTTCCCCATTTTACTGAAAAGGACATTAAGACTTACTTTAACAGAGTAAAGTTTCAAAATCAAGTCTCTGACACAGAGGCCCATTCTTTAAACACTAGATTATACAATTCCCCCATATATATATTTTTTATACAATTCCCCCATATACGTATATATGCACACACACATATATATATTTCAAGTAAGAAAAAAAAAAGCTTGAATGAAACAAATAGGTGTAACAGAAAATCTTAATCTATCTGCTAACCAGGTTAAAACTAGTGCATTCCATATTCAACAGCTTTACTGGGGAGCTAAATATTTGAAATCACATAGAACTGGATGGGAATAAGGAGAATACTCAGAAAAATACATGGGGAAAGGGAGAAGAGAATTATAAATTTCATGTTACTTTAATACTATTTTCTGAATCTCATCCTAATTCTCAACAACTTCACAGATGCATTCAAACTGAAACAAAAATATCTCCAACCAATCACCTACACTGAACTTCAAAATCTAGCAGCACCAGACCCCATATCCAGATGTCAGATTCACTAGAGGTATTTTTTTCCTAGTAGCCCATGTTTGTACATGAAAATTAGCTCATAAAATAGAATGATTTCTCATTCAGAATATCATTTTAAAATCTTTTTAAAATCTGACAAGTAAATTAATAAATGAACAGTGATTCGGTGAGGCTGTCTCTCAACCACCAGATGAATGGTAAACTGTCCTTTCTGTCACTCCGGAGTTCCAACCTCCCATCTCTACTGGTTCAGCAGCAGCTGCCGCTGGCAAGGTACTGTGCACTCTGCTTTCAGGAAAACAGACAAGATCAAATTTGACCTGTGCTCTCAAGAAGCTGACCCAGGCAACAGTCCTGAACAAGATTATTAAGAAAACAAAAAGGCAGCATACCACAACACATGACTTAGTTTCACCAAAGTTAGTGGTTTAAGGGGGAGAAGAAAATTATAAAACAAGTCCCCAGGGAAGTTGGGGCACTTCATAGAGAAGGTGAGGACCATAGCTAGGCTCTGAATTTTGGTGAAATGGGAGCAAGTAGGGTAGTTAGAACAAAACAGCAGAGAAATAAATGGATATAATATGTTAGGAGCCTATGAATACACAAAAAATAGGAGCTATAATTTATCTTTAGGCCAAGAATTAATAAAGTTAATTGCATACCAAACTATCTGCCTGGAATTAAATTTTCAAAAGATACAATCTAAGTAGGATAATTTATAAATAATGAAGTGAAATGGCAAATTTGGCAATTCTCTATGTTACTTGATTAATGTAAACAGCCAACTTCTATTTTCTGGCCGTAAATAAATGGCTTATTTGTCTAAATTCATCAAAGTATTTATTCAGCTCTCAATTTTTCTCTGCCAACCTAAGAAATATGCCCAAAGGGAAAAATAATCTTATAATGTTACCATATTTTAACACCAAGACCAAAGGGTGATTAACTATATTGTTTGGCTGTCTTCTTACAAAAATATCCCATGCTTTAGGCATTACGGTCCAGATTTCCAGGAGGGTAAAATCTCCCCAGGTCATGGGCAGCTATTCCCAATCCAGAAGCAAGTCTTTTTAAGAGTCATCAAGGAGAACCCACAAATGGAATTAATTATCACCTACTTTAAATAATCAGACACATTAATTTAAGGCCTGCAAATTTCAAAGGAAGCTAGATGTCTGCACTGCTTTGAACACTTTGCATAACATGAGCAATCTCTCTAGTCATTACCTTTTAGATTCTGGTCTCGGCTCATTTGTCAGTATCTTGATTTCCCCAATTAAGGATAGGAATATGAAAGGATGTTTTATATGTATATGTCACTTCAGAGTATCAGATTAACTTTGGATATTTTATTTTCATCTTCCATTTCCTGAAAACATTATAATTCTGCCATAATATCCTGACTCCACCTAAAGAGCTTATTTTAAGACTGACAGCTCAAACTTTACTCCCTAGCCAAGTTTCTATAATTGTTTTAGTCTAGTAAATGCACTGGGACTGGAAGATGATTCTGAAACCTGACCACTGTCATGGGGACTTGAGTTCCAGTGGTGGGGAAGGGCTGCACTGCACTTCCCTTAATCCCATGACCAGAACAACCACTTTTGAGACAGTCCCTAAGGCCAAGGGTACCAACTGTAAACATAAGACTTTGCTGATCTCACTGGTCTCAATTAAAAAGAAAACAATTTGAAGACTGATCTTTCTTTTCTTCATTAATCACTTCTCAGAGCCTGAGCTAAGGGACTTGCTGCCCTCATCTAGACTCAAAAAATAAAACAAGGTACAACTGGTCATTGGATCTACCTATCGTACATGATCTTCACATTCTTATTCTGGAACAAAACCACACCGCAAAACTATGGTCAGGAGATTTTCTCCCCTAGTTCAGTTATGAGGCTGTCACTGAGCTCTGTAGCAGAGCCTGGAGAAATGTATTCTTCCGGAAAGGGTATTTACTGATAGGAATTTCCCTTCTGCACCAAGGCTGTGGTGGCAATAGATGTGTAAATAGCCAACTTTTGCTTACTGACCCAACAGCTCTTTCCAGCAGCCCCTCTCACAACCCAAGCTTCTTCGTCCTCATGCACATACTGTGAAAGGAATTCTCAAACTACAGAGAAAGATAAATTTGAACATGAATTTTCAGGGTCTCAAAAGAGCAGAGCTGAGACTCAAACCCAGGAATCACAAAACTGTTGCTTACTATGACTATGACATTTGATGAAAATAAATTCTGATAGACTAAAATATTACTGTTTAAATATTATCAAACATTATTTAAATAATATTTAAATATATTTGTCATGAAATTTATACAGAATATATTTGAGATCATGATGAAATATGTGATTCCCATATTGAGGATTATATATGTTTCTAAATGTAGCTCTGCCCCAAATTGGCTTTTATTGTAAACAAATCATTATGGAAACTAGGCCTTTTTATCACATCTTATTCTCAGTGTCCCAAAGAAAAATAAATTTGGAAAATAGTTTCAGAAAAAGATTTAAAGTGTTTTTTTTTTCCTTGAATAATAAGTTATTATTGGAAAAAAAGGAGGAAGTATAGGAACGCATAATAATCATAACCAAAGCAAAAAACTTTACCACCCAACAACTGCCCGTAAAAATAAAATTAACATTTGTTTTATCTCATATGCTGAAGCCAGGGGCAAAAGGCAAGCCTTTCACACTATTTGTGAAATGGATACCTCTTTCAGAAGCTCAATAATTATTAAGCAAAAAACAGCTTAAGAGTTTTCAAAGAAAATGCACAGCTCCCAATTCTAAAAGTAGAAAGTGTCCAACAGCTGAAATTTCCCATACCAACAAATTGATCTTCTATTAATAGATTCATTATGGAGTGGCATTGGTTTTACTCCTGGTTTTGCCCCTGTGTGGTGTGATCTGAGAAACACTACCTCAATCTTCCGATCATTCATTTTGAGAGAGGGGCTCTACCATCTCTCTTGAGTTGCCACCAAGAAGGAATGTACTTTTTGAAAGTTCTAATTAATTTAGTTAAAGACACACGATCAGGTCTTCCAAAACCTTATACCAATGGCCTTTAGAAATAACAGTGAATATCAATATGATCTGAAATCCCTCAAGTCTTGAGGTGGTTTCTATGGATTTTCATTTGAATAAAAGCATTTCTTTATGTCAATTCTTTTCCCAGCAACTGACTTTTAATTAGATCACAGCTCTTTTAAGTATATACAATGACATTATAAAATGATTAAACACTAAAAAGATCACATGCACTTTTAAATGTGCCACTGTTTAGCAGGCACATTATTAATTTAACTGCTGTAGAGGTGGTAATAGTAACATTTTCAAAGTCATATTTCTGCAATTCTCCACATCAGAAAAAAGAGACGAAAGGGAATTTGTAAAACAAGGACACTGACACTACCTTGTAAAAATGGAAGATGAAGGGACTTTACTGGCAACATGTGATATTCTTGTGGCTAAAGAAATAAGACATGGCCCGGCGTGGTGGCTCATGGCTGTAATCCCAGCACTTTGGGAGGCCAAGGCGGGTGGATCACCTGAGGTAAGGAGTTCAAGACCAGCCTGGCCAACGTGGTGAAACCCCACCTCTATTAAAAATCCAAAAATTAGTCGGGTGTGGTGGCACATGCCTGTACTCCCAGCTACTCGGGAGGCTGAGGCAGGAGAATCGCTTGAACCCAGGAGGTGGAGATTGCAGTGAGCCGAGATCGTGCCACTGCACTCCAGCCTGGGTGACAAGAGCAAGAAGCTGTCTCAAAAAAGAAAGAAAGAAAGAAAGAAGACATTATCTGTCCATATTTCTATCTGAAACAATCAAGTAGTAGTCAATTCAGCAAATATTTGGTGCATAGCTCCACTGGAAATAGACGTGACCTGAACAAGGCCAAAAATTAACTCGGCTTAGAGCAGTTGTTCTCGCCCTTGATTGTATATTAGAATTCCTGAGAAGTTCCAAAAAATCTCAATGCCAAGGCCTCCCCCTACACCAATTAAATCAGAATCCCTGGAAGTAGAGCTCATATATGAGTATTTTTTTTAATTCCTCAAATGATTCCAATGCATAGTCAAGATTGAGAAACTGGCTGAGGAACAATATCAGCAATACAGTTATAACTCAGAATCCAAATGCAGAGTAAAGTAATTTAGCGATTTTAGAATTATAGCTGAGCAATTTATGAAAGCTTCCTGGGAAAAGTAGAGCACTGAAAGATGGGTAGAGTTAGGAAATGTAGCTTGTATGTATGTGTGTGAGTATACACACAATAGGAAGGGGTGCATACAGGTATGTAAGCAACATACACTAAGACTCAGGTACTTCAAAGGAGATGACACTATTGCAAAAAAGAGCTGGCTACTACCATGTAACAGCCAACCAAGAGACACTCAGCTCCATTCAGCTCAGTATTTGGTATGTCACAGAAGCCAGGTTAGCAAGACCTGTACCTTTCCAGACTGCTGTTAACATCAGCTCTGGTTTAATCCATGCCTCCTCTCAGTCTCCTTGATATATGCTCTAGAAAGCTTTCAGTTCTTTCTCATTTCCCTTCCTTTGTATTACTATTACTTCATAAATAATAGCAACAAGAGTCGGCCGCGCATAGTGGCTCATGCCTGTGATCCCAGCACTTTGGGAGGCCGAGATGGGTGGATCACCTGAGGTCAGGAGTTCGAGACCAGCCTGGCCAACATGGTGAAACCCCGTCTCAACTAAAAATACAAAAATTAGCCGGGCGTGGTGGCAGCCGCCTGTAATCCCAGCTACTCGGGGGTCCGAGGCAGAAGAACTGCTTGAACCCGGGAGGCGGAGGTCGCAGTGAGCCGAGATCGCGCCATCGCACTCCAGCCTGGGAGACAAGAGCGAGACTTTGTCTCAAAAAACAAAAATAAAAAAAACAATAGCAACAAGAGATGGCATTTATTAAAAGTTTAATCTCTGCAAAGCACTATGCTAACTAACTTTTATTTGCATGAAAACCTCCTGAGTTAGGTCCTATTATCATTATCTTTATTTTTTTAGACGAGGAAGCTGAGGCTTAGTTAAATAGCCATACTCACTGGTGGAATTGAGTACAGAGCATGCAGTGATCCTGTCTCCTGACCCCTAATATAATGCCATTCTTTAAAGTCATTTTATCCTCCTACTCCTGTCTGTCTATCTATTCATCCATCCATCCATCCATCCAGGAATATGAAAATGGGTGATCCAGAGTGTGTGGTAATTCCTCATGACCTTCATATAGACAGAGCCCATCCATCCTCTAGAGGGAGTTGGGATGAGAAGAGTGCTTGTGTACGTAAGAAGGAGAAGAGAGGTGGCTGCATTAATATACTACAATTAAAAACATTCTTAAATTCAAGACTTGAGTAGATAGTATTATAATTGCCATAACAAAAACCATGTCGTTTTTTTTGCACAACTGTGTAACCTCCTAAAATGTTTCTTTACTGACTTAGCATTTCAGTAGCTTAGGATTAATTTTATTCTCAGTTAGAAACTTCACTTTACTTCACCATCTTAGGAATCTTTATAAAAACTGCTAAAGAAAATTGGCCTACTTCTTGATCCAGAGTAGTAACCTCTATTCCTACATTTTATTCCTTTCCACTGACAACTCAATCCATGGTCACTTGATTAGATTCTTTCAGTATAAAAACTGGTTAAAGATCTAATGAAAATTTAAGACGACCTTCAGGGTTTTTTTTTCATCCCCAGAGAAAATGAGATTTTAGACATTTGATTATAGCCAGTTGAAGGTGAAGCTAGGATCAAAACTCCCAATTATCTGGCTAAACACATCACACAAATTCTCTTCTACATGAGATATACATTGAAATACATTACATTGAAACCAACATGAAAACTGACATAAAAATATATATATACAATGCCAAATACATTAAAAAATGTGAAACCTTCTACAAAATGAGTAATAGATTTGAGGGAAAAGTCACTGAACCAAGGAAATCAGAATTCTTTATCAAAAAAAATTTTCTTTTTTTTTTTTTTTTTAAAGAAATTAAGCAATGGTCTTTAGTTAGAAAACTAAAATTTAACTGGCAAATCATTTTCAAAGGAAAAGTTCAAGCATGAGCTTCTACATAAATTTTGGACATTCTCTGATTATAAGGAAATGACTTTGTTAATGAATAGCCAAATTAATTAAATGTGCAATTCAAATAATCAAAGATTCTGGGGGTCTTATTTTTTACCTGGTTGCCAAAAAGGTTGAATCCATTAATTGCTTCTAGAGCTGCTTTTGCTAAACCAACCGAGCTAAAAGAGAAAAGGAAATGCTTTATTACTCTAATGTATGTGGCTACAAAATCAGAACCATTATCTGATGAATATTCACGAGCAAATTTCTTTATTAACATTTATAACAACTTCTGTAAGAAGAATAATGTCTAAGAGACCTCATTCTGACATTTCACTATTTTAATTTTTCTTTTTTATAGTTAGTGATCACCTGGGAAAAATATTTCTAGGTTCACCTTGATCTAAACTAATGGTCATACTATTGATGGGAGTAGTTTTAATTCCAGAATCATTTTTATTCACTAACTCAAGAAAAAAAGACGAACTTTAGAGGAAGGTATATTATGATGATAAGTGCAGTAATTAGCAGGAAATCATTAGTTCAGATCAATGTAATGGAGCTTTTCTGACATCAAATCTGAGTCTTAAGAAAGATCTTGCATATCATACAACTATCAGAGTGTGGCTTAAAGTATCCTTCAAACACTCTTGCCTAACATCCAAAAAATAGGCATTATTTTATGCTCACAGAACAACTGATCACCTTATCTCTTATTTTTTGCTATATTCTTCCCTTTATAATAAAATGAATACTATTTCCCTTAGTGTCCTACTCTTTTGGCCTCTCAAATGCCATATACTATAGTGCTGGAAAATGGGAAGACCCATTTCATTAAAAATATGATATCATCTTTTAAGTATCTACCTTTAAATATTTTATATCTAATACTCAGTTTAATTATTACAAATTTTTATTTGTTTTACTCAAAGCAAGTGTATTTGCCATTAATATCATTTAAAGCTAATGATCTGTCATCTATTCAGCATTTCTCTGAAACAGATTATCAAACTATGGTCCCCAGAGCAGCACCTTCAGTATTACCTGGGAACTTGTTAGAAATGCTAGTTCCCATTTCTTCTTGGGAGTAGGGCTCCATAATCAGTGTTAAAAAGCCTTCCAGGTGTTTGAATGCACTTTAAGTTTGAGAGCTACTGTTCTAAGCTATTCATGTCATCATCATCTACATCCTATAAGTTGTTTCATAACCTGTTTTTAAGAAATCATCACTTTTATTGCAGGACAATAAATAGGTCAGACACTTATTTTAAAGATACATGGATGGGAAGATGGAGTAGACATAATTTTCCCTAGTCTTCTCACTAAGTACAACCAAGAAGCTTGGACATTACATATAAAACAAACACAAAAAGACTTAGAAACATGGGTAGAAGGCAGTCTAGCTATGAACTTCAGGACTCTATGAACGACACTATGGTAACTGCCCTGGGTTTCCTTTTTGCCTTATTTATACCAGTCTTAAAGTCAAAGGAGCCAACCACTGAGAAATGCCAGCACATGCATACAAAAAATCCCCAACAAAAGCCTGTCTCTCTAGCCAAAGGACAGGAGAAGAGCAGCCTAGCAAAAATAAAACTTTTAGACAATAACCACTCAGAAAAAACTTTACCCTACCCCCATCCATTCCAGCAAAGGCTGAGTAGAAACCGAGACTTCTACATTCCTGAGTCTATCATGAGGCACAATGCTCAACTCCCAACTCTCTTAGTCATGGTGGTGTCAGAAAACTACAAGGAAGAAGTCAACACTTTCATTTCCAATAGGTGATAAGAAACCATTTCATCACCAATCAAGAGGTCACACCTTTTCTCCTGCCCTATAAATGGAGGCCAAATGAGAACCAGTAATGAAGCACTCCTATATTTCCCAGCAAGGAGGTATTAGTGGAGGCCTACTGGGGACCTGGATGTCAACAAAAATAATGGCCTTATATTCCTACCTGGCAGTAATGAGGTGATGTGCCCTCACCCCTTCTTCTACCAGAGTGGTATAAGAAAATACAGCTAAAACAGAAAGTTAAAATAAGATCTAGGGTCTTATACTATTATGCCCAAAATACCTATACGTCAATCAAAAAACACTCCTCATACCTGGAAACTGAAAGATCTCAAACCAAATGAAAAAAATACAATCAATGGATGCTAACGTTGAGAAGAAAGAGTTGTTAGAATTATCTGACAAAGATTTTAAAGCAGCCATGATAAAAGTGCTTCAATAAGCAATTACGAACATGCTTGAAACAAATCAAAAAACCAGAAATCCTTAAGTAAGAAACAGAAAGTATCAGCAAAGTTTTTAAAATTGAGAAATATAATAGTGTAAATAAAAAGTTCAGTAGATAGGCTCAACAGCAGAATGATGAGGACAGAGGAAAGAATAAACAAACTGGAAGACAGAACAACAGAAATTATCCAATTTGATCAAAACAAAGAAAATAGAATGGAAAAAAATGATCAGCGCCTCAGGGATTTGTGGGATCATAACAAAGTATCTAACATTCATGTCACCTGAGTTCCTAAAGGAGAGAGACAGAGGGCAAAGCAGAAAATTCCCACTTAGCAAGAGCCATAAACCTACAGATTCAAGAAGCTGAGTGAAACACAAACAGAATAAATTTTAAAATGTCCATGCTAAGACACATCGTAACTTCTGAAAATTAAAGACAAAGAAAAAAATCTTGACAGTAGCCAGAGATAACACATTACCTATAGGGGAAAAATAATTAGAATGACAACGGATTGTTTATTAGAAACCATGAAGGCTAGGATGTGGCACAAGAGTTTCCAGTGATTGAAAGAAAAAAACTACCCACTCAGAAAGTTATACCAGTAAATACATCACTTAGCAATCAGGAAGAAACCAAGACAATCTCAGATGAAGGAAAATAAGAGATTCTATCACCAGCAGACCTACCCTGAAAGAATGGATAAACTCCATTCTCTAAACAGAAAGGTAATTTTTTAAAAAGAGGAAAAAACATATATCAGAACACCAAAAAGAAACAAAAAACATGGTAAGCATAAATATGGGTAAATACAATACATGTTTCTTCTCCTCTTGAATTTTGACAGTTGAAGCAAAAATTATAACACTGTCTGATATGATTCTAAATGTGTATGGAGGAAATATTTAAGATAACTATTATAAATTCAGAATGGTAATAAGACATAAATGAAAGTAAGTTTTCTATACTTCATTTGAACTAATAAAATGATGACATCACTACACTGAAGTGTTACCTACAGCAATCACTAAAAAGTTATACAAAATGATACAATCAAAACCACTATTGATAAATCAAAAAGAGATTTTAAAAAAATCTTTAAGTACCCACAGGAAGGTAGGAAAAATAAAACAGAAAGATGAAAAATAGAATAAACAAACAAAAAAATCAATAAAATGGCATCAGCTAAGTTAAGAAAAGGTGGAAAACAGTTAAAAATAACATTAAAAAAGACAAATAAAAAAGAAAATGGCAGACTGAAGCCCAAACATATGAGAAATTAATTAAATTTAAAAGCATGAAATACACCAATTGAAAGAAAGAGATTTGCAGAGTTAAAATATGGCTCACCTATGTATTGTCTATAAAAAAGTCCCCTCAAATATAACAATATAGACATGCTTAAAGTTAAAGGATGGAAAAAGATATATCACACAATCAAAATAATGCAGGAGTGACTATATTAATAATAGATAAAGGAGACTTTAGAGCAAAGAAAATTATCAGAGACAGAGAAGGATATTATAATACATAATGAAAAAGATCAATCCACGAAGAAGACATAGCAATCCTAAATGTGTATGCGCCAGAGTTGCAAAATGTGTGAAATAAAACTGACAGAACTGAAAGAATAGACAAAACCACAGTTATAGTTGGATACTTGCACACTTTTCTCCTTTTCTCTCAACAATTGGTAGAACAACTAGACAGAAAACCAGCAAGGATACAGAGGAACTAAATGAGCATTGACATTCAAAATCCTTAAAAACACATTTGCAAACAATATTCAGCAATATGTAAGCTGAATTATCACCATGACTAAGTAGGGTTTACTCCAGGGAAACAAGGCCGGTTCAATAATAAAAACCCAATTAATATAATTACCATGTTAACTGGCTAAAGCAAAACAAAATAACATGGTCATATCAATTGATGCAGAAAATGCATCAAACAAAATTCAACATCTATTTATGACAAAACTCTCAGAAAACTAGGAATAGAGGGAAATTCCACAATTTCTTTAATGATGTGTCTTTCTTTTAATCTATAAAAATTTAAGGGGCACAAGTGCAGTTTTGTTACATGGAAATAGTGCATAGTGATGAAGTCTGGGTTTTTTTTGCTGTTGTTGTTTTGTTTTGTTTTGTTTTTTGAGACAGAGTTTCGCTCTTGTTGCCCAAGCTGGAGTGCAATGGCGCGATCTCGGCTCACCACAACCTCCGCCTCCCGGGTTCAAGTGATTCTCCTGCCTCAGCCTCCTGAGTAGCTGGGAGTACAGGCATGCACCACCACACCCGGCTGATTTTGTATTTTTAGTAGAGACAGGGTTTCTTCATGTTGATCAGGCTGGTCTTGAACTCCCAACCTCAGGTGATCCGCCTGTCTCGGCCTCCCAAAGTGCTGGGATTACAGGCATTAGCCACCACATCAGGCCTGGGCTTTTAGTGTAACCATTGCCTGAATAATGTTCATTGTATCTATTAAGTAATTTCTTATCCTTCAAACTCTTCCCACCCTTCCACCCTCTCCAGGCTCCAATGTCTATCATTCCACACTCTATGTCCATGTGTACACATTATTTAGCTCCCACTTTTAAGTGAGAATATATAGTATTTGACTTTCTCTTTCTGAGTTAGTTTAGTTTTACTAAAGATAATAGCCTCCAGTGTCATCCATGTTGCTATAAAAGATGTGATTTCATTCATTTTATGGCTGAACAGTATTTTTTTGTGTACATATACACATTTTCTTTATCCAATCATCTGTTGATGAATACGTAGGTTGATTCATATCTTTGCAATTGTGAATTATGCTGCGATAAACATATGAGTACAGGTTATCTTTTTGATATAATAATTTCCTTTCTTTTGGGTAGATATCCAGTAGTGGGATTACTGGATTGAAAGGTAGTGCTATTTTAAGTTATTCGAGAAACCTCCATACTGTTTTCCATAGAGGTTGTGTTAATTTACATTCCCACCAACAATGTATCAGTGTTCCCTTTTCTCCAAACCCTTCCAATATGTTAGTTTTTGACTTTTTAATAACAGCTATTCTGACTGGTGTAACAATATATCACTGTGGTTTTAATTTGCATTTCTCTGATGATTAGTGATGTTGAGCATTTTTTCACATGCTTGTTGGCCATTTGTATAAATTCTGCAATTTGATTTACAAAACTTCTACAGCTAACTCTACTTGATGGTGAAAGAAAAACTGAATGCTCCCTCTCAAAACAAAAATGTCTGCTCTCACCATGACTAACATAGTACTGGAAGTTCTATGTGGTAAAATAGGGCAAGAAAAGGAAATAAAAAGAATATAGCTGAGAAAGGTAGAAATGAAACTGTTTCTTTGCAGATGACATATGCTATGATTTGAATGTGGTTTGTTTGATCCTGCCAAGTCTCATGTTGAAATCTGATCCCCAATGTTGGAGGTGTGGCAAGGTGGGAGGTGTCAGGATCCTCATGAATGGCTTGGTGTCATTCCCATGGGATTGAGTGAGTTCTTAGTCTGAGTTCCCGTGAGAACTGGTTGTTGAAAAGAACCTGGCACCTATTATTCCCTCTCTTGTCATGTGATTTCTATACTCCAGTTCCACTTAGTCTTCTGTCCTGAGCTTCTTGTATATACAGCCTGCAAAACTGTGAGCCAAATAAACCTCTTTTCTTTATAAACTACCCAGGCTCCAGATTGGAGGCATTGTTAGCATGCCTCACCCACTTGCAAAGAGCAAAATAACGTGCAGAGATTTATGCTGTAAACTTTTATCCAAGAAGAAACACAGTAACTCAACAGAAAAAATGAAAGAAACTTCAGACACTTTGAAAGCTGTGGGTGGCAACCTACATGGTGAGTCAGGTGAAAATATGTCTCCAGGGTGTGAAAGCGGGGAGACTGCCTCCATGATTACACATTGACACTGGGGAACTGGGCAATCCAGGCCACAGGGGAATGTCTCAACCCTACCAAGCACTGGTGCTGATTTGGTGAGCCACAAGGAGCATATGAGAAGTGATGGCTCATGCCTGTAATCCCAGAACTTTGGGAGGCTGAAACGGGTGGGTCACCTGAGGTCAAGAGTTCAAGACCAGCCTGGTCAACATGGCGAAACCCTGTCTCTACTAAAAATACAAAAATTAGCTGGGTGTGGCGGTGCATGCCTGTAATCTCAGCTACTCAGGAGGCTGAGACAGGAGAATCGCTTGGACCCGGGAGGTGGAGGTTGCAGTGAGCCAAGATCGCACCACTGCAATCCAGCTTGGGCAACAGAGCAAGACTTCACATATAAAAGAAAAAAAAATTGTTTTGCGTGCACTCCCACACCCTAGCAGGGATGGAGGGAAGCCATTGCTGATCCTACTTCATAAGGGACCTCACAGAATTCTGCCAGCTAACTCAGACAGTGGTCACAGGTTGGAAGAAGCTGCCAACTAAAATAAGCAATCTAATCTACTGTGGGTATAAACCCCATTGATCAGAAATGAGAGGTGAGCAGGAAGCAGGCTTTTGCCACAGAGGCAGGTGCTGGGAGCCCCTGCTTTGCAGGCAAACTGGGAGGGGTGTGGCCTGGAAGCCTTGGTCTTTGTCTTGGGCAGAAGGACTTACAACCAGGGGCAGTTTTGCATGCTGAGGGCAGACTGCCTGGGACCCAGCTGTTGCCAGAAGTCTGTGAGTGTGAGACCCAATGTGTTAAGAAAGTGAGAGCTGGGTGGGTCTCACTGCTGCCTGTTACCCCTCTCCCCTCCCTGAGGATTCTTTTATGCAACAGAGGCAGTTCCGCTCCTCCGTGGAACATTACCCCAGTGGCCAGGGAACTGCCCTCGGATCGCCACTGGGGTCACAGCCTGAGTCCACACCTGGTGAGCCAGAGTGAGGACTTGCCTGATCCAGGCCCCACAGGCTATGCCCCTAGCCTAACACCACAGACAGGGACTTTAGGGAGTTCCATGACCCTGCCCATTGCCTGGGATATGAGTGTTTCCCCAGGGTAACATAAGCCAAGTATAAATCCCCAAGGCCACCACTGTAGCTGGCTCTCTCCTGCTAGTGCCACTTCACTGTGAATCCTACTGCTCCTCTGAATTTGTCTATCCTGTGCAGCTGTCTCAAGCCAGTCTGGTATTGGGGGCTGTTTACAAGGGATCTAGTGATGAGAAGACACAAGGGTTGAAGGTACTTGAGCAGAACAAACTTCTGCAATGGGTACGCATCCAGTATGGTGCCCACTCCTACAGCTTAGGACCAGGCAGAAAGGGAAAGGACCTTGTATGAGCAAGATAATGGCCTCAACAAGTCCCTAAATTGTAGTTGGAGGTCAACTGACACAGCCCTCTACAATGTCTGCTAACATCATAACACGGTGCTCAGGAAGGAGAAAACTTTTGCATGACCTCAGCTAACACTATTACTCACACCAATCAGGCTGCTCAGGAGGCCTTGGGCCTGTTCATGTACCCAGTACATTACTACTACATCTGACAATTGAGAAAGCCACTGCACTAAGGCTACTTATAACCAAGGAAATCTTACAGAGTCTATGCCACTCCCCTACTGCCACCATCAGAGTTGGTGCTTGAACCTGCCCTTATGAGATGAGAGGACAGGTCAGCCTTGCCCAGCTCCACCCAACATCACCCATCTCTGGAGCTAAGAGTAGGGACCAAACCATTACACATTCCGCAGACCTGTCCATAGCCTGAAGCACTAAAGAGCTTCTCCAGAGCTTCTCCAGATGGTTGACTATAGATGCTAGTAACCAATTCACCTCAGAAGAAAGAAACAAAATCATAAATAAATAGTCACATCCCAAATAGAGTGTTACAGGGAGAGGGCTGGAGTCCATCGGAGAATTCACTGGAAGAATCCACAACATGCACATAAGAGAAAGTAACAAGAAGCTGGAAGAGTATCAAACCCTGAGAGACTCAAGTATTCTGTGGAAAGGGTATTCTCTAGCCTTTGACTGCTGGTATCCAAACTCAAGGAGAGCTTCGCTGCCCTCATGAGTCCAAATGCTGGAGTGGGCTGCAATCTGGGGACTTCTTGGGTCCTTGCTCACACAAAGTCCCCTCCCTTTCCCTCTGGTCCTGAGCTGTAGTAGCAGGCAACATACTGGGTGTGCACCCATTGTGGATCATTTGTTTTGCTTGAGGACCTTCAGCCCTTGTGTCTTCCCCATGACTATATCCCTTGCCAAGATTCTCCAGCACAGGCCTGGATTGTGGCAGTCCCTGAGGTGGCTAAACCCAGATAAGCAGCTGGATTCACAGTAGTCTGGCCCGCATAGATCACCATTCCCATGGGAATGGGGAGTGCACCACACAAAGGGAACACCCCTTGGGACAAAAGAAACCAAAGTATGAACCTTGAGTACCACAACTTCCTGCCTATGGGAAGTTTCTTTCAGCAGAGGAACAGGTGCAGTACTGGGCTCCGTGGGGAAAGACTAAGGTTCTACTCTAGCAGTGGAGGAGCCCCGGTACTTGTGAAGGGGCTTCTCTCCCTCTTGTTCAACAACGCAGATACAGCTGGGCCTTCTCCCACAGGAGCTCAGTGAGAGTAGACCTATGGAGGACCTTTCTCAAGCACTTTGGGGTGACTGCATCGCCTTGGGAGGAGTGCCCTCTGGGCTCAGGCTTTCATGAGAGATAGAGTCCCACTGTCTCTGGATATGGAATGTCAGTGTTCCTGCAGATGGACAGAGGTGCTTGTCTGATCTAAATGTCCAGAATATAGGGATGAGGGGGAACGACAGGGAGGTTGCTTTCCTGCTGGCCTGGTAGTGAAGCTGAGGTGGCTCCCTCCCCTCCCACAGTGAAGACCTCAGTGCATTTCACTGGGAGCTCCCTGCCCCCAGCTGCCTCTGTCAAGGTTGAGACTTTTGTCCACCACTGGGGTACTGCATATACCCACCACCTGCTTCAGCTGCAGCTGGTTTTCACCCATGGGTGCCTCCTACTGGCCTAAAGGCTGAAGTATTCTACCCTAGTGAAAAAAAGACTTGGGGAGGAGAGTAGTACACACTACTGGGGAACAAGATAAGCTTCCTGAGATCTCTGCCACTCTGGCCCCACAGGAGACAGTGAACCTTCCCACACACTAAGTACACTACTACTAAAACCAGCACCTGAGAAAGCCATCACACACAGATTCTCTATAACCAAGAAACTCAACAGAGACTTTGCCACTGAAAGCACCCAGAGCTGAAGCTAGGTGATTACAAATGATACACATTAAAGTCACATCCTTAACGGGGGAAAAAAAAAGAACCCAGTCAAATCAAAAGTAAATTCAATAATAATAATAAAAAATAGTTTATCCAGATGGGAAGAAACCAGAAAAATAATTCTGGCAATATGAAAAAACAGTTTTATTTACAATACTACCCCCTCCCCAATACATACTAACTCTCCAGCAATGGATCCAAAACAAAATTAAATCTTTGAAATACCAGATAAAGAAGTCAAAATATTCATTATAAAGTTACTCAATGAGATCCAAGAGAAAGTTGAAAACCAATATAAAGAAATAAAAAAAAAATACAGGATATGAATGAAATTTTCTAGAGAGGTCGATATTAAAAAAAAAACAGAACTTCTGGAAATGAAGGACTCATTTAGGGAGTTACAAAATGCAGTGGAAATTTTTAACAACAGACTGGATCAAGTAGAAGAAAGAATTTCAGAGTCTGAAGGCAAGGCTTTCAAATTAAACCAGTCAGACAAAAATTAAGGAAAAAGAATACAAAGAAACAAATAAAATCTCCAAGAAATACGGGACCATGTAAAACATCCAAATCTAAGAATCAAAGTTGTTCCTCAGGGAGAAGAAAAAGCAAAAAGTTTAGAAAACCTACTTCAAGGAATAACTGACAAAAACTTTCCTAATCTTGCTAGAGATTTAGACATCCAAATACCAGAAGCTCAAAAAACTCCTGGGAGATTCATTGAAAAAAGGAGATCACCAAGGCATATGGTCATCAGGCTATCTAAAGCCAATGCAAAGGCAAGAATTCTAAGGGCAGTGAGATAAAAGCATCAAATAAATGATAAAGGAAAAACTATCAGACTAACTTCTCAGCTGAAATCTTGTAAGGCAGAAGGGATTCAGGTCCTATCTTTAGTCTCCTCAAACAGAAGAGCTGTCAGACAAGAATTCTGCACAGAGCAAAACTAAGTTTAAGAAATGAAGGCAAAATAAAGACTTTCAAAGAAAAGCAAATGCTGAGGGAATCCGTCACCAGTAGGCCAGCTCTATAAGAAATGCTCAATGGAGTTCTAAACATCTAAATGAAAGGGCTAGGCCAGGCATGGTGGCTCATGCCTGTAATACCAGCACTTTGGGAGGCCGAGGCAGGTGGATCACTTGAGGTCAGAAGTTCAAGACCAGCCTGGTCAACATGGGTGAAACATCGTCTTTACTAAAAATACAAAAATTAGCCAGGCGTGGTGGCGTGCACCTGTAAGTCCCAGCTACTGGGGAGGCTGAGGTAGGAGGATCGCTTAAGCCTGGGAGGGCAGAGTTTGTAGTGAGCCAAGATCATGCCACTGCACTCCAGCCTGGGTGACAGAGTGACTCCATCCCAACAAATAAATACATATATAGACACATACATAAATGAAAGGGCTTATAACAATAACACAGTAAAGAAAACAAAGCAACTAGGTAACAATCAATATGATGACTGCAAGAGTAGCTCCATATCAATACTATTTTCGAATGTAAATGGTGTAATGCCCCACTTAAAAGATACAGATTGGCAGAATGGATTTTAAAAAACACAGACCAAACATCTGCTGCCTTCAAGAGACCCACCTAACCCATAGAAAGATTCTTGTAGAGTCAAGGAAAGATATGGAAAAAAATATATTACACATGAATGGACACCAAAAGAGAGCAGGAGTAGCTATTTTATATGAGAAAAAACAGACTTTAAATAAAAAGACAAAGAAAGTCATTATATTATAACAGAACAATTCAACAAGAAGATATAATAATTCTAAATACATATGCAGCTAACACTGGAGCACCCATAGTCATCAAACAAATTCTGCTAGACCTAAGAAGAGAGGTAGACAGCAAGACAATAATAGTAGGAGACTTCAACACTTCATTGACAGCACTACATAGATCACTGAGGTAGAATGTCAACAAAGAAACACTGGACATAAACTGGACTCTAAAACAAATGGACCTAACAGACATTCACAGAACATTCTACCTGAAAACTGCAGGGTATACATTCTCATCAGCACATGGAACATTTTCCAAGATAGACCATATAACAGGACACAACACAAATCGCAATAAATTTAAAAAATCAAAATCATACCAAGTATCTTCTTAGACTACAGCAGAACAAAACTAGAAATTAATTCTAAGGGGAACTCTCAAAACTACACAAATACATGAAAATTAAACCATATGCTCCTGAATGATTTTTGAGTCAACAATATAATCAAGATGAAATTTTAAAAAATTTTGAAATGAATAATAACAGTGACACAAGTTACCCAAATTCCTGGGATACAGCAAAAGCAGCGCTATGAGAAAAGTTTATAATGCTAAATGCCTACATCAAAAAGACAGAAAGATCAAAGACTGGCAACATAATGTCACACCTCAAGAAACCAGAGAAACAACAAACCAAACCCAAAGCTAGCAGAAGAAAAACAAGAGAGATCAGAGTAGAACTAAATGAAATTGAAACCAAAAGACAATACAAAAGATCAATGAAACAACAGGTTGGTTCTTTGAAAACATAAACAAAAATGACAGACCACTAGCTAATCAAGAAAAGAAGAGAGAAGATTCAAACAAACTGAATCAGAAATGAAAATGCAGACATTATAACTGATACTGCAGAAATACAAAAGATCATGCAAGACTACTATGAACACTTCTATGTGCACAAGCTAGAAAATCTACAGGAAATGGATAGATTCCTAGAAACACACAACCTCCTAAGCTTGAATCAAAAAGATAAAGAAATCTTGAGCTGATCAGTAACAAGGAGTGAGATTCAATCAGTAACAAAACATCTCCCAACAAGATAAAGACTAGGATCAGACATATTCACAGCTGAATTCTACCAGACATTTCAAATAACTGGTACCAATCCTAGTAAAACTATTCCAAAAGACAGAGCAGGATTCCCTCACTCATTCTACAAAGTCGGTATCACCCTGATACCAAAGCAAGGAAAGGACATAACAACAACAATAAAGAAATACAGACCAAAATTCCTAATAAATACAGATGCAAAAAGCCTCAATAAAATACTAGCAAACTGAATCCAACAGCGCGTTGAAAAGATAATTCAACCTGATCAACTGGGCTTCATCCCAGGGATACAAGGATGGTTCAACAAATGCAAGTCAATAAATTGATTCATCACATAAACAGAATAAAAAACAGAAACCATACGATTATTTTAAAAGATGCGGAAAAAGCATTCGATAAAATCCAGCATCCCTTCATGATAAAAACCTTGAACAAACTAGGCATAGAAGAAATATACCTTAAAATTACAAAAGCCAAAATAAGACAAATCCACAGCCAACATCATATTGAATAGGGAGAAGGTGAAAGCCTTTCCGCCTAAGAACTAGAACAAGACAAGAATGCCTGCTTTCATCACTTCTATTCAACATAGCACTGGAAGTCCTAGCCAGAGCAATCAGGCAAAAGACAGAAATAAAGGGCATGTAAATTGAAAAAGAGGAAGTCAAACTATCTCTTTTTATATCTCTGATTTTACACCTAGAAAACTCTAAAGACTCCTCTAAAAGACTCCCAGATTTTATAAATTCAGTAATGTCTCAGGTTACAAAATCAAAGTACACAAATCCATAGCACTGCTATGTATCAATAACGAACAAGCTGAGAATCAAATCAATAACTCAATCCCATTTACAATAGTTGCGAAGAAAAAAAAAAGAACTACAAAACAGTGACGAAAGAAATCAAAGATGACACAAATGGAAAAACATGCCATGCTCAGGGATTGGAAGAATCAATATTGTGAAACTGACAATACTGCCCAAAGCAATCTATAGATTCAATGCAACTCCTATCAAAATACTAAGGTCATTTTTTCACAGATTTAGAAAAAAACAATCCTAAGGTTCATATGCAACCAAAAACCATCCTGAATAGTCAAAGTAATCCAAAGCAAAAAGAAGAAATCTGGAGATATCACATTACCTGACTTAAAATTATACTACAAGGCTATAGTAACTAAAACAGTACAAAAATAGACACACAAAGCCTCTCCCAACATGGCAGC
This sequence comes from Homo sapiens, assembly GCF_000001405.40. Classification (NCBI taxonomy): domain Eukaryota; kingdom Metazoa; phylum Chordata; class Mammalia; order Primates; family Hominidae; genus Homo; species Homo sapiens. Next base: position 47,566,935 of record NC_000016.10, on the reverse strand, counting down.
CTCAACAATACCAGTTTCCAGTGTGACCCATTATTGACCTTCAAGAACTAAGCAAAAAAGAAGAATAAGAAGGGGAAGACTCTCTCCCTAACAGACTCTCTGGCTGAGGATGGAGGGACTGGTGGAGGAAGCACTTATGTTTCCAAACCAGTCAGCTGGGCTCATGAAACAGATGACCTGGAAGGAGATATTTCAACAACTTGGAACAGTAATGATGAAGATGTGTATAGGGCACCTCCAATTGACCGTTCCATCCTTCCCACTGCTCCAGGGGCTGCTTGGGAACCCAATATCGACTGGAGCCATCTTCCCAAATTGTCACCCTACATTGCTTTTCTAGGGAACCTACCCTATGATGTGACAGAAGAGTACATTAAAGAATTCTTTAGAGGACTAAATATCAGTGCAGTGCTTTTACCACGTGAACCCAGCAATCCAGAGAAGTTGAAAGGTTTTGGTTATGCTGAATTTGAGGACCTGGATTCCCTGCTCAGTGCCCTGAGTCTCAATGAAGAGTCTCTAGGTAACAGGAGAATTTGAGTGGACGTTGCTGATCAAGCACAGGATAAAGACAGGAATGATCATTCTTCTGGCTGTGATAGAAATGGGGATTATGACAAAACAGATACAGACTGAAGGGCTCGTCCTGCCACAGACAGCTTTGATGACTACTCACCTAGAAGAGGTGATGATAGCTTTGGAGACAAGTATCGAGATCGTTATGATTCAGATTGGTATTGTGATGAGTATTGGGATGGCCCATGCAGGGATATGGATTGATACGGCGACTGGGATCGCTATGATGACCAAGGCAGCAGAGATTATGATAGAGGCTATGATTCCCAGATAGGCAATGGCAAAAAAGCATTTGGCAGTGGGTACCACAGGGATGATGACTACAGAGGAGGTGAGGACTGTGATGAAGACTGATCCAACAGACGGGATGATCGGTCATAGAGCTCCAGAGATGATTACTCTTGGGATGATTATAGGCGTGATGATAGAGGTCCCCCACAAAGACCCAAACTGAATCTAAAGCCTCAGAGTACTCCTAAGGAAGATAATTCCTCTGCTAGTACCTCCCAGTCCAGTCAAGCTGCTTCTGTCTTTGGAGGGACAAAGCCCATTGACACAGCTGCTAGAGAAAGAGAAGTAGAACAGCTACAGAAGGAACAAGAGAAGTTGCAGCATCAGCTGGATGAGCCAAAACTAGAACGATGGCCTCGGGAGAGACACCCAAACTGGCAAAGTGAAGAAACTCAGGAACAGGGATGGTCGAGGACAGGAAGTGAGTCATCACAGACCGGGACCTCTGCCACATCCGGCAGAAATGCACGAGGGAGAGTGAGAAGTCTTTAGAAAATGAAACACTCAATAAGGAGGAAGACTGTCACTCTCCAACTTCTAAAACTCCCAAACCTGATCAGCCCCTAAAGGTAATGCCAGCCCCTCCACCAAAGGAGAATGCTTGGGTGAAGTGAAGTTCTAACCCTCCTGCTCTATCACAGAGCTCAGATACAGAGCAGCAATCCCTACAAGTGGTGGGGGAAAAGTAGCTCCAGCTCAACCATCTGAGGAAGGAACAGCAAGAAAAGATGAAAATAAAGTAGATGGGATGAATGTCCCCAAAGACCAAACTGGGAACTCTAGCCATGGTCCAGGAGACAGAGGGAACAAAGACCACTGAACGGAGTCAGATAGGAAAGATGGCAAAAAGGATCAAGAGTCCAGATCTGCACCTGAGCCATATAAACCCAAGGAAAATCTAGCTTCCAAGTTCAGTTCTGCAAGCAAGTATGCTGCTGTCTCCGTTGATGGTGAAAATGAAAACGAGGGAGAAGATTACACCAAATAGACCTCAACATCCTGTGCTTTCTCCTACTTTCTCTGCACCCTGGAACATTAGAGAGCAAATCAAACCTCTATCCAGACAAGACAAAATAAAACTCACCATCTCCTGGGGGAAAAAAAAAAAAAGACACACAGACCAATGGAACAGAATAAACAGCCCAGAAATAAGCCAAATACCTAAAACCAACTCATCTTTAGCAAAGCACATAAAAACACACACTGGGGAAAGAATACTCCATTCAATAAATGGTGCTGGGAAAATTGAACAACAACATGCAAAGAATGAAAATGGATTCCTATCTTTCACTATATACAAAAATTAACTCAAGATGGATTAAAGACATAAGTCTAAAACCTGAAATCATAAAAATTCTAGAAGAAAACCTGGAAAAACTCTTCTGGACATTGGCCTAGGCAAAGAACTTATGACTAAGACCCCAAAAGCAAATGTAACAAAAACCTGTAAATGACATGTAACTAAACCACCAATGGATCCAGCAATCCCACTACAGGGTATCTACAGAGTCCATAAGGAACTCAAGCAAATCAGCAAGAAAGGAAAAAATCCCATTAAAAAGTGGGCAAACGACAAGAGCAGACATTTCTCAAAAGATACACAAATGGCCAACCAACATGAAAAAAATGCCACTAATGTCAGTAATCATCAGGGAAATGCATATTAAAACCACAGTGAGATACCTCCTTACTCCAGCCAGAATTACCATTATTAAAAAGTCAAAAAACAACAGATGTTGGTGTGGATGCAGTGAAACGGGAACACTTATACACTATTGATGGGAATGAAAGTTAGTACGATATTTATGAAAGACAGTATGGAAATTTCTCCAAGAACTAAAAGTAGATCTACCATTCAATCCAGCAATCCCACTACTGGGTATCTACCAAAGGAAAAAAAGTCATTATATAAAAAAGATACCTGCATGTGTATATTTATCACAGCATAATTCAAAATTATAAAGACATAGAATCAACTTAAGTGCCTATCAACCCATAAGTGGATTAAAAAAAAATGTGACAAACACACACACACCATGGATTGCTACTCAGCCAAAAAAAAAAAAAAAAAAAAGAATGAAATAATGTCTTTTGCAGCAATCTGGATGCAATTGGGGGCCTTATCCTAGGTGAAGTATCTCAGGAATGAAAAACCAAATGCCACATCTTCTCCCTTGCAAGTGGGAGCTAAATGAAGGGTACACAAAGGCATACAGAATGGTATAGGGGACACTGGAGGCTCAGAAGACTGGAGGGTGAGAGGGGGCTGAGGGATAAATAATTACATACTGAGTACAATGTACATTATTTGGGTGATGGGTACCCTTAACGCCCAGACTTCCTCAGTATAAAATTCATCCATGTAACCAAAAACCATTTGTATCCCTAAATAGAAATACAATTTTAAAAGGAAAAAGAAAAAAAGAAAGTAGGGTTCAAATATTAAGAAAGAATGTTAAACCTACTCTATGCTCTAGAAATGGAACAACAAAGTCTGAATGACAGCACATCTTTTTACAGCATGGTTTCCTGAATATTTTAAGCCCACTGGTAAGACCTGATGCTCAGAAAAAAATGATTCCCTTGAAAATATTACTACTTATTGACAATATACCTGGTTATCCAAGAGCTCTAATGGAGATGCACAAGGAGATTAATGTTTTCATTTCTACTAACACAACATTCATTCTGCAGTTCCATGGATCAAGGATTAATTTTACTTTCAAGTTTTATTATTTAAGAAATGTCTTGCAAGGCAACAGCTGCCATAGATAGTGATTCCTCTGATGGATTTGAGCAAAGTAAACTGAAAATCAGGGAAGGACTCGCCATTCTAGATGCCACTAAGAACATTCAAGATTCATGAGAGGAAGTCAAAATGTCAATACTAACAGGAGTTTGGAAGAAGCTGATTCCAAATGTCATGGATAAGCGTGAGGAGTTCAAGACTTCAATGGAAGAAGAGTGAGCAGATGTGGTGGAAATAGCAAAAGAACTAGAATTAGAAGTGGACCATAAAATGAGACTAAATTCCTGTAAACTCAAGATAAAACTTGAATGGATGAGGAATTGATTCTTATGGATGAGCAAAGAAAGTGGTTCTTGAGATGAAATTTACCCCTGGTAAACAGCTGTGAATATTATTGAGTTGACAACAAAGGATTTAGAATGCTTCACATACTTAGCTGATAAAGCAGTGGCAGGGTTTGGGAGGACTGACTCTGATTTTGAGAAAAGTTCTAATGTGGGTATAATGCTATCAAACAGCATCATGTGTTACAGAGAAATCTATTGTGAAAGGAAGAGTCCTTCAATGTGGCAAACTTCATTGTTGTCTTATTTTGAGAAAGTGTCACAGCCATTCCAATCTTCAGCAACCATCAGCCTGATCAGTCAGCAGCCATCAAGACTGAGGCAAGACCTTCCATCAGCAAGAAGTTTACAACTCACTGAAGGTTCAGATGACTGTTAGCATGTTTAAGCAATAATGTATTTTTAACTAAGGGAAAGTCCTTTTTCCAAGATGGACACCCACAATGACAAAACCACATCACTGGAGGGTGCTGATCTTACCCTGCTGATTCTCAACTCAACAGAGGCTGGAGGAGGCAGAAGCTGCATCTCTTTTTGTTCAGCAATTTGTTGCTTTTGTCTACCAAGTGCAGGAAATCCTTTAAGATAAAAAATAAAATAGTGCTGAACAACCTGTGGACAGCTAGCTATGTGGACAAAGTGGGGAATGGCCACATCTCTACTGGGAGGTCCCTTCTCTTGGGCTGGCCCATGGCGAACTTCGTGGCCACATTTTGGGCTCTGAAGATTACCAGCTGTGGGTCACTTCTGGCATGAAAAAGGCCCCATGTCCACTCATTGGGCACAAGCATTCTTACAGAATTAAAATGAGCCATCCTCAAGCCATTATGCTCCTGCCACAGGGACAGTGAACTCCATCTCTCCTTCCATCTTTCAGGAGCCCTTCTTTTGGCAGGGGTCTAACACTTGCCAGGACAACCTATGCATGACTCTACCAGCCTTAAAGCTAGGCCAGCTCTTTGGAGCTTCTCTCACAGATGTTTGTGAGAATGACAACATACCCACCCCTCTCTGGATATGCCTTTTTAAAAAGCAACCAAAAAGGGCCACTCAACAGAAGGTATCTTCAGAAAATTGGCAAATATAAAATCATATCGAGCCCTAAAGGAGAAACTAAATTCTGCAGATAAAGTGAACTTGGACAATTTGAGTCCATTCTTCTGGAAACATCATTCTTAAATGAAAGAATATCCAAGGAAGTATATTTTCATCCAGTCTCTATGATGAATGGCTTGGTGTATTCATCAAGGGAATGAAGAGGAGAAAATAATTGCTATCCAGAGGCTTTTAGACCAGCTGCCAATGTTGTTCTCTTGAGATACCTTTTTGGAGTGTACACACTGAATATTCCTCATCCAATCAGATAAAAGCTTATAATTTATCAACATGTATAGCCCCAAGCATTCTTCAGCTGTCCACTTCCTGCAGCTCAAAACTAGAAAATGCATTCACAAAAAGTCCAGTGTGATGACTCTGACTTTAAAAAAGAGAATTCACAAAAAAGGTTTCTCTTGTACAATTTCTCATTGAAAACCGCCTCATGATATTTGGAAAAGACATCACTTTCCTCTTTGGGAAGAACTCAGAGTTGTGATAATAGCCAGAAGGCTTTAGTGAAAACAGAGCAACCTCTTTAATCCAAGCCAGTGAGAGTCATGGTGGTTTACAAGAAAATCACAACTGTACAATGATGCCCAGGCCCATCTGGAATGGGTCCACCCAGCTACCTGCCCACTGTTTTTTAAGTTACTGAAGATTCAAATCTCCATAGTCACATTTGACTCTTCCTTTTCTTTCATTTCCTAAAGTATTCCACTGAGAACAATTTTCCCAAAATGTTTGCAGAATTTTGCTGAATTTGGATTAAATCCTCAGGTTCTTTCCAAAAATAAGTAAATTTCTTGGCAAAAGAATGAACATGTGGCACCTTAAACTAAGACAACCACCATGGATCATGTTTTTAAATCACTTGTTTTTAGTTGAACACCGAATGAGCACCTTCCAACATCCCAGGTCATCCCATTTTCCTTTTCCTTATACCATATATACATATTTGCAAAAATCTTCCCACAAAATATATCTTCTATCTTTCCATCCCTATCATAACATATTATTACTTTTCAATTGATATAAAATAAATATATAAATTTTTGGAGTAAAAAAGAATTCTATACTTTTAACTCTTACATATAGGTATAGGTCTTTGATCTCTTTCATATTAATTTTTGTATATGGTGTGAAATAGGGGTCCAGATTCATTCCTCTGTATGTGGACATCCAGCTGTCCCAGCACTATTTGTTGAAAACTATCCTTTCCCCCTGAATTGTCTTTGCACATTCATGAAAATCGATTGATTACAGATGTGTGGGTTTATTTCTGTACTCTTAATTCTGTTTCACCGATCTCCTTGTCCTTATGCCAGAACCACACTATTTTAATTATTGTAGCTTTGCAGTAAGTTTTGAAATTGAAAAGTGTGAGTCCAGTTCTGTTCTTTTTCGAGGTTGTTTTGGCTAGCCTGGTTCCCTAACCTTTCCTGTGCATTTTATAATCAGCTCGTCAATTTCTGCAACAAAGATAGTTGGATTTTTTACATAGATTACATAAACATAGGATGTCTTTCCATTTATTTAGGTCTCCTTTAATATCTCTCAACATTTCTTTGCAGTTTTCAATATACAAGTACAAGAACCTATACAAGTCTTACACTTCTTTTGTTAATCTCCTCTACTTTTAAGATGAGGGAACAAGCCCAGAGCGGCTTTAAAATCCACTCTTACTTCTGCTCTTTGGTGAAAACTTTGTACCCTACTAGAATCTATGCTGACCAATTTACCCTGATTTTTCAAGAATAATTGAGCCAATAATCTGGATTTAAGATACTATCCTAATGAATCTAATCTGCAGCCTAGCATATCACTGCTAGTGAAGGTTCCCTGCCAGTGAAGGAAGTACTTGCTTCCACAGGTTAAACAAATTTCATGACAATTCATATGGTACTGTTAGCACACTAATGGCAGCAGGCTCTTTGCAGGTCCAAAGTTTTTTTTGGAGAGAAATAACAAGGGCTGGAACCTAAAGGAGTAAAATCCAAGTGAAGGACCCGTGGTGGTTTAAAGCACATCTGAAATTCTTTGACACTCCTCCCCATCAAGAGATGGAGTCTAATATCCCCTGCTAGACTATGGGCTGGCCTTAGTGACTCTAACAAATAGGATGTGGTGGAGTTTACACTGCATGACTTCTGAGTCTAGGTCATAGACAGGAAAACAGCTCCCACCTAACTCTCTGCCTGGGATTCTGGGCCTTGGAGCCCAGCCACCATGCTGTTAGGAAGCCTATATGGAAAAACTTCACATAGGCCTTCCAGTGGACAGGTCCTGCCAAGGTCTTAGTCAACACTCAGATACCTGAGTGACAAAGCCTTCAAGATAAGCCCAGCCCCAGTCACAATGATGACAAACACATTAGAGACCCTGAGCAAAAACTGCCTAGCTTAACCCAGTCTACCATCTTAATAATAAATAATAATGTAAGACAATAATAATAAAAGATTGTTGTTGTTTTTATGCCTCTAAGTTTGGGTTTATTTGCAACAATAGGTAACTGGAAAAAAGCTTAAGTCAGTTTGCTAACTCTACCATGTACCCAGAACAATTAGGCCAATTACAATTTTGAATACTGTAAAATAGTAACCAAATTACGGTAGTACTGGAACAAGAATTTTAGAGCCTTAGACCCTAAGGGTTAGAAAAGCCCCTTGGGGTTGTATATTTGGACTGTTTGTGTAAAAACATTCATTGTTAACTTGCTTTCTTCCTTAAGAATGTGTTCCCGATGACCCAGGAGCTCCCTTAGGCCCCAATGCATAAAAACTTACATTCAGTTAACCCAGTAATACCATAAAACTTCCTCCTACAGTGTGAGGTACATATTTTATTAAATATTTACAGTATTTTGAAATGTAAAGAGAAAATAACTTATTCAAAAGGCGAACACATATGAAATTCAGTACTTAGAAACACAATGTAGCCAGTCCAAGGTTCTGTCTTTAATGGTATAAAAAAACAGCTATGGGATGAATTTGGAAATTGTCATCTAAATGTGGCATTTTAAAAGAAACAAGGCTGGGCACAGTGGCTCATGCCTGTAATCCCAGCACTTTGGGAGGCCAAGGTGGGCAAGACCACTTGAGGTCAGGGGCTCAAGACCAGCCTGGCCAACATGGCGAAACCCTGTCTCTACTACAAATACAAATATTCTCCAGGCTTGGTAGCACATGCCTGTAATCCCAGCTACTAGAGAGGCTGAGGCAGGAGACTTGCTTGAACCCAAGAGCAGAGGTTGCAGTGAGCCAAGATCGCACCACTGCACTCCAGCCAGAGCAACAGAGTGAGACTCTGTCTCAAAACAACAAAAACAAACAAAAGACAGAAACAAATACTGTATCTGAACTAGAGTAAAATTCACAAATATGTTAATTTATTATCCACTAGTTATTCAAATCTCTGGCAACAGCAAGCTATTTAGAAACCCAAACACAATCATAACATGACCTCACATTTTTTTAAATTTATTTTTATTTTATTATTATTATACTTTAAGTTTTAGGGTACATGTGCACAACGTGCAGGTTAGTTACATATGTATACCTGTGCCATGCTGGTGTGCTGCACCCATTAACTCGTCATTTAGCATTAGATATATCTCCTAATGCTATCCCTCCCCCCTCCCCCGACCCCACAACAGTCCCCAGAGTGATGTTCCCCTTCCTGTGTCCATGTGTTCTCATTGTTCAAGTCCCACCTATGAGTGAGAACATGCAGTGTTTGGTTTTTTGTCCTTGCGATAGTTTACTGAGAATGATGATTTCCAATTTCATCCATGTCCCTACAAAGGACATGAACTCATCATTTTTTATGGCTGCATAGTATTCCATGGTGTATATGTGCCACATTTTCTTAATCCAGTCTATCATTGTTGGACATTTGGGTTGGTTCCAAGTCTTTGCTATTGTGAATAGTACCGCAATAAACATATGTGTGCATGTGTCTTTATAGCAGCATGATTTATAATTCCTTGGGAATATACCCAGTAATGGGATGGCTGGGTCAAATGGTATTTCTAGTTCTAGATCCCTGAGGAATCGCCACACTGACTTCCACAATGGTTGAACTAGTTTACAGTCTCACCAACAGTGTAAAAGTGTTCCTATTTCTCCACATCCTCTCCAGCACCTGTTGTTTCCTGACTTTTTAATGATCGCCATTCTAACTGGTGTGAGATGGTATCTCACTGTGGTTTTGATTTGCATTTCTCTGATGGCCAGTGATGGTGAGCATTTTTTCATGTGCTTTTTGGCTGCATAAATGTCTTCTTTTGAGAAGTGTCTGTTCATGTCCTTTGCCCACTTTTTGATGGGGTTGTTTGTTTTTTTCTTGTCAATTTGTTTGAGTTCATTGTAGATTCTGGATATTAGCCCTTTGTCAGATGAGTAGGTTGCGAAAATTTTCTCCCATTTTGTAGGCTGCCTGTTCACTCTGGTGGTAGTTTCTTTTGCTGTGCAGAAGCTCTTTAGTTTAATTAGGTCCCATTTGTCAATTTTGGCTTTTGTTGCCATTGCTTTTGGTGTTTTAGACATGAAGTCCTTGCCCATGCCTATGTCCTGAATGGTAATGCCTAGGTTTTCTTCTAGGGTTTTTATGGCTTTAGGTCTAACGTGTAAGTCTTTAATCCATCTTGAATTAATTTTTGTATAAGGTGTAAGGAAGGGATCCAGTTTCAGATTTCTACATATGGCTAGCCAGTTTTCCCAGCACCATTTATTAAATAGGGAATCCTTTCCCCATTGCTTGTTTTTCTCAGGTTTGTCAAAGATCAAGTAGTTGTAGATACGCGGCATTATTTCTGAGGGCTCTGTTCTGTTCCATTGATCTATATTTCTGAAATGGATAAATTCCTTGACACATACACCCTCCCAAGACTAAACCACGAAGAAGTTGCATCTCTGAATAGACCAATAACAGGATCTGAAATTGTGGCAATAATCAATAGCTTGCCAACCAAAAAGAGTCCAGGACCAGATGGATTCACAGCCGAATTCTACCTGAGGTACAAGGAGGAGCTGGTACCATTCCTTCTGAAGCTATTCCAATCAATAGAAAAAGAGGGAATCCTCCCTAACTCACTTTATGAGGCCAGCATCATCCTGATACCAAAGCCTGGCAGAGACACAACCAAAAAAGAGAATTTTAGACCAATATCCTTGATGAACATTGATGCAAAAATCCTCAATGAAATACTGGCAAACCGAATCCAGCAGCACATCAAAAAGCTTATCCACCATGATCAAGTGGGCTTCATCCCTGGGATGCAAGGCTGGTTCAATATATGAAAATCAATAAATGTAATCCAGCATATAAACAGAACCAACGACAAAAACCACATGATTATCTCAATAGATGCAGAAAAGGCCTTGGACAAAATTCAACAACGCTTCATGCTAAAAACTCTCAATAAATTAGGTATTGATGAGACATATCTCAAAATAATAAGAGCTATCTATGACAAACCCACAGCCAATATCATACTGAATGGGCAAAAACTGGAAGCATTCCCTTTGAATATGGGCACAAGACAGGGATGCCCTCTCTCACCACTCCTATTCAACATAGTGTTAAAAGTTCTGGCCAGGGCAATTAGGCAGGAGAAGGAAATAAAGGGCATTCAATTAGGAAAAGAGGAAATCAAACTGTCCCTGTTTGCAGATGACATGATTGTATATCTAGAAAACTCCATTGTCTCAGCCCAAAATCTCAAGCTGATAAGCAACTTCAGCAAAGTCTCAGGATACAAAATCAATGTACAAAAATCACAAGCATTCTTAGACACCAATAACAGACAAACAGCCAAATCATGAGTGAACTCCCATTCACAATGGCTTCAAAGAGAATAAAATACCTAGGAATCCAACTTACAAGGGACATGAAGGACCTCTTCAAGGAGAATTACAAACCACTGCTCAATGAAATAAAAGAGGATACAAAGAAATGGAAGAACATTCCATGCTCATGGGTAGGAAGAATCAATATCGTGAAAATGGCCATACTGCCCATGGTAATTTATAGATTCAATGCCATCCCCATCAAGCTACCAACGACTTTCTTCACAGAATTGGAAAAAACTACTTTAAAGTTCATATGGAACCAAAAACGAGCCCACATCGCCAAGTCAATCCTAAGCCAACATGATCTTACATTTTAATGGCAATTTCTATTGTTGGCAATATATATTGTTGTAAGAAATTCAAAATATTTTAATGGTACAAGACACTCTCAAGAAACTAAATTATTCTATTATAAGCTATTGAACATATTAATAGCAGATGACTAATATCAATAGAACATTGACTGATTTGATTATTGCAAGATGGTACCTTAACATCTTTATTCTAATATTCACTGAAGAGAGCTAAAATAAAGCAACATTTGTTTGGGAGATAGTGATTTGTTGCATAAATCAAAGCTTTTATGGAAAAGATAGGTCTATCTATTTAATTTCACACCTACCATGGAATTCACAAAAGTAACTGGCAGGCATGAGAACTAAATTCACAATCTTCTGTTCATTAACACTGTTTTAAATCCCTGAGCTACCAATCACATTTCCTAGAAGAACAAGGACTTCACAGTACTATGGTTTCAAAAAATACAAGTGAATTGTTCAGTATGGCAAAGATACATAAAATGAAGCAGAATGGTTGGACAGTAGCTTCTATCATAGTTCGATGAAGAAAATATCAAAAATGACTTAAGAAGACTAAGTAGTTACCTTAAGTAATAAGCACCATATGGAATAAAAGGGTCACTGAAAGCCTCTTAAACTGAGTAAAGTGGTGCTATGATTGTTATTTATCTGATATTTTAGTGATGGCTTTCTTTATTAGAAAAGCGAAGAGAATAGAACATAAAACCACTTTAAAAAGCTAAAAGTCAGGAGTCTGGCAAGATGGCCAAATAGGAACAGCTCTGGTCTGCAGCTCCCAGCAAGACCAATGCAGAAGGCGGGTGATTTCTGCATTTCCAACTGAGGTATCCAGCTCATCTCACTGGGACTGGTTAGATAGTGGGTGCAGCCCACAGAGAGCGAGCTGAAGCAGGGTGGGGCGTCGCCTCTCCCAGGAAATGCAAGGCTTCAGGGAACTCCCTCCCCTAGCCAAAGGAAGCGGTGAGGGACTATGCTGCGAGGAACGATACAATCTGGCCCAGATACTACACTTTTCCCATAGTCTTTGCAACACACAGACCAGGAGATTCCCTTAGGTGCCTACACCACCAGGGCCCTGGGTTTCAAGCACAAAACTGGGTGGCCATTTGGGAAGACACCGAGCTAGCTGCAGGAGATTTTTTTCATACACCAGTGGCACCTGGAACTCCGCGGAGACAGAACCGTTCACTCCCCTGGAAAGGGGGCTGAAGCCAGGGCACCAAGTGGTCTAGCTCAGCAGATCCCACCCCCATAGAGCCCAGCAAGCTAAGATCCACTGGCTTGAAATTCTCGTTGCCAGCACAGCAGTCTGAAGTTGACCTGGGACACTCCAGCTTGGTGGGGAAAGGGGCGTACACCATTACTGAGGCTTGAGTAGGTAGTTTTCCCCTCACAGTGTAAACAAAGTCATGGGGAAGTTCCAACTGGGCAGAGTCCACCACAGCTCAGCAAAGCTGCTGTAGCCAGACTGCCTCTCTAGATTCCTCCTCTCTGGGTAGGGCATCTCTGAAAAAAAGGCAGCAGCCACAGTCAGGGGCTTATACATAAAACTTCCATCTCCCTGGGACAGAGGGAAGGGGCAGCTGTGGGCGCAGCTTCAGCAGACTTAAACGTCCCTTCTTGCAAGCTGTGAAGAGAGCAGTGGACCTCAAGTCTGCTAAGGGTCAGACTGCCTCCTCAGGTGGGTTCCTGACACCTGTGTCTCCTGACTGGGAGACATTTCCCAGCAGGGGCCGACAGATATCTCATACAGGAGAGATCCAGCTGGCATCTGGCGGGTGCCCCTCTGGGACAAACCTTCCAGAGGAAGAAACAGGTGGCAATCTTTGACGTTCTGCTGCCTCCGCTGGTGATACCCAGGCAAACAGGGTCTGGAGTGGACCTCCAGCAAAGTCCAGCAGACCTGTGGCAGAGGGCCCTGACTGTTAGAAGCAAAACTAATAAACAGAAAGGAATAGCATCAATATCTTAACAAAAAGGATGTCCACTCAGAGACCCCATCTGAAGGTCACCAACATAAAAGACTAAAGGTAGATAAATCGACGAACAGGGGGAGAAACCAGTGCAAAAACGCTGAAACTTCCAAAAACCATTAGCCTCTTCTCCTCCAAAGGATCACAAGTCCTTGCCAGCAAGGGAACAAAACTGGATGGAGAATGTTTGATGAACTGACAGAAGTAGGCTTCAGAAGGTGGGTAATAACAAGCTCCTCTGAGCTAAAGGACTATGTTCTAACCAAATGCAAGGAAGCTAACAACTTTGAAAACAGGTTAGATGAATTGCTAACTAGAATAACCAGCTTAGAGAAGAACATAAATGACCTGACGAAACTGAAAAACACAGTACGAGAACTTCATGACACATACACACGTTATCAAGAGCCGAATCGATCAAGCGGAAGAAAGGATATCAGAGATTGAAGATCAACTTAATGAAATAAAGCGAGAAGACAAGATTAGAGAAAAAATAATGAAAAGGAATGAACAAAGCTTCCAAAAAATATGGGACTATGTGGAAAGACCAAACCTATGTTTGGTTGGTGTACCTGAAAGTAATGGGGAGAATGGAACCAGGCTGGAAAACACTCTTCGAGATATTATCCAGGAGAACTTCCCCAACCTAGCAAGACTGAACAAATTCAAATTCAGGAAATACAGAGAACACCACAAAGATACTCCTTGAGAAGAACAACCCCAAGACACATAATTGTCAGACTCACCAAGGTTGAAATGAAGGAAAAAATGTTAAGGGCAGCCAGAGAGAAAGGTTGGGTTACCCACAAAGGGAAGCCCATCAGACTAACAGCAGATCTCTCTGCAGAAACCCTACATGCCAGGAGAGAGTGGGGATCAATATTCAACATTCTTTGTTTTTTGGTGTGTGTGTGTGTGTGTGTGTGTGTGTGTGTTTGAGATGGGGTCTTTGTCACAGTGACACAATCTTGGCTCACCACAAACTCTGCCTCTTGATTTCAATGGGTTCAAGCAATTCTCTGCCTCAGCCTCCCGAATTGCTGGGATTACAGGCACCCGCCACCACACTCGGCTAATTTTTGTATTTTTAGTAGAGACAAGGTATCACCATCTTGGCCAGGCTGGTCTCGAACTCCTGACCTTGTGATCCACCTGACTTGACTTCCCAAAGTGCTGGGATTACAGGTGTGAGCCACCACGGCCTCAACATTCTTAAAGAAAAGAATTTTAAACCCAGAATTTCATATCCAGCCAAACTAAGCTTCATAAGCAAAGGAGAAATAAAATCCTTTACAGACGAGCAAATTCTGAGAGATTTTGTCACCACCAGGCCTGCCTTACAAGAGCTCCTGAAGGAAGCACTACATATGGAAAGGAAAAACCAATACCAGCCACTGCAAAAACATGCCAAATGGTAAAGACCATCGACACTATGAAGAAACTGCATGAAGTAACGGGCAAAACAACCAGCTAACATCATAATGACAGGATCCAATTCTGAAATACCAATATTAACCTTAAATGTAAATGGGCTAAATGCCCCAGTTAAAAAACAGAGACTGGAAAACTGGATAAAGAGTAAAGACCCATCAGTGTGCTGTATTCAGGAGATCCATCTCATGTGCAAAGACACATAGGCTCAAAATAAACGGATGGAGGAGTATTTACCAAGCAAATGGAAAGAAAAAAAAGAAAGCAGGGTGGCAATCCTAGTCTCTGATAAAACAGACTTTAAATCAACAAAGATCAAGAAAGACAAAGAAGGCCATTACATAATGGTAAAGTGATCAATGCAACAAGAAGAGCTAACTATCCTATATATATGTGCACCCAATACAGGAGCACCCAGATTCATAAAGCAAGCCCTTAGAGACCTACAAAGAGACTTACACTCCCACACAATAATAGTGGAAGACTTTAACACCCGACTGTCAATATTAGACAAATAACGAGACAGAAAATTAACAAGGATATTCAGGACTTGAACTTAGCTCTGGACCAAGTGGACCTAACAGACATCTACAAAACTCTCCCCACCAAATCAACAGAATATACATTCTTCTCAGCACCACATCGCACTTATTCTAAAATTGACCACATAATTGGAAGTAAAATACTCCTCAGCAAATGCAAAAGAATGGCAATCATAACAAACTGTCTCTCAAACCACAGTGCAATCAAATTAGAACTCAGGATTAAGAAACTCACTCAAAACCACAAAACTACATGGAAACTGAAGAACTTGCTCCTGAATGACTACTGGGTAAATTACAAAATGAAGGCAGAAATAAATAAGTTCTTTGAAACCAATGAGAACAAAGACACAATGTACCAGAATCTCTGGGACACAGCTAAAGCCGTGTTTAGAGGAAAATTTATAGCACCAAATGCCCACAGGAGAAAGTGGGAAAGATCTAAAATCGACGCCCTAACTTCACAATTAAAAGAACTAGAGAAGCAAGAGCAAACAAATTCAAAAGCTAGCAGAAGACAAGAAATAACTAAGATCAGAGCAGAACTGAAGGAGATAGAGACACAAAAAACCCTTCAAAAAAATCAAGGAATCCAAGAGCTGGTTTTTTGAAAAGATTAACGAAATAGACCACTACCAAGACTAATAAAGAAGAAAAGAGAGAAGAATCAAATAGACACAATAAAAAATGATAAAGGAGATATCATCACTGATCCCACAGAAATAGAAATTACCATCAGAGAATACTATAAACACCTCTACGCAAATAAACTAGAAAATCTAGAAGAAATGGATAAATTGCTGGACACATACACCCTCCCAAGACTAAACCAGGAAGAAGTCGAATCCCTGAATAGACTGATAACAAGTTCTGAAATTGAGGCAGTAATTAATAGCCTACCAACCAAAAAAACCCCAGGACCAGACGGACTCACACCTGAATTCTACCAGAGGTACAAAGTGGAGCTGGTACCACTCCTTCTGAAAGTATTCCAAACAACAGAAAAGAGGGACTCCTCCCTAACTCACTTTATGAGGCCAGGATCATCCTCGTAACAGCCAATAACCAATAAAAGCCTACCAACCAACAAAAGCCCAGGACAAAATGGATTCACAGCTTAGAAGGGATGTACTCAGTGTGGCAAGGAAAGGAAGAGCCAGTCACTTCAGCTGAGGCCCTAGTGAGCACCAAGGCAACACTCAGATTATGCTCTGTTTTCTCTCTGACTCCTGGTACAGATGACTGTATAGCACAGAGAAAGGAGAGCGGCAGAGAAAGTGTCAGACTACAAAGGGAAGTGTAAGTACTTATGGCAAGTATTACTATGTATTAATTCAAGCTGTCTGAAATTATGAGAACAGTTTCAGGATATAACAAGGATACTGCACTAAACAGTAAAGAATAGATCCAATTAATCCCAAATAGATCTGGGGTATCCTACAGCAGAGACAGACTAAGAGGTGTGACTTGATCCCAGGCTAGTAGCAGCTCTACATTCCACTACACAGGCCTAAGCACAGAAGGATACTGGCCGCCCACTACCACAGCCATCACTACCTCCGTGAGCACATGGAGTTCAACTCTCTCGCAGTTTCAAAATGTATCCTTTGGACATCAGAGGTGATAGATTCAAAACAGGCTTGTGAAGACCTGACCTTGGAAACTTTCAAATAAAAAATTAAGGTTAAAGTTCTTTTGGGGAATTTTAAAGTGTTATACCATGGACAAGTAGAACATCAATGTCAAATAAAGTATAAAACCCATCATCCAAACTTAAACGACAAACTTCATCTCTCATCCATTTGAACAAAATCGGCCTACTACAAAAAGATTAATTTTGCATGCAAACGATGGCAAAAAAAAATCACATAATGATTTTTCAAGCCTTCAAATAAAAACCTTAATGAATCAATTTAAAGACTGCCACCTCAGTTATAGGAATACAAGTTGGAGCCTGTTTTGTCACCAGGGACCTTCTGACATCCTCACTTTCTAGGGTCAGTAGTAACTTTTATTTAAGGTTCTTTCTGAGTTTACTACAGGTTAGCATTTTTTTTTCTTTCTTTTTGTGATGGAGTCTCATTCTGTCACCCAGGCTGGAGTGCAGTGGCACGATCTCGGCTCACTGCAACCTCCACCTCCCAGGTTCAAGAGAGTCTCCTGCCCCAGCCTCCCAAGTAGCTGGGATTACAGGCGCATGCCACCATGCCAGGCTAATTTTTGTATTTTTTTTTAAGTAGAGACAGGTTGTCACCATGTTGGTCAGACCAATCTCAAACCCCCGGTGTCAGGTGATCTGCCCGCCTCGGCCTCCCAAAGTGTTGGATTACAGGTGTGAGCCACTGCATCTGGCCTACTGCAGTTTTTATAAACAGAAAAACTTCTATTCCAAATATTTCACGCTGAAAATATGGCAATGGGGTCAGACTGACATATATTAAATGCTTATTAAGAAACAAGGAAGATATCTGATAATCATATGTACTGAAAAGGTAAATTTTAAAAATCATCTTATCAGATCAAATTTCTTATAATTTGAGTGATAATCTGGAATGTTGAGAACTTAATTTGGATGAGGGCTGAATTATAACATCATCTATTTAATTTTAGTATTTGCCAGAATCTGTTTAATGTCTGAAATGAGCTTTACCACAAATTATTCCTCTACTTCACTGACTTTTTCATTGATTGATACTATTCTGGTCTATACTGTAAAAATTCCTCACATGAATCACAAAACCTAAAGAAAAAGGTTTCCACGTCAGTTAAGGATTAATCTGAAAGTCCTTTTAATTTAAATATTTTTTATTTTTTATTAAAATGTTCCTAAATGTGTAAGTACACTAGCATTCTAGTTCTTATGCTACACATTCAAATGCTTTATATATACTATTACAACAATGACAACAATTATTATAACAATGACATAAAGTAGAAATTATTATCTTTATTTTACAGATGAGAAAACTGAATCATAAAAAGGTCACATAACTTGTTGAGGGTTACACAGCTAGTGATCTGGAGCTGGTTTTTGATTTACTAAATATCTTATGTCATCTTATTTTTGTGTGTGTGATTAGTCTATCATAAAATAGAGAACACTTTGGGTTCCTCTCAACCAGTGTTTTCTACAGTGTTTCTTTTTTTTTTTTTTTTGAGACGGAGTCTTGCTCTGTCACCCAGGCTGGAGTGCAGTGGCACAATCTTGGTTCACTGCAACCTCCACCTCCTGGATTCAAGCCATTCTCCTGCCTCAGCCTCCCCAGTTGCTGGGATTACAGGCACGCACCACCATGCCCAGCTACTTTTTGTATTTTTGGTAAAGACAGGGTTTCACCATGTTGGCCACGCTGGTCTTAAACTCCTGGCCTCATGATCTGCCCACCTCGGCCTCCCAAAGTGCCCGGATTACAGGCGTGAGCCACCGTGCCCAGCCTCTAGACTGTTTCTTTACTTAATTTAAGTCCCAATAATCCAAACTGACAGTGATAACTTTTAGCTTAAATTCTTACATCTTTTAGTGCAACATGGATAGGACTTATTGAACTATATTATTTTGTTATTAAAATATGATCTCCTAGGCATAAAACTAGGATTTAGGAAAGGTACAATCAGTCACTAAAGCTACTTCCTTAACCCTAAGGATTAAAAGAAATTCATAAACTACTAACATCAGTTATCAGCTATTGTTGCTTATTCAAACGCAGTAAACCACAGCTCAAGATGTTGATCACACACCTTACTGGTAACAATGAATGTTAAGTTTTATGTGAACAGTGTAAGCATCCGTGGTCAGGATAAAAATCAGCTCTATAACATGGAAGGAAATTTTATATTCAGTGCATATACAACTGGTGTTTGAAAATTTTAATGTACTTGACATTTCAAATGAGGTAATTTCAAAGAGGAAAAAGAAAATGACTTGGTTGAGCAGAAAGGCCAAGCTGTGGATTAATGATGAGGGCTGACATGCATGTACTGACACCTTGGGAGGTTGGGAAAGACACCTACTTCTTTCTTGCATCTGTTTATGGGTACTGAGGATGGGCTCTTTTGTGTTAATTTTAAGTGACTTCCATCTGCATCATAGGTAGAAAAAAATTGCTACAAATTAACATATGAATCACAGTTCCAATCTAATGCTTCAGTATTTCTTCATATTCAAATTCCATACATTTAATTTAAAAAAAAAACCTCAGAAATCAGCAAATTACCTCGAATGTAGCTCTGTGCTGCCATTATTATATTTGCTTCCTCTTTCCCAGACACCAAAGTCAGGCACACGGTAAACTCTTTCCACACAAAATACAAGGTTTTGAATAAAAGAGACCTAAAAGAAAAAGAAATGAAACATAAGGACATACTCAATAACAGGACATAGGCCGGGTGTGGTGGCTCATGCCTGTAATCCCAGCAATTTGGGAGGCTGAGGGGAGGGATTACATGAGGTTGGGAGTTTGAGACCAGCATGACCAACATGCAGAAACTCATCTCTACTAAAAAATACAAAAATTAGGGGTCCATTCCAAGACAGCCGAATACGAACAGCTCCGGTCTTCAGCTCCCAGCATGATCAACACAGAAGACGGGTGATTTCTGCATTTCCAACTGAGATAACCGGTTCACCTCATTGGGAATAGTCGGACAGTGGATGCAGCCCACGGAAGGCGAGCTGAAGCAGGGTGGGGCATCGCTTCACCCAGGAAGTGCAAGGGGTCAGGGAATTTCCCTTTCCTAGCCAAGGGAAGCCTTGACAGACTGTACCAGAAAAATTGGGACACTGTCACCTAAATACTGTGCTTTTCCACTGGTCTTGGCAAACGGCACACCAGGAGATTATATCCTGCACCTTGCTCAGCGGGTCCCATGGCCATGGAGCCTTGCTCACTGTTAGAACGGCAGTCCGAGATCGAACTGCACGGCAGCAAGCCTGGCTGGGGGAGGGGGGTCCACCATTGTGGAGGCTTGAGTAGGTAAACAAAGCAGCCAGGAAGCTATAGGTGGAGCCCACCACAGCTCAAGGAGGACCCCTGCTTCTGTAGACTCCACTTGTGGGGGCATGGCATAGGTGAAAAAAAGGCAGCTGAAACTTCTGCAGAGTTAAACGTCCCAGTCCAACAGCTCTGAAGAGGGCAGTGGTTCTCCCAGCACAGTGTTTGCCCTCTAAGAACAGACAAACTGCCTCCTCAAGTGGGTCCCTGACCCCCATGTAGCCTAACTTGGAGACACGTCCGAGTAGGGGCTGACTAACACCTCATACAGCTGGGTGCCCCTCTGAGTCAAAGCTTCCAGAGGAAGGTTCAGGCAGCAGTATTTGTTGTTCTGCAATATTTGCTGTTCTGCAGCCTCCACTGGTGATACCCAGGGAAACAGGGTCTGGAGTGGACCTCCAGCAAACCCCAACAGAGCTGCAGCTGAGGGGCCTGTTAGAAGGAAAACTAACAAACAGAAAGGAATAGCATCGACATCAACGAAAAGGACATCCACACCAAAACCCCATCTGTAGGTCACCATCATAAAGACCAAAGGTAGGTAAAGCCACAAAGACGGGGAGAAACCAGAGCAGAAAAGCTGAAAGTTCTAAAAACAGGAGTGACCCTTCTCCAAAGAACCGTAGCTCCTCACCAGCAACGGAAAAAAGCTGGATGGAGAATGACTTTGACGAGTTCAAAGAAGTAGGCTTCAGAAAGTTGGTAATAACAAAATTATCCGAGCTAACGGAGGATGTTAGAACCCATTGCAAGGAAGCTAAAAACTTTGAAAAAAGATTATATGAATGGCTAACTAGAATAAACAGTGTAGAGAAGACCTCAACTGATCTGATGGAGCTGAAAACCATGGCACAAGAACTACGTGACACATGCACAAGCTTCAGTAGCCAATTCGATCAAGTGGAAGAAAGGGTATCAGTGATTGAAGATCAAATGAATGAAATGAAGTGAGAAGAGATATTTAGAGAAAAAAGAGTAAAAAGAAACGAACAAGGCCTCCAAGAAATATGGGACTATGTGAAAAGACCAAATCTACGTTTGATTCGTGTACCTGAAAGGGATAGAGAATGGAACCAAGTGGAAAACACGCTTCAAGATATTATCCAGGAGAACTTCCCCAACCTAGCAAGGGAGGCCAACATTCAAATTCAGGAAATACAGAGAACACCACAAAGATACTCCTCGAAAAGAGCAACCTCAAGACACATAATTGTCAAATTCACCAAGGTTGAAATGAAGGAAAAAATATTAACAGCAGCCAGAGAGAAAGGTCGGGTTACCCACAAAGGGAAGCCCATCAGACTAACAGCAGACCTCACGGCAGAAACCATACAAGCCAGAAGAGAGTGGGGGCCAATATTCGCCATTCGTAAAGAAAAGAATTTTCAACCCAGAATTACATATCCAGCCAAACTAAGCTTCATAAGTGAAGGAGAAATAAAATCCTTTACTGACAAGCAAATGCTGAGAGATTTTATCACCACCAGGCCTGCCTTACAAGAGCTCCTGAAGGAAGCACTAAACATGGAAAGGAACAACCAGTACAAGCCACTCCAAAAACATGCCAGATGGAAAGACCATCGATGCTAGGAAGAAACTGCATCAATTAACAGGCAAAATAACCAGCAAGCATCATAATGACAGGATCAAATTCACACATAACAATATTAACCTTAAATGTAAATGGGCTAAATGCCCCAATTAAAATACACAGACTGGCAAACTGGATAAAGAGTCAAGACTCATCAGTATGCTGTACTCAGGAGACCCATCTCACATGCAGAGACGCACATAGGCTCAAAATAAAAGGATGGAGGAAGATCTACCAAGCAAATGGAAAACAAAAAAAAGCAGGGGTTGCAATCCTAGTCTCTGATAAAACAGACTTTAAACCAACAAAGATCAAAAGAGACAAAGAAGGCCATTACATAATGGTAAAGGGATCAGTTCAACAAGAACACCTAACTATCCTAAATATATGATATGTGCACCCAATACAGGAGCACCTAGATTCATAAAGCAAGTCCTTAGAGACTTACAAAGAGACTTAGACTCCCACACAATAATAATGGGAGACTTTAACACCCCACGGTCAATATTAGACAGATCAACAAGACAGAAGGGTAACAAGGATATCCAGGATGTGAACTCAGCTCTGGAACAATTGCATGTAATAGACATCTACAGAACTCTACACCCCAAATCAACAGAATATATATTCTTCTCAGCAACACATCGCACTTATTACAAAATTGACCACATACGTGGAAGTAAAGCACTCCTCAGCAAATGTAAAAGAACAACAATCACAACAAACTGTCTCTGAGACCACAGTGTGATCAACTTATGACTCAGGATCAACAAACTCACTCAAAACCGCACAACTACATGGAAACTGAAGAACCTGCTCCTGAATGACTACTGGGTACATAACGAAATGAAGGCAGAAATAAAGATGTTCTTTGAAACCAACGAAAACAAAGACACAACGTAACAGAATCTCTGGGACACACTTAAAGCAGTATGTAGAGGGAAATTTATAGCACTAAATGCCTATCGGAGAAACTGGGAAAGATCCAAAATCGACACCCTAACATCACAATTAAAAGAACTAGAAAAGCAAGAGCAAACACATTCAAAAGCTAGGAGAAGGCAATAAATAACTAAGATCAGAGCAGAAATGAAGGAGATAGAGAAACAAAAAATCCTTCAAAAAATCAATGAATCCAGGAGCTGGTTTTTTGAAAAGATCAACAAAATTGATAGACGACTAGCAAGACTAATAAAGAAGAAAAGAGAGAAGAATCAATGTATAGAATAGATTGTAATAAAAATAGATGTAATAAATGTATTACATGGATGTAATAATTACATAGATGTAAAAAATAGATGTAAGAATAGATGTAATAAAAATGATAAAGGGGATATCACCACTGATCCCACAGAAATACAAACTACCATCAGAGAATACTACAAACACCTCTATTCAAATAAAGTAGAAAATCTAGAAGAAATTGATAAATTCCTGGAGACCTACAGCCTCCCATGACTAAACCAGGAAGAAGCTGAATAGCTGAATAGATCAATAATAGGCTCTGAAATTGAGGCAATAATTAATAGCCTACCAACCAAAAAAAGTCCAGGACCAGATGGATTCACAGCCGAATTGTACCAGAGGTACAAGGAGCAGCTGGTACCATGCCTTCTGAAACTATTCCAATCAATAGAGAAAGAGGGAATCCTCTCTAACTCATTTTATGAGGCCAGCATCATCCTGATACTAAAGCCTGGCAGACACAAGAAAAAAAAGAGAATTTTAGACCAATATCCCTGAAGAACATCGATGCAAAAATCCTCAATAAAATACTGCCAAATTGAATCCAGCAGCACATCAAAAAGCTTATCCAACACGATCAAGTTGGCATCATCCCTGGGATGCAAGGCTGGTTCAATACATGTGAATCATTAAACGTATCCATCACATAAACAGAACCAAAGACAAAAACCACACCATTATCTCAATAGATGCAGAAAAGGCCTTTGACAATATTCCAACAGCCCTTCATGCTAAAAACTCTCAATAAACTAGGTATTGATGGAATGTATCTCAAAATAATAAGAGCTATTTATGACAAACCCACAGCCAATATCACACTGAATGGGCAAAAACTGGAAGCATTCCCTTTGAAAACTGGCACAAGACAGGGATGCCCTCTCTCACCACTCCTATTCAACATAATGTTGGAAGTTCGGGCCAGGGCAAATAGGCAAGAGAAGGAAATAAAGGATATACAATTAGGAAAAGAGGAAGTCAAATTCTCTCTGTTTGCAGATGACATGATTGTATATTTAGAAAACCCCACTGTCTCAGCCCAAAATCTCCTTAAGCTGATAAGCAACTTCAGCAAAGTCTCAGGATACAAAATCAATGTGCAAAAATCACAAGCATTCTTATACACCAATAACAGACAAACAGAGAGCCAAATCATGAGCAAACTCCCATTCACAATTTCTACAAAGAGAATAAAATACCCAGGAATCCAACTTACAAGGGATCTGAAGGACCTCTTTAAGGAAAACTACAAACCACTGCTAAATGAAATAAAAGAGGACACAAATAAATGGAGGAACATTCCATGCTCATGGATAGGAAGAATCAATATTGTGAAAACGGCCATACTGCCCAAGGTAATTCATAGATTCAATGCCATCCCTAACAAGCTGCCAAGGACTTTCTTCACAGAATTGGAAAAAAGTACTTTAAAGTTCATATGGAACCAAAAAAGATCCCGCATTGCCAAGAGAATCCTAAGCAAAAAAAATGAAGCTGGAGGCATCACGCTACCTGACTTCAAACTATACTACAAGGCTACAATAACCAAAACAGCATGGTACTGGTACCAAAACAGAGATAGACACCACTGGAACAGAACAGAGGCCTCAGAAATAATACCACACATCTACAACCATCTGATCTTTGACAAACCTTACAAAAAGAAGAAATGGGGAAAGGATTCCCTATTTAATGGTACTAGGAAAACTGGCTAGCCATACGCAGAAAGCTGAAACTAGATCCCTTCCTTATACCTTATACCTTATAGGAAAATTAATTCAAGATGAATTAAAGACTTAAATATAAGACCCAAAACCATAAAAACCCTAGAGGAAAACCTAGGCAATACCATTCAGGACATAGGCATGGGCAAGGACTTAATGACTAAAACACCAAAAGCAATGGTAACAAAAGCCAAAATAGACAAATGGTATCTAATTAAACTAAAGAGCTTCTGCACAGCAAAAGAAACTACCATCAGAGTAAGCAGGCAACCTACAGAATGGGAGAAAAATTTTGCAATCTACCCATCTGACAAAGGGCTAATATCCAGAATCTACAAAGAACTTAAATTTACAAGAAAAAAATTAAACAACCCCATCAAAAAGTGGGCAAAGGATATGAACAGACACTTTTCAAAAGAAGACATTTATGCAGCCAACAGACACATGAAAAAAAATGCTCATCATCACTGGTCGTCAGAGAAATGCAAATCAAAACCACAATGAGATATCACCTCACACCAGTTAGAATGGCAATCATTAAAAAGTCAGGAAACAATAGATGCAGGAGAAGATGTGCAGAAATAGGAACACTTTTACACTGTTGATGGGAGTATAAACTAGTTCAACCATTGTGGAAGACAGTGTGGTGATTCCTCAAGGATCTAGAACTAGAAATACCATTTGACCCAGCCATCCCATTACTGGGTATATTCCCAAAGGATTATAAATCATGCTACTATAAAGACACATGCAGATACATGTTTATTGCAGCACTATTCACAATAGCAAAGACTTGGAACCAACCCAAATGTCCATCAATGATAGACTGGATTAAGAAAATGTGGCACATATACACCATGGAATACTATGCAGCCATAAAAAAGGATGAGCTCATGTCCTTTGCGGGGACATGGATGAAGCTGGAAACCATCATTCTCAGCAAACTATTGCAAGGACAGAAAACCAAACACCACATGTTCTCACTCATAGGTGCGAATTGAACAATGAGAACACTTGGACACAGGGTGGGGAACATCACACACCGGGGCCTGTCATGTGGTGGTGTGATGGGGAAGGGGTAGCATTAGGAGAAATACCTAATGTAAATGACGAGTTAATGGGTATAGCAAACCAACACGGTACATGTATACACATGTGACAAACTTGCATGTTGTGCACATGTACCCTAGAACTTAAAGTATAATAAAAAAAAATAAAAATTAGCCAGGCGTGGTGATGTATGCCTGTAATCCCAGCTACTTGGGAGGCTGAGGCAGGAGAATCGCTTGAACACAGGAGGCAGAGGTTGTGGTGAGCCAAGATCGCCCCATTGCCACTCCAGCCTGGGCAACAGGAGTGAAACTCTATCTCCAAAAAAAAAAAAAAAAAAAAAAACAGGACATTTAGATTAGATACTAAAGAGAATAATTAGATAACATTTGAAATCCAAATACATACTTGTCTCCCAACACATTTTTAATATACTGAAATACGTGTGATTATTTCTCGGGGGAACCTGTCCCCAGTATTTTATTGGGGGAACCCGTCCCCAATATTTCAATGTAGGTTCTTTTATTTTCCCTAAGTGTTGGCCAGTCTGAGAAATAAAGAGAAAGAGTACAAAGAGAGGAATTTTACAGCTGGGCCGCCAGGGGTGACATCACATATCGGTAGGACCATGATGCCCACTTGAGCTGCAAAACCAGCAAGTTTTATTTAGGATTTCAAAAGGGGAGGTGGTGCAAGAACAGGGAGTAGGTCACAAGATCACATGCTTCAAAGGGCAAAAAGGAGAACAAAGATCACATGCTTCTGAGGAAACAGGACAAAAGGCAAAACAGAACTACTGATAAGGGTCTATGTTCAGCTGTGCACGTATTGTCTTGATAAACATTTTAAACAACAGAAAACAGAGTTCGAGAGCAGAGAACTGGTCTGACCTCAAATTTACCGGGGAGGGGGGAGGGAGGTTTTTCCACACCCTAATAAACCTGAGGGTACTGCAGGAGACCAGGGCATATTTCAGTCCTTATCTCAACCACATAAGACAGACACTCCCACAGTGGCCGTTTATAGACCTTCCCCAAGGAATGCAATTCTTTTCCTAGGGTCTTAATATTAATATTATTTGCTAGGAAAAGAATTTAGTGATATCTCTCCTACTTGCACGTCCGTTTATAGGCTCTCTGCAAGAAGTAAAATATGGCTTTTTTTGCCCGACCCTGCAGACAGTCAGACCTTATGGGTGTCTTCCCTTGTTCCCTAAAAATCGCTGTTATTCTGTTCTTTTTCAAGGTGCACTGATTTCACATTGTTCAAACACACATTTTACAATCAATTTGTACAGCTAACACAATCATCACAGTGGTCCTGACGTGACATACGTCCTCAGCTTACAAAGACAACAGGATTAAGAGATTAAAATAAAGACTGATGTAAGAAATTATGGAAGTATTATTTGGGAAGTGATAAATGCCCATGAAATCTTCACAATTTATGTTCCTCTGCCGTGGCTCCAGCCAGTCCCTCCGTTCGGGGTCCCTGACTTCCTGCAACAATTATTATATTGCTATGAATACTATTATATATTTTTTCTAATATTAAGCTCACTTAAGCTTAGAGTCTAATATACAGTATAGAAATAAAATTTAAATCTTCTCAATGCTCCAATGGAATGTATCCAATAGATACATTCTTCAACAATGTATCTATTATTGTTTATAAGGACTATACATCTTAAGCACTAAGACAAGTATAAAACATTGTTTTTATACTAGATATAATATGTGTAATCTGAAATGTCCCTATGAAATGTTAAATAAGTCTAAAACTTTAGATATTAAAAAAAAAGTACTTATCTGTTCTGTAAAGTGCCAGTTCCATGTTGGGTCAACCTTAAGTTCTGAGTTTATTCATTATCCTGAAATCCAATCTTCCTCCTGCCTTTTGTATAGCTACAGGTACATTGTTATAAACTCAAAGCTCACAGGTGGAAGTGGGCTCCAACCAAAGGGCCAGGAGTCAGAGCTTCCATGTAAAGATTTCAGACATGTGACAAAATTTATACTCTCAAAAGAAACTATGGAAAACCAAGATTATGGTGAATTCTTAGTTAATAACGTTCCTTTATTTTAATAAGGACAATTTCTTATGTGGGCTACAGGTTCTGATTACAGGGTTTGAAATTTAGTCATCGTGTTAGGTTCAATATGGCAAACTGAATACATGCATCTGCCTACCCTTCAACACAAAACCCTTCTGAAATGGTAATACACATGTCTCACCTTCATCCTACACACACATAATTAATATAATGTATATACTTTTAAGAAGGAAACAATAACACAGAAAGCCAAGGTGAGATTCCATCAGTAGACCAGAAACTTTCAGAAACTACAGGAAGGGAGAAAGCACATGGGAGGGAACTGGTGGAGAAATCAAAGCAGAGGAAACCACAGCCTCTCAAAATGGTGCTTCCTTGTTTTCTAGGGCCTCCAGGAAATCTCTATGCTCAGAGTCAACAAACACAGAGATAAAGAGTTGATCAGGGATAAGTCTACCCAGGTTATCTCATGAAGGACGAATGGCTGGGGCACCTGAATCCATGATGTTTACATTCTCCTCCCCAACAGAGACATTTGCCCTCAGGGGCAAGCATACCTCCCTCATTTCAGTGAAGGAAAGAGCAACCAGGGTGTTAAGGCCTCACAGAAATAGAAGAGAGTGTGAGTTATTTCTAGATTTCTCCAAAACATGCACCTATTCCAGAATCTCTTCACCCAAGGGTAGAACAGTACATCCCACAGTAAACTTTTTTAAATTTTGAATATTGATCAGGGTCCCCTCAGCTTACCCAACTCGGGCTACCTTGCCTATATACCTTAAGGGAAACCTTCCTGTGTAAACAACCTGCTCACTTTCATGATGTTAGCTATTTCATGGTCTTCAAAGTTATTTAGATTTTATAACACAACAGAAAATACTTGATAGTTTTTCAGGTCTCTAAGTTTAAAGCTTTGTGGCTAGGTGCAGTGTCTCATGCCTACAATCCTAGCACTTCGGGAGGCTGAGGCAGCCAGTTAACTTGAGCCCAGAAGTTCAAGACCAGCCTAGGCAACATAGCAAGACACTGTCTGTACAAAAAAAATTAAAAAATTAGCTGGGCATGGTAACATATGCTTGTGGTCCCAGCTGCTCGGGAGGCTGAGGTGGGAAGATTGCTTGAGCCTGGGAGGCTGAGGACAGTGAGCTGTGATCACGCCACTGCACTCCAGCCTGGATGACAGAGAGAGACCTTGCCTCAACTTAAAAAGAGAGAGAGAGAGAGAGAGAGAGAGAGAGAATTTTCCACGTATGTTTACAATACCTGCTTACAATTCAGTGATTTTTCCATTCTAATCCTGAATACATATAACCTGTACCTTTGCTTTGAAATATTTCCACTTGAATTTCCCATTAAACAGTATGTTCTAAACCCTTCCACCAAGAAGCACTTTTCAATTCTGCTTTTTTCCCCATCAGACCACTCTTTTCCAGGCTCTCAGTCTAGAAATCTTGAGATCAACTTTGACTACTGTTCAATAAAATTTATATGAGGACATTGATTTGGACTGAGCTCCTGCAGTAGGCCCAAGAAACCAGACCAAACCAGAATGGAGTCACTTATGCTAGGTGACACACAGTCAAACTGAACATTGAAAAGGGCCAGTTTTCTGAAGAAAAACGAACAAACAAAAGCAGGAGATTCACAGCAGCCAATCAGAAGGGGCCCAGTTTCCCTGAGCTGGCATGATAAAGAAGTCCTTTCTACTTTAATCCTATAAGGAAAGTAACTTTGAAACAACCAATCAGCTTTTTGTTCCCTGTTTCTGCTTTCTTCAGCCCTTTTCTGCCTATGAAGCCAACCTCTTAAGCATAATTCATTGGAGAGCCTTTGCTAGATCTTTGGAAGAAACGCCACTGATTCATGAGTCACTAATAAGTCAATTAGATCTTTTGAATTGTTGCAATTTTGTCTTTTGACACTACTATGTTTCCTTTTAACCCCATATTCATTCCACAGGAAGGCTGCTATTTTTCACATTGCTTCTTTAATCAAAAAAGTTTCGTGAATTCTGACAGAGTATTACAATTCTCATATTTGACATTCAAATCCTCTATATAATCTTCCCACCCTGTCCCCACAGAACTCTATTTATTCCACAATCCTCCGACAGGAACCTGGGTTCTAATTGGGCTGGATGGCCATTAGTCTTGCTCATTTCCAAATGAAAACACTTTTCTATGAATCTTCCTTCAGCCCCCGTTCAAAACTTTTCTTAGTGAAGTCTCTAATTTCTCCTAACTCTCACTATACTTAGAGCCAAGACCACGGCTCTTAATTTTTGTTCCAAGTGTGTTTTTTTTCTCACCTCTAACTAGTACACAGGTCTACCATCTCTTATTTGCAATTCTAAAATGCCACAAGTTCTGAAATCCAATTGTTTTTTCTTAACTCATTTGTCAGCAAAACCCAGAACTGAGATGAGATTAGCTGCCTTATGTTCCTCACTTTGTGTGAATATGTATACATCTTACTGCAAAAATATTAATGTGCAGATTCTGCCCTAAGCCATGCTGGGGTTACTATATAATAAAAGGTATCAAAACAGTATTACTTTTATTTAAATCCAGCAAGTTTTGAAATCGAAAACATATTTGGTTCTAAATGTTTTTTCACATAAGAAACTGTGGTCCTGTATAACTTCTCTGAGCTCAGAAATGTAAACTTCTTGTAGTTCTCACACAAATAATACTATGATTTAGTAAGAACTGGCCTCTTGAGGAAGTATAACATTGCTAGCTAGAATATAAAAATAAAGATCGGCCGGGTGCGGTGGCTCACGCCTGTAATCCCAGCACTTTGGGAGGCTGAGGTGGGCGGATCACCTGAGGTCAGAAGTTCGAGACCAGCCTGACCAACATGGAGAAACTCTGTCTCTACTAAAAATACAAAATTAGCTGGGTGTGATGGCACATGACTGTAATCCCAGCTACTTGGGAGGCTGAGACAGGAGAATCGCTTGAACACGGGAGCCGGAGGTTGCTATGAGCCGAGATCGCGCCACTGCACTCCAGCCTGGGCAACAAGAGTGAAACTCCATCTCCAAATAAATAAATAAATATCATAACCATTTCCATGGTCAGGGTATTCTGTGTATTATTTTCAATCCTGACTCTAGTTTATGTACTCAATGTTGTTAGCCCATTGTTGCATCTTCATACCAATTTCTAATTTCTGTTACCTTGCTTTGAAAGCATGTACCTTTGATATCCACTTCTGCAAAAAGTATGTAGAGAAATATTTCTAATTGGAAAGAGCTAGAACAGTCAGATCCAAATGTCATCTGTGGTGTTTTCAGTATGTTTTAAGAGTATCATTAAGACAATAATGCAAATATCTGAAATACTTTCAAAACAGAGTTAAATGAAATACAACAATAACGTTTGAGATTGAATTAGAGTAAGTATTGCACTAAAAATCAAAATCTTAATGGACTTTATAAAATTTAAGGTGTGTGTGCTAAGAAACAAGTTAGAGATAGAGCGGGACTTATATTGTATAAAATACAGTTTTAGTTCACTGCAACTCCAAAAGCAAACAATTATTTAACTCTCTCTCCATATGTTACTAAAAACAATCAGTATAATAAATCAGTATAACCAAACTGTATAGTAACTCCTCAATTCTGAGGGATAGGCTCCTAAAAACATCTATGGTAATATAATTTGTTAACAAGAAATTTATTATGGAGAAATTAGATAAGGAGATACTGAGTTTATAAATGACCACTGAATGTTCACTAAAGTAAAACAATTCAGACCAAGCACAAATGCTAAGTTTAAAGGAAGTTTTTGTTATACATGTTAAATTAGTAATACTGGGTACTATACAAATGATTTCCATTTACTGTTCCTTTACCACTAGAAACATTTCAGGATTTCTCTTCCCCAAGTTTCAAAAAGATATTTGTCAGTTAATTTGTCTTAATGAAGGTAAGTGCTGATTAAAAGGTCTTCTCCCCTGTGTCTTGTACAGCTAAATGCTTAAGGTTTTTATGATTTCACACACTCTTTAGTGTAACCGAGCCCTACCTGCAGTGAGTAACTGCTCAGGAACAACAAAGCTTTGCGTAACCTTGATTTACTTCAAAAACTCTCTCCCTGATACCCAAAGTGAAGTAATTTTAGTCCTCCTTGTATTTCACTGTCATTTCTCCTTAGCTTATTTCTTCCTCACTCATTCCTCATTTCTTATGACCTCAATAAATTTTATGTTATTCTGCCACATGTCCCTCAATTTTGATTTGTCTAATACTTTCCCATGAATGGACAAAAGTAATGCATTTTTGGCAAGAATATCATAGAAATAATGTTGTGACTTTCTTAAAGCACCATAGCACAGGATTCATGATGTCAATGTATCTTCTTGCTGGTGGTAACAACCATGATCACTTAGTTATAGTAGCTCCTACTTTGTAATGTTATCACCTTTCCCTTGGTAGTTAATAAATATCTTGAGGGAAATGCTTTGGAACTATGTATAAATCCTGTTTCTCCTCATAATTTTATGTACTAATTTCAGCATTTATCAGTGGATCTTGTTTACACTAATTATCACCAGTTCTTGCCTAAAGGTTATTTTCTATTTCCCTCTTTATTTCTACATTTATGAATTAAAATCCTACCATAACAGTTTTTTAATGCAACAGTGCTGCAATGAAATTTTAGTATGTCTCTAGGAAAGAGCTTCCCAATCATTTTGACATCATGGTACATATAGAAATATTATTTCTATACATACATTGAAGTAACTGGACAAGACTCCTGGCAGCCAGAGGTTATCGGCCAGTGAGGTATGGCTAAGTCCAGGCCCCACCAACACCTTTAGGATGAAGACTCATTACCATGGCAAATCTGTAACCTGTCTGTGGTACCCTAGTAAGAAAGCTCTAAGCTAGTGATGGCAGCGGTGGGCCATCTGGAGTGGCTGCTGTTATCACGCCAGCTGCAGCAGGTAGGTACACCCGGGCTGCATGCTCTGTGGGGTTGGCGGGAGCCAGGAACAGGAGGGAGTCCCACCCCTTCCGAGCTTGGGTGGGAGCTCCCCAGATGCCACTGCAGCCGCCCAAGCCACAGCTGAAGACCAGGGTATCTCTGTACTCTTGGGGCCTGGGAGGAGGGGGGAGCCCCACCATCCTGGGTGCAGCTGCAGCCGCCCAAGTTGTGGCTGTGGGCCCAGGCCTCCTGCTCCACAGAGCAGGCAGGAGCCCCGCCCTCCCTGGTGCAGCTGCAGCTGCCCAAGTTGTGGCTGTGGACCCAGGTCTCTCTGTGCTCTTGGGGGTGCCAAGAGCAGGCAGGAGCCCTGAACCTCTGGCACAGCTGTGGCTGCCCAAACTGTGGCTGCAGACCCAGGCATCTCTATACTCTTGGGGGCCCAAGAAACCCCCTCCCTGCCCTCGCAGGCTTGGAAGTACCTGCTACTGATGCTTGGCTTCTCCCTGCTGTCAGTACCCACTATGATCTTGGAGCAAAGTCAGGGTTGAGCCCAGATGCTATAACAGCCCAGCCAAGTGTGCACATGCTCAGGGCGGTGCAAACATGCCAGCCCCCTGCAGCCTCGGCCCCCTCCAGACTCTGGGCATTGATGAACACCTAAGGGAAGCCAAGGCAGGGTTGAGGGCGGCCTGGCACTGGCCTGCAGGCCCTCTTGGCACCTACAGCCTAGGTGCCATGAACAGGCAGGAGGCAGACAGGTTCCTGGGCAGAAGGGGGCAGGTTCCTGGTGAGGCCCCACTTTCAGGCCAGGGAGGGCCTGAAGGCTGGCGGCTGGACTGCCAGTCCTGTGGACTGGGGTGAGAACGTGTGGTGCCTTTTTTGAGCCTGCCTATGGACCAATGGGCATGCACTTCCTCACCCCTGAGGCCCATAAAAGCCCCAGGCTCAGCCAGAGCTGAGCAGGCATCGGGATGACTAGCTGCAGAGAGGAGCTACCTACTCCAAGGCTTCCTCTCTGCTAAAAACTGCAGATGTCAGGACAACCAGGTGCAGAGAGGAGCAACCCACTCCAGAAACTCCTCTCTGCTGAGAGC
Organism: Homo sapiens; assembly: GCF_000001405.40. Taxonomy (NCBI): domain Eukaryota; kingdom Metazoa; phylum Chordata; class Mammalia; order Primates; family Hominidae; genus Homo; species Homo sapiens. The sequence continues at coordinate 47,533,083 of NC_000016.10, read as the reverse complement.
TGCAGAGATGATGGGATGACCTGCTTGCAGAGGGGAGCTTCCCACTCCATGGTCTCCTCCCTGCTAGGAGTTGAACACTTATCAGGATAACCTGGCTGCAGAAAGAAGCTACCCACTGCAGGTCTCCTCTAAGTTGTTCCACTGCTCAATAAAGCTCTTCTTCATTTTGCTCACCCTCCACTTGACTGCATACCTCACTCTTCCCAATCACAGGACAAGAACATGGGACCCATAAAATGGTGGGGCTAAAAGAGCTGTAACACAAATAGGGCTGAAACGTGCCCCTTGCCTGCCACATTGTGGCCCTTTGGGGAGCCCAGACGTGGGAGCTCCCTGAGCCAGGGCTGACTCCCTCTTTGGGGTCCTGTGGTTCCTGACATCTCCAAGCTTCTGGGTGCCACTGCATTCCCCAGTGCCAGCTGTGGAAGCTGCTTACAGTGCACCTGGTCCAGCTGCAGCCTCACAGAGAGCTGGCACCCATGCCAACACCTAGAGCTGCCCACTCCGTTGCAGCAGCTAGCATATTTGACTGTGCAGTGTCCAGACCCTACACTTGCTCATACACCCCTCACCACTCCACATCTGGCTCATCCTTGGCAGGCATGGGATCCAGCCTGGTAGCATGAGCCAAGTGGAATGAGCCCAGTGGACTGGAGCAAAACTTGGGCAAAGGTGCCACTGGCCACAGAGGTTTCTGGCCAGAAAAGCAACACCCCAAGGATCCCATAACACCATAACACTAGGGTATCATCTAAACGCTGAACTGGTGAATTGTACACCAAGTGCACCTTCAATTTTACTAGATATTGTCAAATTGCTCTCCAAATTAGTTACAAGAACTTATGCCCACCTCAAGAGGGCAGAGAATTATCAATGCTTTGTATCCTTCACTGATAAGTAGGGTTATCTAACTCTTGTTACACAAGTCTGATGCATGTGAAGTGGCATATGATCGGGGTTTAAATTTGAATTTCCCTAATTAGGGGTCCTAATTTCCTGTTTTTTAAATTGAGGGTTTTTTAAATTGATAAGTAATAGTTCTTTATTCTAGATACATATCTTGTGTCAGATACCTGTGTTACAAATGTCTTCTCTCAAGTCTTGGCTTTTCTTTTCACCTTGTTTATTGTTGTTTTTTGATGAGCAGATTGTTACTTTAATGGATCAAATTGATTTTATGTGTGTATGCATTTTATACTTTTATGTCTTACTGAAGAAAGCCTCCCTTCCCTGAAATCAGAAACATATGCTCTCCTAAAATTTCCTCTCCAATAGTAGTTCTCAGATTGTGATATAGGAAAATTAAGAGACCATGAAGTTAAAACTATTTTGCCTCTCATTGTCTCACAAACGTAACATGAGTTTTCTAGTGGCTACATTATATACGTAATATTGCAATACATTGATGGCAAAAGTGGGTAGAGAATCCAAGTGTCTTCTATTAAGCCAAAATTTAGAGATTTCCAAAAATGTAAAGCAATGCTATTATTTTCACTCAATTATTTTTATTTTGGAAAAGTTATTTTTATTAAAAATACAGTATTTATGTTAGCCTGTAATGGATTATTTTAAAATTAATAAAATAAATACACTCAATGTATCTTTTACTTTCTAATATAGTAACTATCAAGGGATGTAAACACACACAAAACAAATGTAAGCATATAAGGTCAAACAAAAACTCTACCGGGTTCTCAAAATTTTAAGAATATAAAGGACCTTGAGATCAAAAAGTTTGAACACCCTTGCTCTAAAAGTATAACCTTTGTGCCTTTCACAATTCACACCTGGGAACTGATTATCACATAAAAAGTGGCTTCCAATATCTTTTATAAAAATAATGAAAATCCATTTATTGAAGAGGTCACCCTATGGCTCTGGAAAGCCTACACTTTCATAAATCTAACTCCATATACGTATGTGTGTGTCGGGAGGGGGTGTATATAAGTCATTTCTGGGCCCTCAATTCTGTTCCACTGACAATATGTCTAGCACCATACTAATATCACATTGTTGAATTTCCATGGATGTATGGGGTTTATATCAGGTAAAGGAAGTCTCCCTTCATATTTTTCCTTCTCCAAAATCACCTTGTGTATTTTACAGTTTATTCTTCTAAATAAATTTTAGGATGAGTTTCTCAAATTCCATTAAAAATCTGTTGAGACGTCTACGGAAATTTTGTTGAGTTTAGAGATTAATAATATAGCAAGAATCAGTATCTTTACATTATTAAGCATTCTTGTGTATTGACATTATTTATGCTAATATTTATTTAGATCTTCATTTTATGATCCAAGTTTTATAATTTTGTCCATCTGCTATTAGGTTCTTTCCCAGGTACTTTAGAGTATAATATTTACTTTACATTAGACCAATTTTCTGACTAGTTATTGCTGCTCTATAGATAAAATTATTGCTCTCCATATGTTGATCATGTATCCAGCTTTACAACTATATTTTTAATGACTTTTAGTAGTTTATCTAAGAATTCATTTCAATTTACTAGAAATTCATTTTAATTCACTAGAAATGCAAACTTTTTCATTTCTGCCATTGCCATCCACACCTATTACTTCTTGCCTTATTGCTTTGGCTAGGTCACCTGTACAATGTTAAATAGGAGTTTAGTGGCCAGGCGCAGTGGCTTTCCCCTGTAATCCCAGCACTTTGGGAGGCTGAGGCAGGCGGATCACTTGAGGCCAGGAGTTCAAAAACAGTCTGGGCAAAACCCATCTCTACTGGGTGGGCGAAACCACATCTCTACTAAAAATACAAACATTAGTTGCGCATGGTGGCACACGCCTGTGATCCCAGCTACTTAGGTGGCTGAGACATGAAAATTACTTGAACTCAGGAGGCAGAGGTTGCAGTAAGCCGAGATCATGCCACTGCCATCTAGCTTGGGTGACAGAGCAAGACTCTGTCTGGAAAAAAAAAAAAAAAAAAAAGGAGTTTATATAATCAGTATCTCCTTTTCTTGTCCCTCAAACTAAAGGGTCTGATTCTAATGTGATATCTGCTGCAGATTTTTGGTAGATATATTTTATTAGATTAAGAAAATTCCATTTTATTAGAATGCTTTTCATGAATAGGTGATGAATTCTTTGCCAAATATGTTTTATGCACCTATTGAAATGGTTATATGGTTTTTCTTTCTTCCTTAATTTGCTAATGTAATGAGTTACACTAACGGATGTTCCCATTTTAAATCATCCTTGCATTTCTAAGATTAAACACTACCTGGTCCTGGCACATGATGCTAACTGACCACCAATATCTGGTCTCTCTTCCTTTCTTGATAATAAAACCCTGATTTTTAACTTCATAAGGCTCCACAGCAGCAGGAATGGTTGTGTGACCAAGTTCTGGCCAATGAGATTATACAGATGTCATGGGACCAAGCTTCTAGAAACTTAAAAAATATGTATGTTTTTTAGGCTGGGTGCGGTGGCTCATGCCTGTAATCCCAGCACTTTGGGAGGCAAGGTGGGCGGATCACGAGGTCAGGAGATCGAGACCATCCTGGCCAACAAGGTGAAACCCTGTCTCCACTAAAATACAAAAAGTTAGCCAGATGTGGTAGTGCGTGCCTGTAGTCCCAGCTACTTGGGAGGCCGAGGCAGGGGAATTGCTTGAACCCAGAAGGCGGATATTGCAGTGAGCCAATATCACACCATTGTACCCTAGCCTGGCAACAGAGCAAGACTCTGTCTCCAAAAAAAAAAAAAAAAAAAATTATTTTTTAAAGATTTTTGTAGCGATGAGTTCTTGCTTTATTGCCAAGGCTGGTCTCAAATTTTTGGCTTCAAGTGATCCTCCCACCTCAGCCTCCCAAAGACTTGGGATTAGAGATGTGAGCCACTGCACCTGGCCAAGAAACTTCTTTAAAGCCTCTTCTTTTTTGATTCTTACATACAAGTGTAGACATGATACCTAGAGGAATACCACCTATATTATGATTATTTGGATAAATGTCTCATGCCAAATACAGCAGAGGGATAGAAAAGGAATCCATATCCTTGATGACTGTTAAAGCCTAGGAAAACACTTCCAATCCCCAGCATTTTTTGTGTATAAAATAAATCCTGGCCAGGCATGGTTCCTCACGCCTGTAATCCCAGCACTTTGGGAGGTTGAGGTGGGTGGATCATGAGGTCAGGAGTTCAAGATCACCCTGGCCAAGATGGTGAAACCCCATCTCTACTAAAAACACAAAAATTACCCGGTGCAGTGGCAGGTGCCTGTAATCCCAGTTACTTGGGAGGCTGAGGCAGAAGAATCGCTTGAATCTGGGTGGCAGAGGTTGCAGTGAACTGAGATCATGCCACTGCACTCCAGCCTGGGAGACAGTGAGACTCCGTCAAAATAAAAAAAAAAAAAAAAAGAAAAAGTCCTTTATTTATTGAAACCACTGTTCGATGGGTTTTCTTTTATTTGTAGCCAAGTGAAACTTTACATGATACCTTATCCATGACTCATTTACATTCTCATTCTCCATGTTTCCAAAAGAATACACGAAAAAAAAAAATTGAGCCTGGTTTAAAATTTGATTTATTCATACTAACATCATCAACTTTTATAAAATTATACCAATCTCATAAAATTTATTGAGGAGCTTTTCCTATTTTATAAGGCAGGAGTTATATCTTCCTTTAAGCTTTGATAAAATGTGCCTATTAACTAACTAGCTAGAGAGCTATTCTCTTTTTGGAGAAGATGAAGAGAAAAAGTAAGATTTCTGAAAAATGATTTACTTTCTTCAAAGGCTACTGATTATGCATTCCTAGGGAGGTGAAATTGGTTCTCAAGAGAGCAAGGGGCAAAAAAAATCTTAGCTATTACAATAAGGTCTGACCCTTCAAAGCTCAATTCTACCCAACAAAATGTTACTCTTTAGTATTTAATTTCTCACATTAGGGAGAATTTAAATTAAATAGTTTTCCCTTCCTTGGAGGCAACAAAAATAACAACAACAATAAAAAGCTTAAGAACTGTTATAAGTCTATTTCATTATTCTATTTCTTTCTAAGTCACTTACAGTAACTACTTCTTTGCTAAGGCTGCCATATAAAATACCATAGTCCGTGTGGCTTAAGTAACAGAAATTTCTCTTTCCACAGTTCTGACAGTGGGAAGTCTAAGACCAAGGTGTTGGCAGGTCTGGTTTCTCCTGAGACCTTGCTCTTTGGCTAGCAGAAGGCCATCCTCCTGCTGCTTTGTCCTCATGTGGCCTTTCCTTTGTGCACACACACCCCTGGTATTCCTTTCTACATCAAAATTTACTTCCCTTATGAGGACACCAGTCAGACTGGATTAGGTTTCACCCAAGGGCCTCATTTTAATTTACCTCTTTAAAGACCCTACCTTTAAAACACTATGTTTATATCTCCAAATAGTCACATTCTGAGGTAGCAGGGGCTACAGCTCCAATGTATGAATTTTGACGGGACATAATTCAACCCAAAACAGTAAATTATGGTGTTTCTAGAACACATTCCATTTGGAAAGTTTTAAAATTTATTGCCGTGCACTTTCTTATAGAAGATTCCTTTTTTCTCTTTTAATCTCTACTTATTTACAGTTATGTTCTCCTTTTCATTGTGAATATTGTTTCTCTGTTTAACTCTTCCTTATCTGCTTGGTAAATTTTTTAAGAGGTCAGTTTATATTGTTAATCTTTTTTAAAAAATAAAGCTGTTGGTTTTGAGAGTCTCTATCCTACCTTTATATTTGATACCATTATTCCTATATTTATCTTTATTACTTTCTTCCTTCTACTTGCTTTGTGTTTACTAAGGCATACTTTTCCTAACATTTAAAATCTAATATTTAACTTATCAATTTTCCATCATAACTCTTTTCTACTATCTGCATGTGATATAGTTTGGATGTGTGTCCCCTCTAATCTCATGTTGAATTGTAATTCCCAGTGTTGGAGGTGGGACCTGGTTAGAGGCGAGTAACTCACGGAGGCAGATTTCTTATAAATGGTTTAGCACCATCCCCTTAGTGCTTTCCTAGAGATAGTGGGTGAGTTCTCATGAGATCTGGTGGTTTAAGACTGTGGCACCTCCCTCCCCACTCCCTCTTGCTCCTGCTCTGGCCATGTGACTTGCCTTCTCCTGTTTTGTCTTCTGCCTTGAGGAAAAGTTCCCTGAGGCCTCTCCAGAAGCTGAGCTGATGCCAGTGCTATGCTTATAGAGCCTGCAGACCTGTGAGCCAATTAAACCTTTTTTCTTTACAAATTACCCAGTCTCAGGTATTTCTTTATAGCAATGCAAGAACGGCCTAATACAACATTCAAGGCTAAAAACTGCTCACCAATAACACTTCCGCTATATGCTACAAGTATTGATATGATGTGTTTTCATTTTTGTTCCATGGTATTTCTCAATTTCCATTTTCATTTTTTCTTGAAAAACCATAAAATAAAAGCTATTTTTTTTTCTTTTTGCTTTTTTGTTTAAGAGATGGAATCTTGCTCTGTCACTCGGGCTAGAGTTCAGTGGTGCCCTGACCGTTCACTACAGCCTTGAACTCTTGACGATGGGGCCTGGTTGGGAAGGAAACCAGCTATATGATTACAGGATTGAAACTTTCAGTCCCAACTCTCAACCTCCAGGAACTGAAGGTTGAGCTTATCAGCAACGGTGAATAATTTTTTTTTTTTTTTAGAAGAATCTCACTCTGTCGCCCGGGCTGGAGTGCAATGGCACGATCTCGGCTCACTGCAAACTCTGCCTCTCGGATTCAAGCAATTCTCCCTGCCTCAGCCTCGCGAGCAGCTGGGATTACAGGTGCCCGCCACCATGCCCAGATAATTTTTGCATTTTTAGTAGAGACAGGGTTTCACCATGTTGGCCAGGCTGGTCTCGAACTCCTGACCTCAGATATCCATCCGCCTTGGCCTCCCAAAGTGCTGGGATTACGGGCATGAGCCACCGCACCCAGATGGCCTAGTCATTTTTTTTAACCCAATTTTGAGGCCCTGGTTAGAGGCTGGTTAGTTCTTCTTGAGTAGCAGATCTATACCCCAACCACTTCCCGGATTAGCTCTCACACTGGACCATTATGTATCTACCCTAACTGCCCCAGGGCCAGCTATCCTACAAAGTGAGAAAACCCGTATACAGGAGCCACAGAAAGTACTCAAATTAGCTAATCCATAGGGAGCCCAAGAAACCTAGCTAACCCTCCCTTCCTCATTATGCTTTTATAAACTGTTCCCTACTGTTGAAGCTTGCTGTTCACCTGTCCTCTGGTACAACTCCCTGTGTAGCCCTACATGGGGGCTTTCATTCACAGCTATAAATGACAAACAGAGTGCACTTCATCTAAAGATGAATAATGAAGAGTTGGGCATTTCACTTAAGATGAACAAAGATTTGTGCTTTTCATCATTGCGTTGTTTTCGGCTAGCAAAAAAAATCCTTAAAGCTCATAAAACACACGGTGGGGCAGATTAATGGATTAACACCATAAGGTCATTTAGGGACCCAAGTTCCTTCCATCTCTTGTTCCCTAGGAGTTTTCTTAGGCAGGGGAGAAAAGAGTTATTTTTATGTATTTTGTACAAGATGTGTTTTGTTCAATTCAGATTGACAGTCATCATCTCTTCAAACAGTGCTTTTCCCCAATTCTCTCCATTTTGAAATAGATTTACCTTATTTCATATATTTTTTCCTATTTATACATCTCTTAACACTGATAGAAAGTAGTTATCTTTTTAATGCTCTGCCTTATTGAAGAAAAAGCCACCCCTTTCCTAAAATAGTGATCATTTGTGGGTAAAAACTCCAGACATATTAAAATCAAAGAATAAATCTTTTCTCAACTAAACTGTATCTGCCTCCTGCTCAAAATATTAAAATAGTTTGTCCTTGGGGAATTCTCCCTCTCCTGCAGGTGACAAGTGAACCGTATGCAATACTAAAGAACTTTCATCCCAGGATTTCAAGATTTTAGGGAAAAAATGGATAATTTATGTAATTATAATAAAAATTCTACTGAAAATTCACAAACTTTGCCTGACTCAGAATACTAAAGCCAACTAAAAAGTAATAGCCACTTTTCAATACCACTGGATAACAAATAATATAACTTGATTTAAAAATTCCCATAAAAGAATTTTTAAAAAAATTTTAAAAGATTTTTAAAAATCGTAAGTGAGTCAAGTAGAATTTTCATGATATAGTAAAAAGAAAAATATTAAAGTGTTCCCTTTTAAGACTTCCCAGTCAGGCAACACGGGGATACTGAATGAAGGAATTTCAGAACTGGAAAAAATATCCTCAAAGAATGTTATTAGCAGATCAAACACAAATGAATACTAACGTTAGCCCCTAATCTTATCATTAGTAGCTTCATTCCCATGGTGGCTGAGAATATGTGGTCAATAGTAACTGATTCAAAATACACAGATACTGCAAAGAAAAAGGCACGCACCACCACTCCCAGGTAATTTTTGTATTTTTAGTAGATACAGGGTTTCACTATGTTGGCCAGGCTGGTCTCGAACTCCTGACCTCAGGTGATCCACCAGCCTCAGCCTCTCAAAGTGCTGGGATTACAGGCGTGAGCCACCCCACCCAGCCTGGTTGTATATTTCTGACACATGTTACAGAATGTCAGACAGCCATTAAAAGTGTTGTATATAGATGTTTAAATGTAGCAAAATGTATGCAGCATATTAAAGTATTTTTTTTAAGGCAGTTAAAAAACACACTGGGACTCCAGGGTTAATGGATCTTATAAAATGACTGAACTGCAGGATAAAAAGGTTTTCTTTGGCAGTAGGGGAAGGTACAAATATAAAGTTACATAAACAATAATTACTGAAAAACAAACGGAATCCAAATCACGGAACAGCAGAGGAAAGGCCTCAGGAAATCCAATTGTTCACACAAGCAGTAAGAATATTGACAAAACTCATCAAACTTTTTCAGAACTCCGGAAATTCAACAAGAGCATACAACGATCCGAGCATTAAATCAAGAAAAATGGCTGAAACCTCACTAAGTAGAGTGAGCTTTGGGGTATGTGAAATTGCCCTATTCTCAACCCTTCTCCCCAACTCTGTAGTAGGTTTATATATCAACAGCCACAAAATCATAGTACACATGAAAAACCAGCAGACTAGCAACAACATGAAGGAGGAACAGAACAGCTTTAGAACTCCCCCAAATCACCATCTTAGTAAACTGTTACTATTTGAATGTCTGACAGCTCCTTGAACACAGGCATTAAGAGCTTTTCTTTAAATGACCTCAGAGCTCACATAGATGCAAATGGCCTTTTTTCTAGGCATATAAAGGAAATAATCAGTTGCAACCATTTAACACTGCAGCTGCCTAAAACAAATCTTCTTAAACCTGGGGGATGAAGTGTCCACGGGGGCCACTGAAAATCTCCAACATATTCCTGGAAAGTCAGAAAGCTATGCACACACATAGGTGTGGGCCTATAGTAAGTAAAGACCTGAGCTAATACTCCCACACCTCTGGCTGAACTGGATGCTCTACAAAAGCAGGAAGTGAAAGCTCAAGTAGAATTGGGCACTTCCTATGAGAGCTTTCAAGTTATGCCTAACACATACAGTGAGAAACTCTGCAAAGGCTAGGAGACTGATTCGTTCAAAGCATTTAAGTAAATTCCTGTTCAATCATTAACTGACCAGTAAGCTAACTCAGCAAAGACCTCAATGGCCACCTATGACAAAGAATACATAATTCACAGAAAATTTTCAGGAAAGATGCTAAACAAACAGGCAACTCCACAAATATAAACATCAACACCACCACACTTTGAAGTAGGGAGACCTGATTTCTGGAGTTAATATATTATTCTAAATGTCCAGTTTTAACAAAGAAAGATGAGACATGCAAAGAAACAAGAAATTGTGGTCTGTATATCTGAAAAATGAAATTAATAGACACTGTCCCTGATAAAGTCCAAACACTGGACTTACTAGACAAAGACTTTAAATCAAATATTCTAAATATGCTCAAAGGGCTGAAGGAAATCATGTACAAAGAACAAAAGGAACTCCTGAGAAAGATGTCACACCAAATAGACAAAATCAATAGAGACAGAAATTACTAAAAAAAAAAAAAAAAAAAATTGACTTGAAAAGGCAATAATGTGAATAACCATGTTCAATAATGTACAGAGATCATACCAAGGATGTTTTCCCACCATCATGGAATGAAATTATAAATCAGTAACAGAAAGAAATTTAAAAATTCACAAATATGTGAAAATTAAAAACTGTACTACTAAATAAACAATGGGTCAAAGAAAAACTCACGAGAGAAATCAAAAAACACATTGAGATGAATGAATAAAAAAACCACAGAATATCAAAACTAATGGCATGCAGATAAGTAGAGGGAAATTTATAATTGAAAATGCCTGTATTTTAAAAAGAAGAATGATCTCAAGTCAATAATTTAATCTTTTAGCACAAGAAACTAGAAAAAATAAGAGAAAAATGAACCTAAACCAACCAGAAGGAAAAAAATAATAAAGACTAAAAAAAAAATAAATAAAATGGAGAAGAGAAAAATAATTTTAAAAATAAAACCAAAAATTGATTTTTTGAAAAGGCTAACAAAAATCAATAAACCTTTAGCTAGGCTGACCAAGAAAAAAAGGGATAAGACTCAAACTATTAAAGGAAGGATGAAATAAGGGACATTAACATCAATCTTAGAGAAATAAAGAGGACTTAAATAGGATACTATGAACTAATATGTGCCAACAAATTAGATAATCTAGATTAAATAGACAAATTCCTGGAGAAACACAAACTACTAAAACTGACTGAAGAAGAAATAGAAAATCTGAAGAGAAATGGTAATCAAAAACATTTCCATAAAGAAAATCCCAGACCCAGCAAGCTTTACTGATAAAATCTATCAAACATTTAAAGAATTAATACCAATCCTTCAAAAAATAGAAGAGGAAACATTTCCTAACCCATCCTAGGAGTCCATTATTGGCCCTGGTACCAACACCAGACAAAGGTATCTCATCCACATATATAAACCAACAAAACACAGAATGGATATATACCAATATCCATTATGACTATTAATGTAAAAATACTCAACAAAGTATCAGCAAATGAATGCAGTGACATTTAAAAAGGATTATACATCATGACCAAGTAAGATTTATCCCAGATATTTTAGATGGGTTCAAAATAAGAAAATCAATCAATGAAGTAGTATATATTAATTAAATAAAAAACAAAGATCACATAATCATCTCAACAGATATAGAAAAAATATTAAAAATCTAACAACTTTCCATGATGAAAGCACTCAAGAAACGAGGAATAGAAGGAAACTTTCTCAATCTGATGAAGGGCATCTCCAAAAAAACCCACAGATAACATTTTTCTTTTCTTTCCTTTTTTTTTTTTGAGACGTAGTTTCGCTCTTGTTTCCCAGGCTGGAGGGCAATGGCACAATCTCAGCTTACCACAACCTCCGCCTCCCGGGTTCAAGCAATTCTCCTGTTTCAGCCTCTCCAGTAGCTGGGATTACAGGTGTACGCCACCAAGCCAAGCTAATTTTTGTATTTTTCAGTAGAGACAGGGTTTCATCACATTGGTCAGGCTGGTCTTGAACTCCTGACCTCATGTGATCCACCTGCCTCGGCTTCCCTAAGTGCTGGGATTACAGGGGTGAGCCACCGCACCCAGCCCACAGGTAACATTTAATGGTGAAAGATTAAAAGGTTTTGCCCTAAAATCAGGAACAAGACAAGGATGTCCACTCGCAGCCCTTATTTTCAAGATTGTATTGGAGCATCTATCCAGGGAAATTAGGTAAGAAAAAGATTTAAAAGCTATCCATATTGGATATGAAGAAGTAAACTATTACTATATGCAAATGACATAATATTCTACATAGAAAACCTAAAGAACTCATAAAAACGATTAAAGCTTAAACACGAGTTCAAGATTGCAGAACACAAGATCAATTTATAAAAATCAAATGAATTTCTATATGATAGCAATGAACATTCTGATAATAAAATTAAAAAGCTCCATTTAACCTAGTATACAGAATAAAATATGCAGGAAGAACTTAAAAGAATGAAAGAATAATGTATTAAAAACTACAAAACCACATTAGAAGAAATTTTAAAAGACCTATGACACCTAAAGCACAAGCAACAACAAAAAATTAGATAAATGAGACTTAATCAAAATTAATAAAAAGCTTTGAGCTTCAAATGATATTATCAAGAAAATGAAAACACAACACATTCTCTGTTTTCCCCACAATAATATGGACTGCATGATGTTACAGACTAAATTCTTTTTTCATTTTTATATTCTCACTGTTTGGCCCATTATGGAAACTCAATAAATGTTTATCAGATAGTTGTATAATCCATGCAAGGATGCATGACCAAATAGAAACAACTATACATGAATAAACCTGTAAGCCTTAGGTCTCTTTGGCTGCCTTTGAAGCTTGAATATGATGTTGCCACATGACATATATGTCACTCATATCTGTACAGGTTAAACAGAGATCTAACACTCACTGTCAGCATAGAAAATGAACTCTTGAGTCAGACTACTTGGTTTAAATCCAAGCCCTGCCACGTACTACATGTGCGACCTTGATAAGCCACTTAGTGGCTCTCTGCATTATTTTGGTCATTTGTAAAATGAAGATAGTAACTGTACCTACCTGACAGAGTTGCTGTAAGGATTAAATAAGTTTTTCTATATGCAAAGCACTTTGAACAGTGACAGCACATAAGTTCTATATAATGTTAGTCATTATTACTATTGCTACATATAATTTTAGAAACAAGGACAGTGTTATCTTTCTATTTTTAGAGGAAAAACCATCCATAAATAGTTTTGAACAACTTACTTATTTCTCTGTGTAAACTGATGACAAGCAGGAGCTAAGAATACCTTATAATGCCTCTAAGATTACTTATAGAAAAGATTTGTTCCAACTTTTGAGATAGAAACCCCTCAAGTTCAGCCTGATAACCATCTCATAGCAAAAGGTAGAATCTAGGACACAAAGCTTCCATACAACAAATAAAAGCCAGAAAAAAAATTTAATATTTTAAAGAGAAAACATGTACACAAAACATGTACACAAAAACATGTACACAACAACTTAGTAAATAGTAATAGAAAATAATAGAATAAAATACCTATCTTTAAAATAAAAGTCTTAGTGTACAAGGAAAAAAAATCCCACCTTAAAAAATCTCTCTAACGAAGTTCAACTAAAAACTACTGCTAAAAATAGCAGGCTGGCTCCTGATCATACGTAACTCCTAGTATCTAAGCCCTTGTGTAAATCCTGCCTACACTGAATAGGGATGACTTGTGTAATAAATAGGATACTGTATATAAATGTGACTTCTGAGGCTAGGTCATAAAAAGCACTGTATTTTTTTATCTCGTTTTCTTGGATCACTTGCTCTGGAGGAAACCATCTGCTATGTCATGAGGACACTCAAAGCAGCTCAGTTGGAAAGGTCTCTTGCTAATAACAGCTGGGGAGAAACTGAGGCTTCCTGCCAACAGCCATATGACTGAGCCATCTCAGAAGTGGGTCTTCCAGTCTCAGTAAACCCTTCAGATGAGTGCAGAGCCAGCTGACATCTTAAGTGCAGCTTCATGAGAGACCCCAAGCCAGCACCACCCAACTTAGCTGCTCCCATATTTCCTGACCCATGGGCTGTGAAATAATAAATGTTTAATCTTTTAAACTAAGTTCTGAGGTAGTTTGTTACATAGCAAAGATGACTAATACAATAAGAGAGAAATTCCATGTGTCATCCAATCTGAAACATGACATACTTGAAAAGAGCTGCTAGGTCATATGGTAGAAAACATCTTTGCAAAAAAAAGTAAATGACACTTGAGTTCATAAAGGGGACTTTCACAGGTCTTATGTTGAACAAGCACCTACAGTTTTGTGCACAATTTTTATTATAAGGCTTGCAACCTAAATGTGCTCTTAACAACTTCCATAAGAGACATAAAAAAGTATCTCAAACACAAAACAAAATTTCATTGTTATACAAATTTGAGGGGGTACTTTGACTTTAAATGAAGTAAGTTTCTCTGGACCCACTTCTAAATGATTTCTTTCTTATTTCTATGAATCTACTTTTAGAGTATATTTATTAATGGAGAATGTCATGAAACGAGACATGGAACGCCACGTAGCAGTTCATTACTTTGCCCCCCTCCAACAGATGTAAATAAGTTATCTCTATCAAAAGGATTGACTTAGGTAAATTTATATTTAGGTCTAAGTTTAACATATATGATGAGTTTCTCTCTAGATGAAGAAAGCAAACAGCAGTACAAGGGCAGAACTACAGAACTTTGTCTTTTTCAAAGTTTTTATTTTTAATAAAAAATGAGTATGACCAATATACACAGCAAGACTATTACAGACACTAGGAAATACTGATACCAAGGAAACATGGTACGCCTGTGTAGGCAACGAAAGATGTTAGAAAATTAGCATACATTACTGTGCCTGCCCTTAGAAAATACATTCTGCAGCAAAGTTCATCACCACAAACATGGCCACTCAGTAGGTTCACTGCCCCTTTGTAAAGGTGCACATGACCCTTAAGACCATGGCCCTCTCCCAAAGGAACTACAGTATAGATACAAATTTTATAAAAACAACAGAACCAGTAAAGGTATGATGAGCTGCAAAACAAAGGCTTATCAAAAACCCCAAAGTCCAGACAATGCAGTACCTATATTTCATTACATATGTATGTGTATGTGTGTGTGTGTGCACATATGTATATCTCCAAACTCTGAATTCTTCAATCCTAAGAAAAAGAAGCATTAGGGCAAATTTTAAATTTTATAGTAAATAGAGAAGGAAATAAACGGTAATCCCACTGACATCCTGGGTCCTTAGATTGTCTTAAAATGTGAGTATAACTAGGAACTGAAGATGTGGTAGGGTTATGAACTAGCCAAACCAGAGCCTAAGATACAGTTAAAAAAGAAAAGGCTTCCAAGTCATACCACTTTTCAAAGAATTGAATCCTCTGAGATCTTTAGATAAAAAGAATTTCATTAACTGATTCTATGCAGGTCCATTTACTGCCTCTCCATATGATCCAACACATTATACAGAATCTCAAGGAAAAAGATGGTGAGCGGAAATGACATGTTTTATTACTCTAGGATTTTTAAGTGTACATATTGAAGGCTATTGATAATTAGCTGCATAAAAACTTCACATATAGTAAATAAAAACCATAAGGCCAAGAAAAACCACAAATAAGAAATTTTTTTAAAAAAAGCAGTTTAAGAAGGTAAGGAACTATCCAAAAATTTTAAAGCTTACATAAGCCATATAAAACCAAATGGAATGGCTAAAGTGATATAATATTCATGAAAAATGGCAGTTGACAAATAAAAATACAAAATGAATTATGACATATATTGAGAAAGCAAAAAGTAAAATTTTTACAATTAAAAATAAATTACTAAACAAGGCCAGGTGCAGTGGCTCCCAGATGTAATCCCAGTACTTTAGGAGACTGAGGTGGGCTGATTGCTTGAGCCCAGGAGATCGAGAACAGCCTGGGCAACATGGTAAACCCATCTCTACAAAAAATACAAAAGAAATTAGCCGGGCATGGTGGTGTGCATCTGCAGTCCCAGCTACTGAGGAGGCTGAGGTGGGAGAATCACCTGAGCCCAGGAAGTTGAGGCTGCAATGAGCTGAAACGGTGTTACTGCACTCCAGCCTGGGCAGACAGAGTGATACACTGTCTCAAAAAAAAAAAAAAAAATTACTGAACAAAACAAAGCCACTTGTAAGCAATATTAGTTGCCACTAATTGTAAACGGTTATCATAAGATGTTCCACAGGGATCTAGGATATTTCTCCCAGTGCTTTGGAGATATTATGGGTGGAAAAATTGAGAAGCTAAGTGGGCTGGTTCTGGAAGGCCTCCTCTCCTCAGTCAGAGTCATGCTTCTTTTATTTGTTTTATATATTGGCATGCTCTTTAAGATTGATCTAAAACAGGAGTTTCCCAGCTCCTTTCCCTTATTTGTTTTATATTTTAGCATGCTCCTTAAAATTGGACTAAAACAGGAGTTTCCCAGCTCCTCCCTGATCCCAAATGCTTGAATAATCCCACTTCACAATATTATAAACACTAACAATTATTTGGATGAAATGAAACCATAGAATTCTTTGACAAATCAAATAGAAGAAACCATACTGGGTATTATTAATTTCTTACGACCATAATTTCTTCTTCATTATTTATCTTCACTTCTAAATAGAATTTATTTATTGTATGAGACTATAAACTCATACACTATAAGTGTGTATGAGAATATAAACTACTAGAGGGCAGGGCTACATGCACCTATTTTGTAGTACCCTCAGTACGGTCCAATGACAATTTTGGTGTTGAGTGTCTGATGTAATTGTTCTCCCTTGCATGGATCACAGGAGAGGAATAGTAACAAACATATATAGTACATCTACCCTTTCACAGAGTTCTCACTGCATGTACCAAACAATAAAAGCTTTTTTGCTCCCACTATGGCACATTTCAAAGTACATCAGCGCATGTGCTTGTGTGTTTGTTCAAGCATTAATGCCTGTGAAAGAAATGCTTCTCATCTTTGGGATATGAATTCTTTACAATTTTCCTAATAAGAATAAGAACATGGTATTTGTCTTTTGAAAAACATGAAGAATCCTACTGAGATCCTACAAATAAAAATAATATAACAGGATAAAAGTTTCTCTTTACTTTTCAAAGGGTGAGTTATGAAATGCAACGATGTAAAACAAAAGAAAGAGGCCGGGCACGGTGGCTCACTCCTGTAATCCCAGCACTTTGGGAGGCCGAGGTGGGCGGATCACAAGGTCAGGAGATCAAGACTGCCTTGGCCAACATGGTGAAACCCCGTCTCTACTAAAATACAAAAAATTAGCCAGGCGTAGTGGCACATGCCTATAATCCCAGATACTTTGGAGGCTGAGGCAGGGGAATCGCTTGAACCTGGGAGGCAGAGGTTGCAGTGAGCTGAGATCATACCACTGCACTCCAGCCCCGTGACAGAGCAAGACTCCATCTCAAAAAAAAAAAAAAAGACAATAATTGAGAAAATCTGCAAATGTTATTTTGCTTTCATTGTTACTAAAATTTTTTAAAAGTTACATGTTTTATTTTAGATCACCTGAAATAGAGTCTTCACGGGAGTAAAGTTTTACAACCTGTTACACATTGTGTTCATTTTAAAAGTGCAATGCATTGAAGATATAAAGACTTTTTCATTCAACAACCAACATCTACTATCTGATTATATAAATGTAACAGGAATACATTTTACATAAACTAAAAATAAGTTGTGAAAACTAAAAAAAAAAATAGATATTTTCAGAGGTGAAATTTAGTAATAGAAAATTTGGGGAAAGCATACCTCATCAGTGTTGTAGATAATCTGGAGTCCTGAGGAAATCATTTCCACAAGGTAAAGGAGATAAAGTGACACTGCATTTATCTGCAACAAACAGAAACATTAAAAGGTTAAAGGAAACAACCAAAACAAGTTATAAAATTAATCAATTAAGGCTAAAATTACAAGTCATTTGCTCTAATAGTGTCATAAAACTATTTCCTTTCCTACTGTGAATAAAGGTGTTGTGAATTTAGTTCATAATAAAAATCCCAGCTTTGTATGTAAAATTCTAAATTCTCAAATTCATTGTAATGGATAACACTGGATTAGGGAAACGGCTTCAAATAAAACTGTTAACAACTGTTTCTACATCATTTGGTTTCTTTACATGGCAAAAAGAACTTTGAAAAAAATAGGAACATATCATTTGTTTTTTAAGATTTATTTTCAAGCTTTGGGTCTAAAGTACTTCTACTCTACTTTGGAATAGTCTGGCCCCACAGGCAGTATGAAATGCCAATCCATCTCAAATACATGGAAATGAAAAAAGATATTTGGTAAGCAAGACACTATGATGATGCCAGTACCCCATAAACAATAGGCAGTGCATCTTGAAAACAGTCTCATATTCAACAAATACAGAATTTCTGTAAACAACTGCAGGAACATATTAATGTTAATGGTATAATATAATTTAAAACATGTTTATGAACAAATTAGTTTTATGAACAAAGGAGGTATTATTTTAGTGTATTAAAAATAGATATTTTATGATCTAAACAAAAAAATACTAATATCACTTTAACAAAAAAGGATACTCACAGAATCCTGAATGGGATGTGTGAATTGTCTCAGGTAAAGAAGCAGGAAAGGTACGTGCCACAACAGGCACAACCCTGTGTGGTTCATTTTAGGTGTCAATTTGACTGGATAAAGGGATACCTAGACAGCTGGCAAAGCATTATTTCTGGGTACATCTGTGAGGATGTTTCTGGAGGAAGCTGGCACGTGAGTTGGCTGTCTGAGTGGGGAAGACCTATTCTCAAGGTCGGCAGGTGCCACCCAATTGACTGGGGGCCACCCAGATGGAACAAAAAGGCAGAGGAAGGGTGAATTCTTGCTCTCATACACTCTTCTTCTCCTGCCTTTGGACATCAGAACTCCAGGTTATCCAGCTTTTGGTTCCAGGGCTTCCATCAGTGGCTCGCTGGGCTTTTGGGCCTTCATCCTCCAACAGAGAGTTACACCACTGGCTTGTATGGTTCTGAGGCTTTCAGATGTGGACTAAGCCACATTAGTGGCATCCTTGCTTTTGCAGCTTGCAGATGGCCTCTCATGGGACTTCTCAGCCTCCATAATTGTGTGGGTCAATTCCTCCAACCTCTCCTTCCCTCCCTCCCTCCCTCTGTCCCTCTCTCCTCTCCTCCACCTATTAGTTCTGTCCCTTTGGAGAATCCTGACCAATACATCTTGAAAACACAACGCTAAATTTAAAAAGCCAGTCACAAAAAGATCATTTATTGTATATGAAATGCCAAGAGTAGGCAAATCCACAGGGACAGAAAGACTGGTTGCTGCCTAGAGCTGGGGGGCTTTGGAGAATATAGGGAATACAAAGTTTCTTTTTGCAACCTAATGGGTACAATGTTTCTTTCTGGGGTGATGACAATGTTCTAAAATTTATAGTGATAATGGTTGAGAAACTCTGAATATACTAAAAACCATCAAACTATATACTTTAAATAGGTGAATTACATGTTACGTGAATTGTATCTCAATAAAACTGTTATTAAATAAGTAAATTTTTAAAAAGGCAGTGAAAAACTTTCAGCCAGGAAACTGTAAGCCTGAGTTAAAAACAAAGAGAAAGCAAGATGTAATTTTGTTTCCATAGAATTCTAACATAGATTATTTCCCTCTGACAGCTCCAGTGGCTATGTCTCCCATGACTCTCCTCCAGCCCAACTGAGTAATAGATGGGAAATTGGGGCAGAAAATTATTGGTGCCCTGGAGGCTTTGGGCAGAGGAGCCCAGGGCTTGGCACTGCTGGTGGCCCTCTGAGGAACCAGGCTGATTCTGGGTGTCTCCTGACTTCCTGGCAGTCAAGAGTCCATTGGATATCAGGGTCTTGTCAAGGTCCAAGTGGGCCACACAGGAAGATGCAGTAGTCTGCATCTTTTAGGTTTTTTAGACTTACACTAACATTTTAGTGACTCTTCTTAAAACATGGTTGCATGGTGAGAAGGGTTTCATCCCACTGCCAGGCTCCCCTATATGTTCTCTTACAGCATTGACACAAGCCTGTCAAAAATGACTTCAAAGAAATTTCACTCCTATGGGCAGCCTTTTACAGGGACCTCTAAGAGCTCTCTGCTCTGACTTGTGGGATGCTTCTGTAAGAAAATGTCAGTACATGGCAAGTTGTAAAGGGACTGCCACATAACAGGTTGACCAAAATTTATTTAAGGCCAACTATGTGCCAAGCACTGAGCTGAATCTGGGATACAAAGATAAATAAGCTATTATCTTCTGAAAACCCTACTTCTGATAGCAAACATATTTATCAAAGGAAAAGACACATAAAATCTGATTAAAGGTTAAGGTTGAGAAACTACATATTCATGTAACACTAACTCTCCAAGGAGCTGTTTACAAATAAGTACAAGAGTCTTTCCTGCATATAAATGAGAGCACCACACTTTCTGTGTTTAGAGAAGACATACTAAAGTAAGAAATTTCAGGTATCTAAAGTGAGAGGGACTATAAAAAGGAGATACTCTTTATTTAGTAAGGAATAGATGAATAGTTAAGTACTCTGTCCCAAAGACAGAGAACCAAATGATGAGCAGAAAATCAATTAAACATAAATAGAATATATTTGTATCCCAGAAACAACAGACTGTCCAGCTAAAAAACAATACACTGATGTGAGAGGGGAATAAAATGAAAAAAATATATCTAAAACCTCCAGTGTGTTCTAAGCATAGGTATAAAATTTAATATATTATATAAGACAAAATTTATGGACTTCAGAAATACCTTTTGGAATTACATTTCAGTGGCATGTTTTTAGCTTCACTGAAGGATGACACATTAAGAAATGAACTGCTGTGTAACAAAACTGATTTGCTATGACACCACTGTGAACTGTCTTTTTTCCCCTAGTTCCTAAATGTTGAAATTCTTCTAAATTTGATAACATGTAAAAACTTTTGTCACGGAAAGAACTGTAGTCTTCCTTCTTTTGCACATAAATAATTTTATAATCTATCCATTTACCCTTTTTGCTTGAAGACCAAGAATTCACTCGGATTTCATGTTCAATTGCCACAACTAACTCAGCCCTGGTGGCTGCCATTTCACTTTCTTCTCTGTTTCAGAGTTGATTCTATACTTCTATTTTGAACAATTTATAGAATGTAATTTGAAAATTATTTTTAAACAGCCTCAAATCTTCTATGACAGGGCTCCCCCACCCCTGGGCCACAGACTGCTATGGGTCCACATCCTGTTTGGAATGGGGCCGCACAGCAGGAGGTGAGCAGCAGTGAGCAAGCATTACCGCCTGAGCTCTGCCTCCTCTCAGATCAGCAGTGGCATTAGATTCTCAGAGGAGTGCAAACCCTATTGTGAGCTGCACATGCGAGGGATCCAGGTTGTGCTCTCCTTATGAGAATCTAATGCCTGATGATATGAGATGGAACGGT
Organism: Homo sapiens; assembly: GCF_000001405.40. Taxonomy (NCBI): domain Eukaryota; kingdom Metazoa; phylum Chordata; class Mammalia; order Primates; family Hominidae; genus Homo; species Homo sapiens. The sequence continues at coordinate 47,511,914 of NC_000016.10, read as the reverse complement.
TTCATCCCAAAACCATCTAGCCCCTACCCCATCCGTGGAAAACTTGTTTTCCACAAAACTAGTCCCTGGTGCCAAAAAGGTTGGGGATCACTGTTCTATGCTATATAATATAAGGAGAATAAAATGTATAATCTCTTTTTACCTGAAGATGACCATATTCCTCATAGGAAAGCAACTCATCTCCTGTATGCACATTGAAAACAGAGTGAAGACATGTTGTTGGGCGTGGATCCTGCTTAAACTGCTGGACCTAGAATGAAATATAAAATTAAACAACATTAGTAATTCATAAACTTATCCAAGACTATAGATTAAAAGCTATTTTTCATGAAACTTTTTAATGAACAAAGCTAAGGCAGAGGACCGAACAAAGCAGAAACGTTACCTTTTCTCAAGAAAAAATACAAAAAGTTCATAACTACTAACTTGATAGAGTTAACATGATTCTCAATTGATATTTCACATGCACAGCAACTCAGGTATAGTATGGAGCAGGTTAATGTAGTAGCAATGGCTTTTGCAATGTTTTGCATCTTATTTTGTTTTAGAGTAAAATTCTGCTTTATGTTGTGAGACAGGATTTCAGTGATTGTATTCCACTGAGCTGTTATTTGGAAATGCCTACATGACACTCATAATGAAAAAGGACCACAGGCCAATTCTAGTTCAGTAAGTGTTCAAATTTCAAATACAATTTCTTTCTCTAAGGGTCGCAAATTTTAATGTATGCTACTGTTAACATGCTTTCATTTCCCCTTCCATATATATTGTACTCTCATTACTAAGGCACCAACTCTAAGAGAATATAGGCCACGCCATTATTTATTAGCTAGACATAAAATTTTACCATTTTAGAATAAGTAAATACCTAAATAATCCAACAGAAAAACTCTGGGGACCAAAAAATCCACCCATTTCTTTACGGCCTGTTCAATTCAACATGGCAAACATTTACTGATGCCAGTGATGTGACAAGTACTGTGCTAATTCCTGGAAGTCTGAGATAAATAAGAACAAAAAAATGAATTCAAAGATATATACCTCTAGGTAAATGCAATAATTTACTTCTCTTTTAAAGAGAAATAAGAGAAATAAGTGATGATAATACCTAAGTGGTTGCATTCTTGCTTTGTTTCAATTCACTATGAAACTATATAGAACCATCTTTTCCTCTCCATCTTTAAAAATTCTTCTTCTCCTTAAAATACTATCTTAAAAAAATCTTCTTTTATACTTTTTGAACCCTCACCAAAATTCCTTCCTCTGGACTCCCACATCAATGTAGTTGTCACTCAATTATTTTTCCTGTTTTATACTTTTACTAGCTGTGTGTATCTCCCTGTGAAATCATATAATACACATTTGGTCTACCTTCCTAGTTCTGGGCACACGGCTCCAAGAACCCTTCGAATTTCCTGAGCAACAGGGGCAAAAAGAATGTCGTTTGTTCATATAAGTCCCTTTCAACCATACCTGAGTTTTTGCTAATAATGTGACTCTTGATAGGTCCCTAGATAGCTTCAAGATGGGGGACTGATTGACAGAGGAACCAACCAAGGGATCAGAGGGTTGGAACTTTCAGCTCCTCACCTCCACTCCTTACTTCAGGGGACGTGCAGAAAGGAAAAGCTGGTGATTGAGTCAATCACCAATAGCCAGTGATTTAATCAATCATGCCTACATAACACGGTTGCTATAAAACCCTAGATGATGATGTCTGGAGGGCTTCTGGGTCTGTGAACACATCTGCATGCCAAGAGGGTAATGCACCCCAGATACCACGGGGACAGATGATCCTGTGCTCAGGACCTTCTGCACCTTCTACCACTTCATCTGGTGTTTGCTTATATCCTTTAAAACAAACTGGTAATAGTAAGTAAAGTGTCTCCCAAGTTCTGTGAGCTGTTATAACAAAGTATTGACACCAAGGAATTATTATAGCCAAGTCAGAGAGAATTGTGGGTAGCCTGGGGATCTACTACTTACAATTGGTGTCGGAAGCCGGGGGTAGTCTTGTGGGACTGAGTCTGAACCTATAGGATCTGTTTTAACTCCAGGTCATTACTGGAAGAATTGCAACAAACTGTATATACCCAGTTGGTGTCTCAAATTCAAGAACTGCTTGGTATGGAAAATCCACACATTTGGTGTCAGAAGTGTTGTTAGTAGAGAAACAGTATAGCTGTAGAGTCCCAATATCTTGTAAGCTTCTAGAAGCTATGCTGTCCAACATGGTAGGCACTAGCTACATGTGACTGACTAAATTAAATTACAATTAATTATATTAAATTAAATAAAAAATTAAGCTCTTCAGTCACAATGGCCACATTTCATGAAATCAATAGCCACATGTCACTAGTGGGTACTGTATTGCTCAAGAGTAATATGGAACATTTGTATGCTCATAAAAAGTTCTATTGGGCAATATTGTTCTAGAGGGAGGTTACATCTTTACCATCTCCAAGTGCCCTACACAAACAAATACAGCCCTCCTTATGATTAAAGAACCTAATCAGCAAAATAAAAGTCTGAACCTATCAGTATGTAATCAGGACCTAGAGAATGGGTACAGTTAGGGATGTAAGTTCTCTACTGATAAAGTGACAAAGCCATCTGGTGTTAATTCAGAGAAGATGACTATCCCTTCTCAATATCTGAAACTGCTGGCAGTAATCTGAACCTACACAAATAGAAATCAATGTGGTCACTCTTTTTGCACTATTATCTTGAAGTCCTGAATATTATTCTGAGCTCCTATATAAAAAATAGGTAAAATTGAAGCAAAACACATTTTAACCACTTGATACAGATCTAAAAGGATAAGGTTTTATCAGTTTAATAAAGTGACTCCTGCAGTTGACAAGGTGGTGTTTGTCATTTGTCTTCAAGACATGCAAGAACCCAGCAGGACAATTTATATTCAATCACTATGTCAGGGGAAAAGCAACTACTAAATGATTAAAGTTGCTCAAATGGGGGATTACATAAGTACATTTTGAGTTTTAAAGCCATTAAAAGACAAGTAATTTAAAATTTCAGAAAAAAATAAGGTCCAAAGTATAAGCTTTGAAGATTAATGGGGCATGCTGTATGTCAATTACAAACAAAAAGTTCTCTTGAAAGCAGTCAAAAACAAGAGGATGCTAATTAGTATTTTGTATGATTCTGGCATCTGGCAAATAAAAATAAAGATAATAATTAAAGCAAAAGTTTCTAGACTAAAATAAATCTAGAATAATGCCTCTTCCACTCGTATTTTGCTTAGATTTTTCCTGAAAACTTTTATTATTGTGAATAAACAGTTTATCATTTGGGAAGAGGTAATTGAGTATTTTGTCATCCATTTTTAACTTATAGCCTTAAAACATTCATTTAGAGAAAAAAATCTTCTCATAAGGGAATCCTGGAAAAATAAATTTTATAAAAGTTAATGATTTCTCATTAATTAGAAACTAGCATTTAAAAAAAATTTTCAGTAGATAGATACAGCAACATTTATAGCCTATTATAAAGCAAATGTCTGCCCTCCAAACTAATTGCAGATTGAATCAACTCTGAAAAACTCTGAATGCCTCTCTGTAGGCAGAATTATAAAAGACAGTAAATAAGAGAATAGGTATCTGCACACTGAGAGGTAAAACATAGCTGACATTAATAAGCAGGCATTAAGATAAGTGTCAAGACAATAAAACCCAGAAAACAGACTGCTCTAAATTCTTTAAATAAATCAAGAATAAGTCTTTGTATTCACTCAAATTCATAATCAATTTAAAATATCTCTTTTAGCTAGTATTTTTAGAAAATACATCAGGAAGCATGTTTTATGATGAGAAATCAATAGAAGTGGAGAAGGGAGACTTTCTAGGTCATGATTTTACTTCAAAAGACAACATGAGGCTAGAGGTCAAACAGTGAATGAACACTACTAATGTGCTTTGCTTCAGTTTCAAGGGAAGACCAACACAGAAATATTTCACATTTCAAGATATGTTTATATTTCCTCTTGCAACAGTATTGTAAAGGAAATGGCCAAGACAGGAGGAAAAGAACGGCAAGCAGCAACAAGATGTGAAGGTATGGTGAGAGGCTTTGAGCTGGGTGCATGCTTCAATCTCCCTGAGTCAGTCCCTCACACTCATATGCACTAGAATAATATACTCCTTACATTTCATATTTACATTAATGGTCTATATCATAGCTACATAGGAAAGAAATAATAATCCCTTGTAATTTAAAGAATGTAAGATAGCTTAACTGGGCCAGACATGGTGGCTCATGCCTGTAATCCTAGCACTTTGGGAGGCTGAGGTGGAAGGATTGCTTGAGCCCAGGAGTTTGAGACCAGCTTGGGCAATATAGTGAGACCCTGTCTCTATTTTTAAAATTAAAAAACAAAAACAACCTTAGGTCACACTCAAACTGTATCAAAAGAAAACATATTACAATTGTGATGACTGGTTAATAAGGTTGAGTAAGAAATGCCATTATAAAGTCAAAACACCTTTGTAAAGTCAAATCTCAGTAGAAAAGGCCACTAACAATTGGCTAATGGCCAGGTGCTAATGGTCTACATCATAGCTACATAGGAAAAAAAAAATGATAATCCTTTATAATTTAAGGAATTTAAAGTAGCTTAAGTTGGCCAGGCATGGTGGCTCACGCCTGTAACCCTTGCACTTTGGGAGGCTTAGGTGGAAGGATTGCTTGAGCCCAGGAGTTCAAGACCAGCTTGGGGAAACATGGAGAAACCCTGTCTCTACAAAAAATACAAAAATTAGCTGGGTGTGTTGGTGCATGCCTGTAGCCCCAGCTACTTGGGAGGCTGAGGTGGGAGGGTTGATTGAGCCTGGGAGGTCAAGGCTGCAGTGAGCTGTGATTACACCACTGCATTCAAGCCTGGGTGACCCAGAGAGACCTTGTCTCAAAAAACCAGCCAAACAACAATAAAAAAACCAACTGGCTAACCGTGCCACAAGGAAAAAACCTTAATCCAAGCTTGTCAACCAGCAGAGCATGACAGCTTTGAATGCAGTCAAGCACAGATTCGTAAACTTTCTTAAAACATTATGAGATTTGTTTTGCAATTTTGTTCTTTTTTTAGCTCATCAGCTATGGTTGGTGTTAGTGTATTTTATGTGTGGCCCAAAACAATTCTTCTCCTTCCCATATGGCCCAGGGAAGCCAAAAGATTGGAAACCCCTGCCTTAAACTAATACATTATTAGACTTCCTTCTGATAATTCTACTTTGTCAGCTTGTTTGGCAAACCCATGAAAGTCATGATTTTGATTTTCACAATGTGTCCTAGAGAGAAAAGTTGAATTCATAAAGACATTATGCATTCATGAAATGATACAAATGAAACAAACAATAACATCTCACACTTAGGAAAAAATTAACTTTAATCACAATTATTTCAACATAACATATGACATACTAGTTTAATTCCAGTATGTCAATCTGTGACATACTACTTTATTTCAAGCATCTGAAAAACCTTTGCAATATTGATTTGTACAAATCTCAATAGACAAATTAAAGGTTTTTCATATGTCTCTATTATCAGCTTATGAATAAATATACTTTTTCTCTATAACATTTTCTTGTTGCCATATTCTAGTAGCAGAATATTAATGATTTTTTTTTATTTTGACTTGAATTACAGGCCTGAAGAAGAAGACTTGTTATCACTCTTTTTATTATTTTTTTTCTTTCTTTTCTTTTTTTTTTGAGGCGGAGTCTCACTCTGTTGCCCAGGCTGGTCTCGAACTCCTGACCTCATTACCTGCCTGCCTCAGCCTCCCAAAGTGCTGGGATTACAGGCGTGAGCCATCATGCCCAGCTTATTATTTTCTCTTTTTTCTTTTTTCTTTTTTTTTTTTTTTTTTGAGACAGTTTCCCCTCTGTTGCCCATGCTGGGAAGCAATGAGATCTCAGCTCACTGCAACCTCTCCCTCCCAGGTTCAAGTGATTTTGTGCCTCAGCTTCCTGAGCAGGTGGGACTATGGGTGCGCACCACCAAATCTGGCTAATTTTTGTATTTTTGGTAGAGACGGAGTTTCACCATGTTGGCCAGGCTGCTCTCGAACTCCTGGCCTCAAGCGATCCACCCGTCTCTGCCTCTCAAAGTGCTGTGATTTTAGGCGTGAGCCACCATGCCTGGCCTATTATTTTCAAGTGCAAATTAAAACAATATGTTTGTATGATAAAAAATAAACAAAATATTAAGTGATCAAAACTGCCTGCAAAGTTACTTGTGTGCATCTCTGCTAAAATACAGAAGTTGGAAACGCATCTGAAACACGGGGTCTAGAAGGGAAAGGGAATACTACTAATGATAACGACACAAATATTTACTGTATGTTCACCCGGTACCAGCCCTTGTGCTATGTGCTCTCTCTCATCCAAGTACTGACCAGGCCTGACCCTACTTAGCTTCTGGGATCAGACGAGATAGGGCGTTCAGGGTGGTATGGGGGCAGACACCATGTTCTCTATACATTCTCTGCCCTTCCCCACCCCCACCCACTCTGACTTCCGTGGCCGCCCTCCTCCTGTATCAACCAACACCTTTTCTGGGGTCTGATGAGTGTGTGGGCATTGGGCACCTTAATCCGGCATTCGGTTCATCCCGCAGAGCCAGGTCTGCTTACCAGAAGCGGCCCACTAGGCACTCACATTCCATACCCGGCTCCACACGCCAGCAAGCCGGGCTTCTTACCCAACTAAAGTGTGAGAGTAGGTGGAGATCCTTTGGGTCGTAAAACCTCCAATCATTCACTTTACAGATGAAACCATGTGGGGTGGGTTTTGGAAGAGTGCCAGCCATCCTGAGAGAAACCTTGGAGGGAACCAGACACTAGATGGTTCCATCAGTCTTTCACCCCTATACCCAGGTTGGATGACCAATCGATTTACACATCAGGACTGCTAGGGACTTCCACTAGTTTCCTCCAGCTTTGCCCTGACCAGGCACAGTTCATCATCTTTCAGGTCCTAACACGTGCCCTGGTGCTCCACCTCTGGGGCACCGCCCTGGGTGAGATGGGCCAGTGGTGCACCCTCAGGGGACTGGAGAGGCCTCGGGATCCCACCTCAGCCAGGGAGTGCGCTGGCCTTCACCTTCACTGCGCCAAGGCGGCTTTCTTGCAAAACACTGACTCACTCACATGAGTTATTTCTTAATCCTTACAAAACCTAATAAGGGCAGTATTACTGGTATCCATATTTAACAGAGGAAAAAAACGGGGCACATGGAAATTAAATAATTTGTCCAACATCACACAGTTGGAAGCAGACTGGAAACCAGTACATTCATTTATGCAGATTGTCCTGAAAAGAGTTAATATAGTAGGCCTGAGACTGCTAACCACAGAAAGAATTGTTTGTAAGGTTGCCCCTTGGCTGATATGTGGACACTCAGATCATGAAAGGGTTTCCACTATTCTCTCACAAGAGGGGCTAAACCTAAATGTAAACCTAAAGTGTTTACATTAACAATATGGTTGATACTACACACCTGGTTTCCTTCTGGATGTCTGGAACTTTGGTGAGTGCTAGACAGAGGATACCCACATGACCAACCACTAACAAAAACCCTGAGCAATAAAAATCTCAAGCTTCTATTGAACTTCCCTGACAGACATTTTACATATGTTACAATTAGTCACAATCAGTTGCTGGGGGAATGAAGTGCATCTGTGTGACCCCACTGGGGAGGACTCCTAGGTGCTAGCATCTGGCTTCCTCCAGACTGTGTTCCATGCACCTTGACCCTTTGCTGATTATGCTTTGTCTCCTCTCATGTAATAAACCATAGCCACAACTATGACTATCTGATGAGTCATGTGAGTCCTCCTAATGAAGCATCAAACCTGTGGATGGTCTTAGGGACCCATATGCATTGATGTACACGTATGGGCACTTACTATATTAGGACCTGGGATCACAGAGATGTAGGTAAGTAAGGGAATAGCCATTATATTTGTATAGAGCTTTATAGTTTTTTAAATGTTGTTATGTACATTATTTTCTTTAATTTCCACATAACGCTGTAAAGCTGTTTTCTTTTTTTTCTTTTTGTTTTTTGAGACAGAGACTTGCTCTGTCGCCAGGCTGGAGTGCATTGGCATGATCTTGGCTCACTGCAACCTCCGCCTCCCAGGTTCAAGCGATTCTCCTGCCTCAGCCTCCCGAGTAGCTGAGACTACAGGTGCACACCACCATGCCCGGCTAATTTTTGTATTTTTAGTAGAGACAGGGTTTCACCATGTTGGCCAGGATGGTCTCGATCTCTTGACCTCGTGATCCACCCACTTCGGCCTCCCAAAGTGCTGGGATTACAGGCGTGAGCCACTGCGCCTGGCCTGTAAAGCTGTTTTCTAAGCCTATAATTCCTAGCCTTTTTGTATGTAAATGAATGAAGTGTTACATTTTTAAACTAAAGTTCACTTAAGCCAGAGCAATTCACATGTCCAAAAGTAATTCTGACAAGGATATTCTTTAATAAAATATTGGTTAGAATTATCGATATTGTGAGGTTCCTGAGAAACTGGGTCTTTATCAAGCAACACCAGATGCAAAACACAAACAAATCCAAGTCTAAATAACAATTCTCAATCACCTCTTGCTTAAGGTGTTCCTTCAATCTCAGGATTTCAAACCCTGGGCTAGAATGGCAAAGGCTGTTAACCTATCTAGGCCGCCCTAGGATGTGGCTTTCCCTTTGAAAAGTACATTCTTCTTCAGAAGAAACCATTGCGATACTAGTTAAATTAATCCTTCAGAATGATGGGAGAATTCCCGTCCACACCACAATGTTTTACCTTATCGGCCTGACGCATATAGCAGTAGAGAATTCCTCTCATGCATTTTATAGCTGAGTGCTCCAGCTCATGGGTCCTTCCCTTGTCATCATCAATTCGCCTGGGTGAGAGAGATAACTCATGAAACTAATTGGAAATGCATTTGAAAAGGAAGCAGAGCTTTTGATAATTAAGTATTTAACTATCTGGCTAATCCTGTGTTCTGGTGATGTCTACCAATTCTGTCACAGTGAAACTCCATTTTCCCAGCAAAAGTAGAAATGCTGCAATGAAAAAAAAATCCTATGATGAAACTTAGGCAGATTTTTCCTTCTTTCAAGGAAGCAAGCCAACTTCTTTTAAAAATAGTATACAATATTTCTACAGCGATTTGGCTGAAACTTTAAAGAATATTTCTATTGGAAAAAAATCCACCAACAGATTGTTTTAAATTCACTGTTATGAACTAAAGCTGATTTTTATTAGCTATCCCTGTAGGTTATGCAATGGCCGCTTGGATTTAAGTAGCAGCCACAAGTTAAGGTAGGTGCTGCCTTTCTTTGCTCTGCAGTGTGTTCAATACCATCAGAGCAGGCATTTAGTCATAGTCAAGGATGCCTTCAACTAAACACACATCCAGGATGATACATGATGTATTTTGGCATAGAGCTTTATATTCTTTGGTTTTAATTTAAAATCAATTGAGCATATTTTACATCTCTTGCTTTTAAAAATAAAGAACACCTAAAATCTAACTATTTAGTTTAATAGTTAGATTAACCTAAATACCTTAACCAAACCTAGTTTGGTTAAGATGTTCCTTCTGTCCACAAGTTGCTTTTTATTATAAATCAGTAACTTTCCAAAGGTGGATGAGAATCACCCACTACTAAAAAATAAAAGTGATTTATTCATTGTTTCACTTAATCTTAACTAAAAATATCTGGCAATCATTCTCACATGATTAAAAAGTATCACTTCTCTCCTTAAAAAGTATATTATAATTACCTCCCAGTTAAATCATAGATTGCATATACCATTCACTATTGGGAAGAATGATTATTATTTTGACATAGTATGGTGAATGTCAGTAAAAAGTAAGTTATTCATCATTAGCACATCATACCTTCTTTTTCATGCTGGCATTGCACAAAAATTAGCATGAATTTGCTCTATACAGTACTTTTCCCCTTGAGGTCAGACACAAGTGTTTTAATAGAGGCATATTCTACATAGATAGTGTGCCTGCAAAATGAGGACTTTAAAGTCTCTATCTGATGTTAGAAGCATTCTGGGAAAAGGTTAATATCTGACTTTTGTCCATATGCTGCCTATCCTCTTGTATTTGTTAAAGCAATTTTCCTGTAAACATTTTATTTAGAAAAATTTCAAATCTACAAAAAAGTTAAAAGGATGCTATAATGAATAAGTCTTTTGGTCGTCACTTAGATTCACCATTTTAACATTAGCTTGCATTCTCTATAATATTTTCTTCATTGTTTGAAAGTAAGCTACGAACATCATGACCCTTCACTCCTACACACTTCAGAAGTATCTCTAGAAAACAAGGAGATTTGCCTACATAACCATAATACCATTATTATACCTAAGAAATTTAATACTGATACTATATGATCTAATACATAGTCTTGGCTCAAATACTGAAGTGTCCCAAAAACATACTTTCATACTTTACAGTATTTTTAAATGCATGACCCAATTAAGGATCATGTATTGCATTTGGCTGTTGTATTTCTTTAGTCTCTTTTAGTCTAGCCATCCTCATACTTATTTCCTAGTCATCTGTAATACTGACATTTTTAAAGAGTCCAGGCAAGTTGTCTTATAAACAGCCACAATTCAGCTTTGTTCATATGTAGACTCATGTTAGATAACTTGGTAAGATGTTAGCACAAGGTGTATTTCCCATTGTGTCAAATCAGGAATGGCAATTAACATCAGTCTGTCTCATTATTGGCTTCACCATTTGGTGAAGGTGCTACTGATGCTCCCTGTACTCCTAAGATCAGTACCAGTTTTACATTTAATAAAGCCATATTGTCCTTACCTAGAATATGTAAGGAAATGCTTTTAGTGATGTCAGCATTCAAGTGTGCTAAAGAAGACTACTGCATCTTATCTCAGTGTTTGATTTTCTTTTTAAAATCCAACACATCAGTAATTTCAAACAGATAAATCGTGTTCATGTGGAAGATACAATTTTTAAATCAGAAACATAACTATGGATCGCTTTCAGGAAATTAATATTCAGAAAGTTAATCTTACTGATCTTAATTATGGTTAAAATGTATTACAATTATGTGTTAGCATCCACATTCAGTGCTTTCTACATATAATGAAATAAATAAAGGAGAAATTTTGTATTGTCTAACTATTTCTTTTTTTTTTTTAACTTTATACAATTATTTCACTTATGACCAAACTTAATAAGAGATACTATGCTGAAGTGCAGTGATAAAACCAGAAATTGGGTAGGGGAAAAGAATTCTGACCCTGGCTCTATCATTAATGAGTTGCATCATTTTGAACAAATTTGTTAAGTACTTGGGGTTCTAATTTTATTATCTGCAACATTTAGTCATCATCAGTTCTCTCCATTATTGAAACCAATCAACACAATGAGAGTGGGCAGGTAGTTCATTCTACCAATGACTAAAAATGGTGATTTACAAACCTAGAGACAAGAAGTTTTGGTCACAAAGTCATAAAATCTTAGAACTGGTCTGATATAAGCTCTTAGAAAAATGAAACGGTTTAGGCTGGGCATGGTGGTTCACACCTGTAATCCCAGCACTTTGGGAGGCCAAGGCTGGCAGATCACTTGAGGTCAAGATTTCGAGACCAGCCTGGCCAACAGAAACCCCATCTCTATCAAAAATACAAAAATTAGCCAGGCGTGGTAGTGCATGCCTGTAATCCCAGCTAGTAGGGAGGCTGAGGCAGCAGAATTGCTTGAACCCAGGGGGCAGAGGTTGCAGTGAGCCAAGGTCATGCCACTGCATTGCAGCCTGGGTAACCTCATCTCAAAAAAAAAAAGAAAATGAAAAGGTTTAGAGGCCTAAAAAGGGATGTGAGCAGTCATAGGTCGCACAGTGAGTCAGCAGCAGAGCCAAAAGATAGCGGCTCAATTAGTCTTGGTCCTACAAAACCCTATTATCCACTCTCAAAGTTACGAGGAGAACACACACCAGCTCACCTGTATGCAAGAGCCAAAGCCCAGGCCCCAGCAGCGCAGTATAGGCTGTCCTGGATCTTGGCCTTCTGGTCACCACCGCATGTTTTAGTGGGAAAGAGACCGGTAGTTGGACTTTGATACAGCAGCAATGTTGACTTGACTGCAATTGAGGACAAGACAAAGAATGAACTGTACAGTCAGCGACTTTCCTTGGGCTAAATGTTTTAATCTTCTTTGGTTTCCTCATCCCACTTCTGACGATTTTGTTTCTAAACTTGCTATAGTACAATACTTCTGAAGATGTGGAAACAACTTCATGTCACTCCAGCCTTAGTGGGAATCCACCCTACATAAAGAAATCTTTCCAGTTTTAGGAAAGGACTCAGCTAATTAGGACTTAAAAAGCCTTTAGCACATCTCCAGTAATGTCAATGTGTGTTAGAAATCTTATTAGGACAACATCAGGTACAGAGGGAAAAAGAGATGAAGCAAAAGACTAAGTATAATATTTTTTAAAAATCAGTTCAATAGGTAAACTTAAAGCAAATGCACAAGAAAGAGTAGCATACATTTAGTAAATCACAAAGCCACCTCAACTGCTACAGTAAATGATCAACAATGTAGGAAGGGCGAGGGGAAGATCACAGAACAGGCTGGAATCCTGTGTTTCACTGATGACTAAATTGTGCCTGGTCTTCAGAGGGAGTCTACAGTATTCATTTTACTTTATTGTACAGGTTAGGAAAATGTTTAACATTTTAAAACTGAATTCCATCCATATATAACATGAACACAGCAGCAAGTAAATAATTTTTTATGAACATTTTACTTAAGTCTGAAATTAATATTTTATTATCTTTTATAAATGAGCTCTAAAATAGGAAAACACAAACACTAAAATTACATTTACTAAAAACTATTTTATTGCTATCTAACTATAAATGGATGGGTAATGCTTTTCCTAAAATGCATTACATTAACCTTATCTAGATTGGCAACTACCCTTTTGTTTTGAGACAGGGTCTCACTCTATAACCCAGGCTGGAATGCAGTTGCATGATCATAAGCTCACTGCAGCCTCTAACCCCTGGGCTTCAGTGATCCTCCCAACTTAGACTCCCAAGTAGCTGGGTCTACAGGCAATCGCCACCATGCCAGGCTAATTTTTAAACTTTTTGTAGAGATGGAGGGCTTGTTATGTTGCCCAGGCTGGTCTCGAACTCTTGGGTTCAAGCAGTCCTCACATGCTGGTCTCCCAAAGGGCTAGGATTACAGGCATGAGAGATCACACCTAGCCATGTTATCTACTTTTTAGGATAGTTTTCCAAAGGCAGAAAACATTCTGTTCTGGAGCTGGGATCACAGGAGTGCACCACCACTCATGGCTGATTTTTGTATTTTTAGTAGAGACGGGGTTTCTCCATGTTGGTCAGGCTGGTCTCAAACTCCTGACCTTGTGATCCACCCGCCTCAGCCTCCCAAAGTGCTGGGATTACAGGCGTGAGCCACCATGCCCAGCCTCTAAATTGATCTTATCATAATCATTTCTTTCAGAAAACCAGGGTATTTATTATTTTTCCCAGTGTAAAAAATTAGTCCTAAGAGTCCAAAATACACAATTGACATAAAAAAATATAGTTAGTTCTCTTTAGCTAGTTATTGCCAAAAAGATAATAAAATGGGCAACTTAATGCAAGCAAGAATCTTGACCAAAAGAAGTAAGATTGAAGTTTCATATGAAGTTGAAATAGACCAAAAAATCCATCATCTTAGGGGGAGAGAAATCAAATTTTATGTTTTCTGCCATCCTAGTACAAGTAAATGGCATAAAAGGTAAACTGACAAAAAGATTAATATGCATTCTAATAGATGGTCTGACAAACAAAGAGGAGGCCCTTATACACATATCTGAAAGTTGCTTACTCACATTGAAAAACAAAATTTGCAAGGCTGGTCCTGGAAAAACAAAATAAAACAAACAAAACACAAGCGCCCTGATATTAATAATACTAACTTGTGATTATCTCTTGTATCTCAATGAATTAGAAACGGATATAAAAAGTTTAGGACTATCTGGGAACCATGTTTAGGTAAATGAGCAAATTAATACTTATATGAAATATCTGTGTATTAATCAAGAAACATCCTCAAGGTCTCAAATCTGGTAATGTTTAGGAAGATTAAAAAAACACAGAAGATATTGGTGACAGTTTTCAAATTCTTCAAGGGCCAGATATGATCTGCCAGATTCCTTTTATAGTCCTGATATCGACATACAATTGGAATACACAGCTACTTAAGCACTGAAAGTACCCCAAATCCCAATGACAGAACAATATCATCCACATAATGTACATAATTTAACTAGGGCAAGGGGAATACTAATCGCAGATACCTAAGGACACGTTTTCCTCAGGTTTTACTCACCAATTCTGTAATAATGGTCCAACTTATCCCAGAGAGTTTCATTATCAGGTCTTGGAAGATTAATGCTTTTAAGAGGTTCATAAACTGAGCCTAAAAGAAAAAATAAAAACCCATCAAATTCAGTCATTTTCACAAAGATAAACAAAGAAAAACTCTAAACAAATGAAGAAGCAGTGCTTAATCTAACTTCCATTATTTTATGTGAAGTACCATACTTTACTACTTGTAAACCTTCTTGCTGGGGGAACAAGAGGGGGAATAAAGTACCTTTGAAAATAAATACAGAAGAACTTGAAATGTCATGGGATATTCCCACCCTTACCTCCAGCACTCAATCCAACTAACTGATGTGTACATGGTCCAAACAACTAAGTGTCACTAATACTCATGTGGTAGTCATTTGTCAATAGATTCTAGTTATTAAGAAATATGTCTAATTATGGGACCATAAATCCAAACTTCATTCCTTATGCTAATGTTTCATTACACAAATTTTTCTCAAATAATCATACCCCCAAACCCTCAAGGAAAGAAGATAATGTTCACATACTCCAAAGCCATCCACTCCACGAATATTCAGCTAGGTTTCATGCTGAAATTCCTAATCCTCTACTTTCTCCCAGGGAGATGATATTCTTGCCTTATTATCTGTACTATAAGCAGATCATTTCTACTTCTCAGCCTTGAAAACTACTCAAAGGTGTTAGCAGAGTCAGCTGCTCAAAAGCTACAAAATACACAATAATCATGATAATTTGCCACAAAATGGATATAGAAAATTGTTCACTTGACTAGTGCACTTTCTCAACTGCTAACTGAAAGACAGACATCTGAACCTTCAGCCATCAGACTATGTACTGTCTCTCGTTCTTGTTAAAAGCAATCAGAAATTATAAACATCTCAAGGTCACAATTAATCCACCTCTGGATTCAGGTAATGTATACCATATAGCCTAAGAACATAGCACAAAAATGAACCTATAATTTACCTAGTTGGGGAAATCACATTGGCACAGATTAAGATTCTGTTTTTAAAGAAAATTAAAGCCTTTATACTCATAAAATTGCTATGTCCAACACGCTAGTTTAAAGCCAAGGTTTTGGGAAGCCTTTATGTTTAGGCAGATAGTAACATTAAGAAGAAAGTAAAGAAAGAGTGTATACATTCAGGCAACAGTCTCATTATCTTTTGTTGAAAAGATAGACTAAGTACTGTCTCTCATTCTTGTTAAAAGCACTCAGAAATTAAAAACAACTCAAGGTCACAATTAATCCATCTCTGGATTCAGGTAATGTATACCATATAGTCTAAGAACATAGCACAAAAATGAACCTATAATTTACCTAGTGGCAGAAATCACATTGGCACAGATTAAGATTCTGTTTTTAAAGAAAATTAAAGCCTTTATGCTCATAAAATTGCTGTGTCCAACATCCTAGTTTAAAGCCAAGGTTTTGGGAAGCCTTTATGTTTACGCAGATAGTAACAATAAGAAGAACGTAAAGAAAGGGCCTATACATTCAGGCAACAGTCTCATTATCTTCTGCTGAAAAGATAGGTAATTTGTAGATAAGACTTGCTCTGAGCGAAAAGAAGATTTTCTTACAAGAGTATTCACAATGGCACCAACAGGAATGGGTCCATAGTGAGGAACGGAGAGACCTATCAACATACAGAACATCAGTACTCCTTTCCTGCTTCAAAGGAAAGGACCCAGCCCCCTCCAGTCATGCCCTTGCCTTCCTGTATTCAA
Organism: Homo sapiens; assembly: GCF_000001405.40. Lineage (NCBI taxonomy): Eukaryota > Metazoa > Chordata > Mammalia > Primates > Hominidae > Homo > Homo sapiens. The sequence continues at coordinate 47,495,734 of NC_000016.10, read as the reverse complement.
CTAGCTCCAGGCAGGTATAAGCATATGGGTAGCCTGGCAATCAGAAAGGAGTAATATGCCACTGCTAGAGCATAAGGTAATAAGCTCTAGGAGTCTATACACTCCCAGTGAAGCTCATTCACTATGAAAGAAAATAAATTAGGTACAAATAATCATAATTTATAAATTGTGCATATGTATATATAAAAATTAAAGGGGACACCTTTGCTGAGGTGGAAGAATTGCGGGTAACATTTCTGTTTTTATTTAGATCTCTATTAGTAGAGGTAGTATTTTGCTTTACATACAAAACATAAATCACCAAGAGCTGAGTATATAATTCCATTAAAATTAAATGATACATGAGCATATGGATATAGAATATGCAAACTTAAATCAACCTGCATTACAATGGTAGGTGAATTGATTTTGAGAGATTGTTTTGATGATATTTATACCAAGATTTTAGATTTAAAAATATTTATTTTTAAAAGTGCTAGGATATTTAAGAACTAAGGGACTATAGTGATTCTGTCATCTAATTTTTCTTAAAAAAAAAAAAAAAGGAGTTCTGTTAGAGGCAACAATAAATAAACAAAAGGAAAATCAGACCTCTCAAGAAAATAAGTATCTATTCAGTAAGAGGAAAAATAGAAGATGTTCAAAGCATAGCAGAAAAGGGTAAAAGTAAAATCATCTAAATTATACATTCAAAGAACGCCCATGATAAGTCAAGAACAGCTTGGTTAGATAAATGTTATTATTTTAGTGATCATCATTGTATTGTTTCTAAAGTAACTACATAAAATTAAACAAGGATGTTCTACACAATTAACAAGGATGTTCTACACAATTTATGGTAAACAATACCACAAATCTAAGTCAAAGGAAAAGTAATCAATGTTAACATTTTAAACAAAAATAGGACATCTGGAAAGCATCAATGCCAGTAAAAATGGAGACAGCAATTAATAGAGCATGAATTCCCAAAGCAAATTAAAGAGCTACAAAATAACAGAAAATTCTACTAAATGTTCCAATTGAAATGAAATTGTAAAATGTTAATTTTTCTTTTCCATGCTTTTCCCATTCGCATTATGTCTATACGCAAACATCACAAAGTAAAATAAAACTTATCAATGATAGGAGAAAAATAGCTCAGAGCAGACTGAGCTAGGTGAGGTATGCAAAACTTACCAGGCTCAGGAAGACAAGAGTAAGGGACTTCAATCACACTTTCCTTCCTATGCACCCACACCCAAGGGCCATGTTTACAGGCATTTTTGTTCCTGACTAGCTGCCTTACCCATTATCTTCCAGTTCCTGGAATTTGTGATACAAAGAACAATATAGAGCTAATCAATAACTTTTATTATATTAATATAAGTTACTGGAAACACAACTTAGAAGCTGCCTCTTTCCTTTAAAATCCACCTGTAACTGATGCTAATCAGAAGATATATTCAGGGCAGCTTCTATCTATGCTTCCACATAGATTTAGGCTTGAATACTCTATAATGAATCACATTTTCGGAATCTAGTTATTTAAGGTTAACATTTTGGTACCCTAGATGAGATCGGAAGTGGACCTCTAGAGAGCCCCACCACTTTACCAGCAATCAGCACCTTGGTACCAATACGATAAGTCCTCCTTCACCCAACCTTGCCAAAGTCAGCAGGAATCTCTGCTAAGGCCCCTGTTGGGATCTGAATCCTCCTGGCTTGATTAAGGATTAAGACTTTATTCAATTTGTACATATTCTTAACTAGTTGAGGTTGGAAGTGAAGCTCTATAAAAGGCAAGAGTTTCATTTGTTATTCTCTAGAGATCTGTTGACCTCGGATTTGTGACTTTCATTTTTCTCTGAAGTTAAGGTTTTATTTTGAACTACTAGTTGGAGTTTTTCAACCTTTTCTATAGTTTAAACTTTGGTCTTTGAAAAGAGGAAGTGAATCTTTGAGGCTTAAGTGAAAAACATGTAATTTTAAAAACCAGTTAAATTCTGAAGCTTGGTTCAATTGATAAATCTAAAATGTTCTTGAGTGACCAAAATAATAAAAGGCTCTCATGAGTCCCACTAGGTTTCTGGTCATTCAGGAAGGAAAACGAAAATTATGGACAACTATCTCTAAAACCTAGACTTTGTCCTTAAAGGGTGACCCACCTTTAGAAACACCAGCTGGATTTATATTTAATGCTTATGGTGCCTCTTCATGCTAACATTTAGAAAACTGGTCACACGTAACTAAAGACGACCCCAAATTACAACGGTCGAAATAGTGTACTTTTAAAATACCTCAACTAGTTTATCTGTACTCTCAATTTTAAAAAGCTAGCTCTAAAATAAAATAACTAGGAGAGCTATTTTCAATGATACTTAGAAGTTTCTAAAAGAGGTTCTGACAAAGTTATTTCTTTGCAAAAGGAAAATGTAAAATTTTATAAAGTGACTTTTAAAATGAAAAGTGCTGCTGAAATTGTTCCTCTTCCTCTTTCTGTTTATTCTAACTGCTCTTCCCTTCCCCCCTCCTGCTCCTGGTGTACTGGCCTCATTTCAGGAATGAGACAGCAAGCATAAAGAGGTCCCCAGAGAACTTCCAACTGGCCTGCACACTGGGAGGAGTGTGCAACGGGGTGGAGCCTCAGGAAGTGCGCACTGTTTGCCAGAGGGAGGAGCCTGATCTCCCCTGTTCCAGGGTGGTACCTAGGATTCAATCTATGAGGCGGAAGCCAGCTAGCAAGACTTTGGCTTTGCTGAGACTCTCTGTTTACCTTTGTTTTCCTTTTTGCCCGATAAATTTTTCTTGCCCTTTAAAGTGCCTGCAAGCCTAATCTCTCATGGTTGTGTGACAAGGACCCCATTTTTAGGTGAACTAAGGAGAAAGTCCTACAACAGTTTAGCACCCAACGTGGGGCTTAAGAAAGGGTGAGTGAGATGCAAACCAAATCTATTTTTATCTCATTTTTAAGCCTTTTCATCCTCAGACTTCTGAGGGCAGGGGAAACCATGCCCCAACCCCTGTCACTCCCAGGTGTTGAGAAGGTCAGCCTCAGTCTCCATGGCATTTTCCTTTCTTTTTTGTGACGGAAGGGCGAGCAGCAGCTCCCGCCACCCTCCCCTCCCTGCCAAGGCTGGGGTGCGTGAACCAAGGGTGCCCAACAGCAGGCAGCTCTCCCTGCCATGCATCCATAGAGCCTTCCGCTCCCCCAGCCAGAAGGTCCCACTCCCTTGAACAGTAATGAAGTCTTTCTCACTGATGGAGGCATCCATTTGCATAAAAATAAGAGGTTCCTCTTTAGGCATTTTAAACTGGTTTTTTCTTTCCTTTTCTCCACCAGATCAGCAGTTGACTTTTAAATTAGCTTTTTTTTCCTTTTAGAAGACATTTTAACTAGGCTAGGAATGATAAGGATCACTGTTTATATTCTCAGTAGAGTTTTAATTGTGAAAAAGGATTTGTGAGGCTGGTCTTAATCTGTAGCCAATCTAGTGTACTTTGTCCATCTTTCCATAGCAAACTTTGTGGCAGGCCTCCATTCTGTTTTACATCCTTGGGAGCAAGGCCTGCAACCACGTGGCAATGTTTTGTTCTAGCCTCACCATTTTACAATGGCAGCCAGGAGTTCAATCCTGCCTTAGGAAATGAGTTCTTTCTAGTTTGATATCTGCAGGACCTTTGCCATTTTTTGATTCCCTGCCCCTCCACAAACTGACTTGGATTTTCTTTCTCTGAGCCTTTAGTAAAGTTTGAAAGCCAGAAATATCAGCTGTTTGGCCTGGCTAAAGTCAGGTATTAAGAAATTTTAAAAGGACCTTATTAAAGAGTGCTATGGCTAAAAGTCAGTTTAATTAAAAGCAGATATTCAAGCTCCAACAGCCTGGGACTCCTTGGGAAAAACACGGGGCGCCAGATACCCCATTTTGCAAAAAACCTCTGTTTTCCTCATGAAACCCCAGGAACTGGAAGTGGATAAATCCCTCTCAGAATTTAGGGTTCTGTTCTGTTTTGCATTGTGTTATCTGGCATTTTTTACTTTTGGGAGTATCAGAAATTACTTCACATTATGAGAGATACATAAAGACTGGCAAATGAAAGGTCTTGCAACTACTGAATCTTCTTCTAGTCTGCCTGTCAGTGTAGCTATATATGTGTTGAGTGTGATGTCTATAAAAAGACCTCTAAGTAATTGGCCTAAAGGAAGAAAAGTGCTTGGATGAAATATTTTTTAAAGGGAAGATAAAAGCTATGGTACCTTTTAGTTCACGTGACTTTAATCTTTGGGAAATAACAACAGCCTTAAAGATTATTAGTAAAATGCAGATGTCACCAATATGTAAATAGGAGGACTAAATTATGCAGGTTAGATACTAGGCTCACTAAATGTTTTAAGGTTACAAACTGCCTTTTGGGTTTTAAGAACTATTTGACTTGCTTGCTTCACAACTGGTAAGGCAATTGACATATAGACATAGTTCTATATGTCTGTAAGGGACATATACTTCCTTACAAACATATAGAACTATATGTCTGTCCCCTTATAGACATATAGAATTAACCACACCCTTACTTATGCTGGAAGGAGTCAATTATGCTGGCTGTATCTGGCACACAATTAAAACAACTTGCCAGGATTTACATTAAAGTTCAAATTGCTAGGAGGTACCATTAAAACACATAATTGAAACTACTGGAAATAGATTTACATGCTAGGTGTATAAGAACAGTAAAATGTGTTTTTAATGAAAGATTATTAGAAGATAGGAAAATGTAAAGTATTGGCTAGGGTTAAAGAATTGTTTTGAATTAGATAAGGTAAAGCTGAAGGTTCAAACAAGTGGCAGAAGGATCGTGGAAATGATTCTTGCAGAAGAGGCTTTCTGTGTGAACATGTTGACTAGGTTCTGGGGGTTATTATGTGGTTTCTCTGTGGGTTGAGCATTGGAATGAAAGCACAACAGGGTACTCTTGGGGCACTGATCTGCCCTTTGGCAAAATTTGGAAAGGGTTATAAAAGGTTTTTGCTTCATTAAAATTTCTCAGTCAAATAATTTATGGTAATCTGGAAATCAATTTCATAACATCAAGTGTGTTAATCCTCTAACATATTTAACAGGCTTCCCAAAATCAAACTTGAGCCTCATAATTGCCTTTCCTGATACCTGGCTTTTGGAAGGCTTTAGAGGGCCCCTGGAGCCTCCAGAAAAGAGGTAAACAGGATCATCTGACATGTTTAGTTACATGGGATTGCCAGAATGATGTTCAATCTTCTTTAGGTTATATTTTGGTGAATACTAATATTTGCTCCAAAACTGTATGGAATTTCTAAAATTTAATGTCTAAGTATATGTTAGCAAACATAAGGTTAAGCTATTATAAACCACAGAGATCACCAAACTTCTTTGTCAATTATGTTTCTAACTGTAACTACCCTGGACATTTCTATTCACAGATAATTGTTGTCTTCTTCTAATTCTTTTCAAAAGATGGTTTATAGTAAGTGATAGAACTTTGACAGGTGCTCTCAAATACAGGTTTCTGATAACTTTGTAGATTGTAATATTGGAATAAAGAAAAAATGTACAGGACTCATGAAGAGCTGAAATGTTCATGAATATCAAGAAATCAAGAACTAAATGGACTGAACTCAGAAAGCTGAAGCAATTATTTTTGACTTCTGCTTGAAATATTGCTGATCCTTGTTTTGTTTTTCAGTGTGAAGGAAACTTATTTTAAACTATTTATAGCCTTTAATAATTGAGTAAGGTATATTCCTGTGAACAAAATTTGGAGCATGTTTGTTTCTCTCTGCCTGATTCCTCATGAACCTGGAAACTATCTGTGAGTATTCTTAACTTATGGCAATATAGATGTTTGCATCAGTGCAATAAGAATCCATTTTTCTTTTGCAGCAGGACACAATTGGAGAAACTGGTTGTTTTACCAAGATTTCACTGGAACGGTATGCTTCCCTTTAAAGAGTCAAGCTCAACTTGCATAGCTAATAAAAGCCCCATGGTAAAAACTGGCCTCATACCATTGCCTACGCAGTTCTTGTACAGTGCTCCTAACCCATGGTCAGTAAAGAATGTCACTTTCTAACAGGCCTACGAACTCCAAGTTTATCTTGGGACCTTAAGAGAGGGTTACCCAACTCACAGGGTATTTGAGGATACAAACCCATGGCTGGGCTCAGCTTTAAAAGGTCTTATCTGAGATTCCTTGTGGAACAGAGTTCCATCGAAACCAATCTAAAAAGCCTATGTAGAAATAGTTATTCTTGCTGTACTTTATGCAAATAGTCAGGATAAGTATAAGACTAAAGTCTATGTTGCAAACAACTCAGTCCTATCATGATTTGTTTCGTTTTGTTTTTTAGCAAAAATGAGTACTGGAGGAAGAGAAATTATGTTTCAAAACATATCACACATTTGTCATTAAATTCTAAACTCACTGGAGTTCTCCTCACGAGGTCAGGAGATCGAGACCATCCTGGCTAACATGGTGAAACCCCATCTCTACTAAAAATACAAAAAATTAGCCAGCCATGGTGGCATGCACCTGTAGTCCCAGATACTCGGGAGGCTGAGGCAGGGAGAATCACTTGAACTTGGGAGGTGGTCACAGTGAGTGAAGATTGCACCACTGCGCTCCAGCCTGGGCGGCAGAGCAAGACTCTGTCTCAAAAAAATACAAATACAAATAAAAAAACAGCCATACTACTCAAAGCAATTTACAAATTCAATGATACTCCTATCAAACTACCAATGACATTTTACACAGAAATAGAAAAAAAAATTTTTTTAATTCATATGGAACCAAAAGAGAGGCAATAGCCAAAGCAATCCTAAGAAAAGAACAAAGCTGGAGGCATCACACTACCTGATTTCAAACACACCACAAGGCAGCTACGGTAACCAAAACAGCATGGTACTAGTATAAAAACAGACACATAGACCAATGGAACAGGCTACAGAAACCAGAAATAAAGCTGCACACCTACAACCACCAGATCTTTGACAACATTGAAGAAAACAAGCATTGGGGAAATGACTCCCTATTCAATAAATGGTACTGGGATAATTGGCTAGTCATATGCAGAAGATTGAAACTGGATCCCTTTCTTTTACCATGTATAAAAATCAGCTCATAGTGGATTAAAGACTTAAATGTAAAACTTAAAACCATAAAAACCCTAGAAGAAAAGCTAGGAAATATCATTCTGGACATAGGCCATGGCAAAGATTTATAACAAAGAATCCAAATGCAATTGCAACAAAAACAAAAACAAAAATTGACAATTGGAACCTAATTAAACTAAAGAGCTTCTTCACAGCAAAAGAAACTACCGATAGAGCAAACAGACAATCTAGAGAATGGGAAAAAAATTTGCAAACTCTGCATCCAACAAAGGTCTAATATCCAGAATCTGTAAGCAATTTAAACAAATTAATAAGCAAAAACTAAACAACCCTATTAAAAAATGGGCAAAGGACATGAACAGACACTTCTCCAAAGAAGAGATACATGCAGCCAACAAGCATATGAATAAATGCTGAACCTTACAAATTATTAGAGAAATGCAATTCAGAACCACAATGAGATACCATCTCACACCAGTGAGAGGGGCTATTATTAAAAAGTCAAAAAAATAACAGATGCTGGCAAAGCTGCGGAAAAAAAGGGAACGCTTATACACTGCTGGTGGGAATATATAAATTATTTCAGTCACTGTCGAAAACAGTTCAGAGATGTCTCAAAGAACTTAGAACTATCACTCGATCCAGCAACCCCATCACTGAGTATATACTCAAAGGAATATAAATCATTTTACCATAAAGACACATGCATGTGTATGTTCACTGCAGCACTATTCACAATAGCAGGGTCATGGACTCAACGCAGGAGCCCATCAACATTGGATTCATTCAAAAGGTGGTACCTATATACCATGAAATACCATGCAGCCATAAAAAAATGGAATCACGTCCTTTGTAGCAACATGGATGGAGCTGGAGGCTGTTATTCTAAGCAAATTAATGCAAAGACAGATAACTAAATACCACATATGCTTGTTTATAAGTGGAAGTTAAACACTGAATACCTGTGGACACAAAGAAGGGAACAATAGACACAGAGGCCTCTTTGAGGGTGGAAGGGTAGGAGGAGGGTGAAGACTGAAAAACTACCTATTGGGTACTATGCTCATTACCTGAGTGATGAAATAATCTGTACACCAAACCCCTGCAACACACAATTTTCCCATGTAACAAATCTGCACATGTACTCCCTCAACCTAAAATAAAAGGTGGAAAGAAAAAAAAAATATATATATATATATAAACTCTTGTACCTAATAATATAACATTTGGTCTAGGTATGTTTTCTCACAGACATAATATTTTAAGGCACAATTTCAAACCTATCACAGGCATATGATGTTTACAAATAGCTTAGATAATAGAGCTTTATGGATAGTTGCATTAATGTCTGCAAAAATCCTCATTGCCTGAAGCAATATATTGATTTAAAAAACATTTTACATAGCACTCCCTACTGGATACTGATACTGGAAGTTAAAAATATTATACAAACAACATACTTTCAGATTTCTTTGGGTTTTGGGTTCTAGCAGAAAAATACACCAAATCTGTGAAAATAGAATCTTACCCCAGGGAAGGAATCAGTCAGTGTTTACCACCTGTGTTTCATTAATGATTCTCTAATTTTGGGAACTGAGCAACTTGAGGTTCACCAGTTCTAATTTCCAACTTCAGATTCTTCTCCTGCCTTAGCTAATTGTGATTAGATAATCTTCCAGTTATGGGACATGTAAAGAACAGTAATTTTTCAGAATCAGGAATAAATCTCTGAAAGCCTGAGGTGTACAATTTTTGAAGACTGTGTTGCAGAAGTTAACAAACTAAGAAGTATGTACAAAGAAGCAGTGAATAATCCAAATCCCTAGGCCAAGATGTTCCCCAAAAAGATAATCAAGAAGTAAGCATAATCCGAAGATCTTTTATCATAGAGGTCAAAGAGTCCCATAGTTCCATGAGGTTTGTATATTCCGGGTACTCATACATGCACACAGGAGGGTGACGAGGGCACAAAGGTTGCAGACGGGGTAGGCATGGGAGAGCAGAGGAAAGAGGCTTGTATATGAACATACAGTCTATCAGCAAACTACATCTTTGGCTTATTAAGTAAATTATTAAGGCATTAATATTTGAGCTGCTGAGACAGCAAGCATTCCCATAGAACAACAGTCTATATGTTTGTCCTATGACTCATCTATACAAGATACAATATATTTTCAAGCAGTTTTGAAATTTAAATTACATCATCTTCAGGCAATAATTTCTTCTTCTTAAAATTCCGATTTACTCCTTCACTGATACAAACTAGCGAAAGGACAAGTCATCCAATACATTCTCAACTTTGGATCTCTAATGCTGGCACATAGGAGGTTCTCGGTAAATATTTATGAACTGAACTGAGTGATCCACATTATCGGGGAGGCCTTCTTTAATTCCCACAGCAGTTAATTGTTCGATCTTCTGCAACCTTAATCACTGCTTGTTTATCAAAAGTGATCACAATACATTTTATTTTCACCATTTGATTAATGTGTTATTTTCCATACTACATTGGAAGACGATCAATTACAGGAACAATATCTAATACATGGTAGGTGACAATAAATGTTTAGTAGGAAGGAAGAAAAAGGACAGAAGCTGACAAAATATGTTTCAGGAAACTTTTTTTTTCTTTTTACTACTTTTTTTTTTTTAATCTTTTGTCAACCACTGACTTTCAACAGAAAGCGGTGAGGGACCAGGCACAGTGGCTCACGCCTATAATCCCAGCACTTTGGGAGGCCAAGGCAGGAGGATCATTTGAGCCCAGGAGTCCCAGATCGGCCTTGGCAACATGGCGAAACCCCATCTGTACAAAAAAATTTAAAAATCAGCCAGGTGTGCTGGTACACGCCTGTAGTCCTAGCTACTTAGGAGGCTGAGGTGGGAGGATCGCTTGAGCCCAGGAGGCAGAGGTTGCAGTGAGCAAAGATCACGCACCTGGACTCCAGCCTGGCGACAGAGTGAGACCTTATCTCTAGATAAATAAATACGAACGAACCAAAGAAAGCAGTGAAGTTGCTCTGCTATGTATGAAGTCCTGACCAAGAAGCAGTGTTCAGGAAACTTTTGATGACCAGTTTACAAATTTATTCTCACAGACTACCCTATCTCCTGCTACTGTCCCATCCACATTCTCTGATTTAATAATGTAGTTCCACCTCCTGAGCAAGATTTCCATGATTAGACAAGTTGGAAAATTTGTCTTCCTCACTTTAGAATGGATGCATCTTAACCTCTATAGTTAAAAAGATTTGAATATACTATACATAGATTCAGCACTGTGAGCATCTTCAAGATGACTGATATCTCTTTGAGAACAAAAGAAACAAAACTTAAACCATGATTTATTTTCTGCACAGTTCCACCATACACCGAAATTTAAAATATTATGGAATAAATGTGCTCTCAATGGAGGAATAAATAAATAAATTATGACACCTTCATTCAATGAAGTATGTTAAGACAGTTTAAGGAATAAGGTAGTTCTATATGATTATGAAAGACTAAATACAGTGTGGAAAAGTAATGTTACAGAAGAAAAGATGTTTAGCATGATCCTAGGTGTTGAAAAGCTAAGCAACAATAACTATATATGTATAACATTTGAAATGTACATGCATATATAGATAACTAAGTACTTTAAAATGCCTAGAAGGATACACACCACATTGTTAAAAATGATTACCACTAGGGAAAGGAGTGTGATTTTTATTCTTTATAGTTCTGATTGTAAAAATGCTATATGAAAATATTATATGCATTTACTACTTGTGCAATTTTTTAAATGGAAAAAGGAAATTTGAATGCCTAACTACTTATGCATTGCACAAGATAGTTTATATACATTATTCCATCCCATCATCCTGACAAAGCTGTGAGACTGGTATCTCTAGATAAATAAATGACAATGGCTTTGTCATACCACATGGAGGCACAGAGAAGTTATTAAATGGCAGTCTGAATTTGAAAACAGGGCTCTGTGAAGACAAACTGTACATGTGCACTTTTCCTTATACTATGAAACCTCACCAAAAAAAATGCTTCACTGAGAAGCATTGAGCCTTTAATCCTTGCTTTCACTTTCTGCTTTAAACAGGAGATTGCTCCAAAATTATTTGTATATGCATACATACATATATACATACTTTTATTTAACAACTCCTATTTATTATTATACTTCATTTGAACCCTCAAGATTTAGAGTCTACGTTTCTCCATGATGGATAGCAAGGTGGGTAAGAAACATATTTCACATGTAAAATAAGAAATGGCAAATATGAAATAATATAACTTCATAAAAAGGAAGCAAAATTTGCCTATTCAACTTATCCAAATAATATGTGAAAAGCCCATTCCACCATTCCCATTTTATTTTTAATAAAAAGGTATTAAGTTCTTCCAGTGACCTTTAGAGAAAGAACATGGCCTATAAAATCTATTTCAGGATATTAAACCTGGTTGATGTTTCATGTGTTGACCTTATGAATAGCAATCACTCAACTAGCTATTTCATTTTCCTTTCTTATTTATACTACCTTCCCATAATATACTATGATTTTGTATGATTTCTGTGAGGTCAGAGCTGTATTCTGACAATTCTAATCTTTCTATAAAGTTTTGGAACTCCTTTTTAGGAAACAAATGCATTTAGAAGTGGTTATTTAATGTTATAAATGGCAATTGTTTTATTCACCAAAGTAACCCCAGTGCCAACAGTGCCTGGCACATAGTGAGTGCTTAATAAGTATTTACTAACAAAATGAAATTACTATACTCTGATGTCTAAACCTTACCAAAAGTTACTGTGACTCAGCCACAATGAATAAGGTGACGAATCAGTGCAGATGAAGTGAAGACTCACTCATCAATAACCTTAACTATAACTATAAGGTAATTCATTGTTCTCTTCTATTGAGTGTGTTCTATTCTATTCTCTTATGTTCTGTTATTCTATTGCTTATAAACGGAGATGGGAATGATATAAAAAGATGATTAAAAAACGATTTGACCAATGGCAGCACCACTAGAATAAACGTATGTAGCCTTACAAGTGGATCACTTTATAGAGAATAATACTAATCTGAACACATAATAAGATTTCTCAAGAGAAACTCAGGGTCATTATTTCATACTTATACTACAAGTAAAAATTTAAAATTCCAAACTTCTAAGGCTTAAATGACAGAGTCTTAGTTCACCATATTAACTGAATTATATGGAGGGGAAAAGAACTTCACTATATACTACTTTAAATCTTTACAGAAAGAGCCAGGTGTGGTGGCTCACACCCATAATACCAGTACTTTGGGAGGCCGAGGCAGGTGGATCACCTGAGGTCAGGAGTTTGAGACCAGCATGGCCAACATAGTGAAACCGCGTCTCTACTAAAAATACAAAAAATACAAAGCTTAGCTGGGTGTGGTGGTGGGCGCCTGTAATCCCAGCTACTCGGGAGGCTGAGGCATGAGAATCGCTTGAACCCAGGAGGTGGAGGTTGCAGTGAGCTGAGATCACGCCACTGCACTCCAGCCAGGGTGACAGAATGAGACTCTGTCTCCAAAAAAAAAAAAAAAAAAAAAGAAATTATTTAATAGGCCAGGCATGGTGGTTCACACCTATAATCTCAGTACTTTGGGAGGCCAAGGTGGGTGGGTCATTTAAACCCAGGAACTCCAGACCAGCCTGGACAACATGGCAAAACCCCATCTCTCCTAAAAATACAAAATTTAGTCAGGCATGGTGGTGTGTGCCTGCAATCCCAGTTACATGGGAGGCTGAGGTGGGAGAATCGCTTGAGCCCAGGAGGCAGAGGTTGCAGTGAGCGGAGATCACTGCCACTGCACTCTAGCCTGGGTGATAAAGTCAGAACCTATCTCAAAAAAAAAATTAATTGTATTATGTCTTGTTATTATACTGATAAAGATGTTATATTAGGCATTTTATTGTGTCATACATTATTCTACGCAAGTCGTACAGAAGTAATACTTTCAAGTCATTCAGCATTTTGAAAAATAGACCCAAACCATTTCCACTTCTCATTTACACTTTGATGAAGCCTGTTCTATATTCTTGTCTTGGCAAAATTCAGCAGTACATTTAATGTGAATGTTACTACTACAATTAGAAATTGTATAGAAATTATAATCTGTATAATTAAAATGAATATGGGAAGTCTTGAATGTTAGCAGGAAAAAACACAATAAACTATAAATTAGCAAAGTAAGCTGACTGTAAATAAAAACCAGAATAAAACTAGATATACTTCTGAAGGACAGTACAGAGTTTGTAGGTAATGAATGCTAGTTAATTTTCTTCCAATAGAAACACACTGAAGTTTTGTTTATTGGCTAAGTGAAACAAGGAAGAGATGGCATTAGCCTTTCCCACACTATACTTACGTACAACCCCTAGACTTCAGTGATTTGCTCCAATGCTGTCCTGAGAATCCGTCTAAGGAAGTGCCTTGCAAAGACCTACCTATAGTATAATCGTTAACTGACCAAACTTTCTCATACGGAATCCAAGCCACATTTTTCACAAGCCAGCTTTCATTCTTTAGTGAATAAGGTTAAACCCAATGTTAAATCAAGTAAAAGAGAGAAACTGCCTTCCCCTACCCCAGCCCTCAGAGTATCAACAAACTGCTGGAGGGGAGAACGTCTTCATAGCTAAAAGGTCACAGAAGGTCTTCATAGCTAAAAGGTCATGGAAGGTCTTCATAGCTAAAAGGTCATGGAAACAACAAGCGTTTTGAAAACAGGAAGAACTGGGCTGCAATCACAGCTGTATCACTTTGTAACTTTCAAGACCTGGGCTCTCTCTGAGCTAGGTCTTCTCATCTGAAAAGTGGAGAAAATTATATAACCTCACAGGGATGTTGTGAGGCTTAAGTGAAATATTTTAAATAAAGCAACACACAGTGCATATTAAATACGAATTGTCTTCTCTTCTTTGCCTTAAATTTTGTCATCTACTTCAGCACTTAGGACAGGACTGGGGCACAATGTGGGAAACCAATGGTTTCTGGATTAATTGGCTTTGTCAGGTTAATGTCAGAATCCTCTTGATCAATCCAAGAATGGATGACCCACATAATGATTTTTAAATCAGCAAATTAAATAATCAGTAATTTTTAAAAACAGAAAAAGACAACTAAGTGAAATAATGTGAAGTTAAAGCAGCCTTGGGCTGCAATGGGTAGTTTAGTGATTATGAGCAGGAGCTGCAGAAAACCAAGATTACCACTTTTTCTAACCATGCCAGAGGGAAGAGCATTAATTATGTCAGATGAGGGATAAAAGCGCCAATAAAATATGACCCTGTGCTACACAGGAGTGATGCTAATAAGTCTTCAAGAAAAATTTCATAACCAAAATGAATGATCATTTCTGAAGCATGACTATTCAGAGCTAACCTTAATTTCACGAAAAGTCACTAACAACCGTCATGCCTAACTAAAGCTAGTTGTCAAACATCCCAGAAAACCATGCTGTCTCTGTGGGAGACAAAGCAAACTCACGACCCTTGGGAGAGGAACCAAATATCTCATAGAGAAGTATAAAATGAGTACGAAGTTGTCACATCCACATTATAATGAAGACATCAAAATGTAAATTAATCTACTTTCTAATAAATACATTTAAAATTACAGAACTGGAAAGCTATAATAGGCATTCTTTAAGTTCTAATTCATCATTCAATATGCTATTCAGACCATCTAGTTTGGCTTAAAATTTTTTTCATGTCTATTCTAAGTGTAGCTTAACTTTACCATATTTTTATGGACTATTAGTTTTTTATGTAATACGAAACTGAAAGAATGTGACTATGGGTGAACATTACGTCTATTAAAATTTTGCAGTACTTTAATTTGCATTATAATTTAGTTATAAGAATTTTATTGCAGCAAAAAATTGAAATGAAAACTGGAGTTATGACAATGGATATTGAAGGTACTCAGCTTATACTACAGCAAATGAAACTAAACTACTTCTGTAACATGAAACTACAATGGAAATCAGCCTTGAACTTGTCAGTTTTTTGTAGTTAGTTTGAAGACTGTTTGCTGTTTCCTCTACTTTTCAAAGAAAATTATATTTCTTGAAGCACCTACCACTATTTTTACGGTCATTCCATAATATTGTTGAATCTTACAAGGATACTTAGGAAAAAAAGAACTTCTAAAGCCAGTGTTTAATACTATTGTTCTCTTTTAAATTATAAGCTGCATGAAATATGAAAGAGGCTGGAAGGAACCCAATCCCACCAGCATCAGAAAGAGCCTCCACAAAGACCTTTAAGCAATTAGCACATCAGTTTCTCAAAGATACACATGTGGAAAAATAAACTGGACTCGGGCGGAAATCAGCTTAACTTCTAGTGCTAACCAGTTATACCTCTGATTTCCATTCAATTGGTTAGGCAACTCTCTGAAAATGGAGGCAGTCATTACATCCTGAAGCAGAGCTCCCTACTGAAAGGAGAACTACATGATCCTCAGGACACAGAAGGGATCACTAATTACTGTAGTCATGAACGATAAACAGATGAGACAGGAGATGTATATATATATACTCATTTCCAAGAGCAACAGTTGGAAATTTTAACGTTTATAGCAATGTACAGCAATGGCCTCAACATGGAACCCTGAAGTGGGTTCAGATGAGTAAAAGGATCTGGGCCAGGTAAATCCAGGCCAGAAGTCAGAACCTGGAGTACACCAGCAAACTGACAGAAGCAGAGTGCCATACCAGTGAAAGGAAGCTGCAAAAACAGCCATGGATCACACCCAGGAACTGTGGGGTTATGCCCAGTGGGAATCAGGGATGCAGATAATGACATATTTATTCAAAGACTAAGTTCAAGTTTGGAATATGAGGATGCTTAATTCAGAGCCCAAGATCTGCAATCTGAATTAGAAGACAAAGAAGAGATGAAGATGGCACAAAGGACTGCTGCTCAACAAATATGATGCTGTAGATAGACTTCTGCTCTTCAAAGTGCAGGCCATCCACAGGCAGCAAGGGCCTCACCTGGGAGCTTGTTAGAATAGCAGTTTCTCAGGCCCTATCCCAAACCCGCTTAACTGGATCTGAATTTAATTAGATCCAAGGCTCTACAGTGATAGTACTACTATCTTGCGAAAAAAAAAAAAATGAGAGAGAAGAGGGGAGGGAAGAAGAGAGGGTGTGAGATGTTGAAGATGCCAGAGATCAAAATTAGACAGCAGCTTTGTTGTCTTAGGAAAATCTAGCTCTACAATCCCTAGAAAGTAAGATCATGAACCAACTAAAACAGCTTAAATATCAAAACTAACATCTTGTTCATCAAAGCTTGCTTTAAGATCTTTGCATCACCGTACTGACAAATCCAAAGCTATTATCTCATCAGCTCAACTCTCACAATCACAATCAGTTCTCCACCTTGTAAGATCTACCTTGAAATCATCCAGCCTCGGCCCTAAAACCGTATAAGTACTTTCCCCTAACTCCCCCGACAGTCAATGATTGAGTGCCATAATATTTTGAAGCAGAAAAAAATATTAACAAGTATCTGGTCTAAGTCCCTTATTTCGTGGAAGGAATTCACAACTTGCTCAAGGATGCAGAGCTTGTTAAGCATAAAACCAACACCAAAAACAAGATCTCCAGACTCTATTCAGGGATCTGATATTTTTAAAATACATTCATTATTTTGGTCTGTTTATTCTGGACAAGGTCATTTCTTTATGCTACTGTAATTCACCAGTGTGCCCAGAACACCATGCTTAGTGGGTGCTGTCAATATGCAACATGCCAGAATGAATATAAACACATAAATTTAATTTTAACCAAAGAGCTCAAAAAGGTTAAGAATAATATCATTATAGTATGATTATCAGCATCCTAATAAGAACTAACAATATCAGAGCATTTACCACACGCAAAGTACTGTTGAGAGCTATTTACATATGATTTCATTTAATCCTCACAATAACTCTCCTAATAATAATGGTACTATCATTATCATTCTAAAGATTTTTTTTTAAATGGGGTTTAGTAACTTAACCAAGGTCACACTGGTAGCAAGTGGAAGACCTAGGATTTAAACACTGAAATATGCTTTGTTTCTTTTTTTCAGGTAAAGCAAAAAAAAAAAAAAAAAAAAATTTCACAGCAATATATAACCTGCTTCCAAGGTAACATTTAAATCAGAAATACTGCTTTAATGACAATTTTCCCCAAAATATGAAGGGGTTTCTAAGCAATTCTGGTATTGGTCGCTGCACTCTGTCCATGTCAGCCATGTAAATGAACCATTTCAGCTGTCATGTTACTTGACGCATCTGTCCTTTACCTAGATTTCACTTCTTTCTATTTCCATTTCAATACCATATTAGTTGAAGACAACTGCAGTTCACAAGAATAAAAATAACTCTCATCTTGTAAATTAAATACATGATAATTGCTAGACTCTGCTTTAAAGAGGTCTAAGGTAAAAACATAGATTTTTTTCTCTAGTGCATTATTTAGCACTATGTTCAAGACTTTTCCAGAAATAGATGTTATATCACTTCTTATTCTGAAACTTACTCTAGATGGCAAGATTTAGGAAGCTTTTCTCTATTTTATTTAAAAGTATATAATTTTCTCTTTCTTTACCATATTCCTGAAATTTAAATGGTTAAGTTCAAATTCCTCGGTATCTTAGGTAAAGTTCACACTATGACACACAAGGCCTATTAAATAGCACTGACTCACCCTATGCATGAAGGAATAAACATGCTACTGGTGACTTACATTTGGATTACAATGTAGATGAATAATCTATGTGATTTCTTCCATTTTCTCTTCAGGGAAAGAAAAAATCAGTACACAGAGATAGCTCAAAGTTTGTATACAAGGGGTAAAAGCAGTCAGAGCCATGTAGTTTGGCCTTGGAGATGCTGTCCACAGTTTAATAGAAAAATCAAAAGTGCCCTCACCACGTCATAAAGCTATTATAAACCTAGGTCAGTATTTTGTTATATTTATTACATTTATTTTATGAGTCTGAATTTTGAAACTTTTCGGACTTGACCAGTAGAAGACTTTTTTTTACTATGAAAATATGTTCTTATTCAAAACCTGCAGGAAAATAAATAAACTGAATTTTATTCACCAAGTAAAAAGTTTAAATTATTAGACAACACATAGTGCTGGAAAGTTCATTCTGAACCAAAACTGTACTAATCTTCGAACATGATTAATTAATTCATTCAACTTGTATTATTATTCAACATTGAGTCCCCAGCACCAAGCCTTGTATCAGGGGCTATACAAAGCTGCAACAAATCTTGTCCATGACCTGAAGGATTTCATAGCCTAGTAAAGAAAAAAGATATATAATTATCTAATAGCAATGCAGTGACATCAGAGCCAAAAGAAGCCTGTATAAAATGTCATGGGAACCAGTAGAGCAATTAATTGAAACCTGAAATGCAGAGAAGGGAGTTGTCAGAAAATATGTAAAAACAAGAGATCACTAGAGCAGAATAAAAGATTATGGAGTGCACCAAGCTTACAGAGAAAGGCTATTTAATACAGAGGGAACTTCATGATAAAGGTGCAGAAGCCAGAAAGAGAGTGACCCTCCTGGGAACTGCCAGGTACATTAATAACATTGCAGCAGAGAATGTGAGGAAGACAGGAGGCTGGATAGGTATCCAGAAGTCTAACAGGGAGGATGCTGAACAGCAGATTCCAGGTTTGCATTTTATTCTTTAGAAACTGAAGAGCCACTGGGGCATCATATGATCCAAACTCTAGAAGATATATCTGTTGGCAGAGCAAATGACTGCTAGACAGGGAGTAAGCCCTAGGCATAAAAGTCTAGTTTGGGTCAAAACAATCATTCTAGGGCCTTGAATTAAGACAGTGACACCAGTAATGCATAAGGGAGGAAATATTCAAGAAATATTTAAATAGTAGAATTTAAAAAACTAAGAAGGACTTAAATTTGGTATAGGTCTTAGGTATAAGTATCAATATAATGAAAATGAGATACAGCAGAAGAAAGAGTGCACTGATAAATTCTAACTCTCAAATAGTTTATTTCTTCAAATTATAATAACTAAAACCTTACATCCTGATAGATCTTTTTATCCTTGAGGTCATTGAGCAAATGATTATTATCAAAGCTACAAGCCTATTAAGAATTGGGATAAAGTGGGTATAACAAACTAATTGAGCCTTACTGTGTATTTCCATGAAAAAAAGATAACCAAACAAGAGGATCTCTGAATGGGCACAGAAAGAAATTTATATAAAAAGATTCCACAAAACTAAAATAATTTCTGTTAGAAATACGTAAGTTAAGAAAACACGCTTTTATTTTAAAAACCTCTATATTAAAGATATTTATCATGAAAACTACCAGTGGACTACATAAAATCTGCTTAACACAAATGAAAGTTAAGGCCTTACACTTTAAAAATCAAGGCTCACTCATATAATCCCAGCACTTTGAGAGGCTGAGAAGAAAGGATTGCTTGAGGACAGGAGCTTGAGACCAGCTTGGGCAACATAGCAAGATCCTGTCCCTAAAACAAGAAAAAAAAAATTAGCTGGGCATGGTGGCACATGCCTGTAGTCCCAGTTACTCATGAGGCTGAGGCAAGAAGATCACTTGAGCCCAGAAGTTCAAGGCTGCAATGAGCTATGACTGCACGACTGCATTCCAGCCTGGGAGATCAAGGAAGATCCTGACTCTAAAAATAAAATAAACATGTTTATATAAGCCACAGTTAAAAGGGGCTCAATTTGAACAGGAAAACTGTCAAAGCAGGAAGAACATCAATAGAAATGATTAACACTCTCTATCAATGCTTACCGTAATACCAAATAAAGCTGCTTAATTAAGATTATTTTTTAAATAATTATTTTAAAAATACGACATATTTTTAAATGTTATTTGGAAGCATGGGAATTTGCTAAGAGAAATGTCACCAAATGGGGCATGGTTCTATTTCCTACATTTAGCAAAGCCTTATGATGCACAGTGTATTTTCTCTAGAGTTCCATCTGGGTTTCTCACTACAAATTTCCAGATGAAGTCCCCTAATCAAATCTATAGCATCAAGTTGGCCAAAGCCTAAGAGTGATGCCCACTTTGGAGTCATTTAGCCATAGAATGTTCCGTTACTCAAAACTTATTAAATGTATTGTTTTTGCTTAAGGACAGAGGAAATAATAAGGCTGCCTCTATTAGGACATCGAGATCTGTGGTCAAGTTCCCGAGATAGAAAAAGAAAGAAAAAGCATGCTAGAACTTGAGATGTCCCAACTTCCATCTTCAAAATATATCAGCAAACACTTATATCAAAACATTTAAAATCAAAGATCACAGTAAATTTAAAGGTTTAGTCTCTTGTCCTTAATTTTTGAAGTTAGACTTGCATGACTCCCATTTAGCTACAAAGATGGAAATTCATGACAAAACTTATTTAGCAGGCAGTGAAAAAAAGATGAGACTGAAATCATCCTAAATCAGAAGCCATTAAAAGTTTAGATGCGAATTATAAAAAGTTAACAATAAGCTGTCCTGTAAGCAGAAAACCCCATGAAAGAAATAGTCCAGGCGCAGTGGCACACACCTGTAATACCAGCACTCTGGGAGGCTGAGGCGGGAGGATCACCTGAAATCAGGAGTTCGAGACCAGCCTGGCCAAAATGGTGAAACCCTGCCTGTATTAAAAATACAAAATTGGCTGGGCATGGTGGCGCATGCCTGTAATCCCAGCTACTTGGGAGGCTGAGGCAGGAGAATCGCTTGAACCTGGGAGATGGAGGTTGCAGTGAGCTGAGATTGCATCATTGCACTCTAGCCTGAGCAACAAGAGCAAAACTCCATCTCAAAAAAAAAAAAACAAGAAAATAGTCCACTGACTGAAGTCACAACAAGCTAATTCTTTTTGACATATTGTTGATTTATAACTTATCAATCATCAGATATTTACAAGTGAGCCGACAAAGTTAATGCAACCAAAGTTAATATACAAAGTAAATGTACCACATTTTTTTTTAGTATACAGAAAATTATTTACTGGTTCAACTATTGGAGGAAGACAGAAATATAATAAAGAATACAAGTTAAGCACCTGATGAGTATATTTTCAAAACATACCAGGTAGCTAAAATATGTACGAAGAGGAACTATCCACAGCTCAACAGCCCAATCCCAGACTCTGTGTCTGTCCTTCCTAGTCTCCATCCACAGCTTTAGCAATAAGACTTGATCTATAATCCAAATAACAGCATAAGTGTTCATCTCTATGGCTGGTGCCTATTTCAGTCCTGAGCTACAAGACTTGAATCTTAAATTGCCAAAAAGGAGGGCCATGTAAACACTGTGAGGCTATTAATAACAAAGGGAGTAAAACAATAAACTTTAAAAGATTTTATATGACAAATGAAAAATCAATGATATATATTTTGAAAAAAGAGCATATATGACATATATCAGAACTTTAAAAGATTTTATATGACAAATGAAAAATCAATGATATATATTTTGAAAAAAGAGCATATATGACATATATCAGAACCTATAAAAATGACAAATTTCAATTATTACACAAGATTCTCGAATGTTGACCAAAGGGTACAAAGTTTCAGTTAGATAGGAGGCAAAAGCTTCAGTGACCTACTGTACAGAATGGTGGCTATAATCATAAAACGTTATATATTTCAAAATTGCTAGAAGAGTAGACTTTAAATGTTTTCATTACGAAAAAATAGTAAGTATGTGAGGGGCCAGATTTGTTAATTAGCCTGATTTAATTATCCAACACTGTAAGCATATACCAAAACATTATATTGTACCCTGTAAATATATACAATTACTATTTGTCAATTAAAAATAACTTTAAAAAAATTCTCATTAAGGCTGTTGGAAATCACTTAATGTTTAGGTACCACAACTGTTCATCTACACAAACCAACATCCTCAAGAAAATTTGTGAAATATGAACTGAAAGAGAAGAAAGCTATAAAACCAGTAAGTTAAACATAAAGAATAATTCTTTTTTAATGGACTAATAATCATGTGATTGTTGGTAAAATAAACTAATAAAGTCTATAAGAAAAAGGTAACAAATAATAAAATAAAAAACAGCAACAATTGTTTCATCTTTTAAAAACCATTTCTAATCAAGGCAACGAAGGCC
Organism: Homo sapiens; assembly: GCF_000001405.40. NCBI lineage: Eukaryota > Metazoa > Chordata > Mammalia > Primates > Hominidae > Homo > Homo sapiens. The sequence continues at coordinate 47,473,429 of NC_000016.10, read as the reverse complement.
TAATGTGAAAAAGAAAATGAGAACAAGTATGAATGTATTCAAAATACATCACAGAGGCCAGGTGCAGTGGCTCACGCCTATAATCTCAGCACTTTGGGAGGCAGAGTTGGGAGGAGTGCTTGAGACTGGGAGTTCCAGACCAGCCTGGGCAAAATAGTGAGGACTTGTCTCTACAATAAAAAAAAAAAAAAAAAAAAAAAAAAAAAAAAAATTAGCCAGGCATGGTAGTGCACACCTATAGGCCCAGCAGAAGGGAATGCTTGAGCACAGGAGACCGAGGCTGCAGTGAACTGTGACAGTGCCACTGTACTCCACTCCAGCCTGGGTGAGAGAGCAAGACCCTGTCTCAAAAACAAAAACAAACAAACAAACAAACAAAAAAAAAAACACAGATCCTAGAAGCTACAATGAACCATCAGAAAGCATCTTCAAGACTAAATATGTAATATATGCAGTTACAATTTTCTATTACTTGTTTTCTTTTTATTTATTTTTGAGACAGGGTCTCACTCTGTCACCCAGGCTGGAGTGCAGTGGTGCGACCTCACTGTAGCCTCAACCTTTCGGGCTCAAGCTGTCCCTCCTGCCACAACCTCCAACCAGCCATCCCAGGCACCACAACACCTGGCTAATTTTTGTTTTTTTTTTGAGATGGAGTCTCGCCCTGTCGCCCAGGCTGGAGTGCAGTGGCACGATCTCGGCTCACTGCAAGCTCCGCCTCCTGGGTTCACGCCATTCTCCTGCCCGGCCTCCCGAGTAGTTGGGATTACAGGTGCCCACCACCACGCCTCGCTAACTTTTTTGTATTTTTAGTAGAGACGAGGTTTCACTGTGTTAGCCAGAATGGTCTCGATCTCCTGATCTCGTGATCCGCCCGTCTCGGCCTCCCAAAGTGCTGCGATTACAGGCGTGAGCCACCGCACCCAGCCTAATTTTTGTATTTTTTGTAGAGATGGTTTCGTCATGTTGCACAGGCTAGTCTCAAATTGGGCTCAAGCAGCCCGCCTGCCTTGGCCTTTTGAAGTGCTAGGATTACAGGCATGAGCCACCGCAATGGGCAGTTGTTTTCTAATCAGGGATTTGAAAATAGATGTGTCCCAAAACCATAAAAGATATGTCTTAATTGCATATATTTTCTAAAAGTCCATTATCTGTTCAGAGGTAAATTAAATGTCTAAATGCATCCTTCTGCCTGAATCAAGCAAAGAATCAAGGACCTTGTGTAGCTTTGCAGACTATTCCTCAGAATAGAAGGGTCAATATGCCATTTTAAAATGTGAAAACAGAATAGCATCATGATATAAAACTAACTGTATCTAAGATTTTACTATATATACACACACATGTATTTCGCACATATACTTTTTATTTTTTGAGACGGAGTCTCTCTCTGTCACCCAGGCTGGAGTGCAGTGGTGCAATCTCAGCTCAATGCAAGACCCGCCTCCCGGGTTCACGCCATTCTCCTGCCTCAGCCTTGCGAGTAGCTGGGACTACAGGCGCCCGCCACCATACCCGGCTAATTTCTTTGTATTTTTAGTAGAGAGGGGGTTTCACCACGTTAGCCAGGGTGGTCTCGATCTCCTGACCTCGTGACACATATACATTTTATATTTGTATATATGCACCTTAATTAATTATGCATTAGAACCTACCTACCATTTATACCTCTGATTCAATAAACTCACTTTCTAAAGTTAGTTTATTCTCCGTTTAACAGGAAATGGGCCACAGGAATATTCTTCCAAAAGTGAGTTTACTGAGTCAGAGATATGTAGATTCTAATGCATAATCAAGGTGGCCACATCTTCTGAATCCAGAATGATGATATACTCAATATCTGTGCCTTCACAGCCATTCACTATCAAACATAGATTGAGTGGCCCTATGCACCCAGCATGGTGCCAGGTGTTAAACATAGAGCTATATGACACACAGCTTCGGCCATGAGGTTGCTCCCCGCCTTTTTGTCACCTTCCAGTCTATTTTTACATAACAGACAGAGAATCATCATAAAATACTAATCCAGCCTTACAACTCCACTGCTTCAAATTTTCACCTTCCCTTCCATTTATAATAAAATTCAAACATCTTCAAGGCTCCCAAGACCCTGCCCATCCCAGGCCTTCCTCTCACCCATTCCTGTCATTCACAATGCTTTACCCATAATGGCCTTTTCAGTACGCTTTAAATACCCAGCTCTATCTAGCCCCAGGATCCTCAGCCTAGAGTCCTCCTTACCCCAACTTCTCCACTGATTCCTATTTCTAGGAGTTAAATATCACTTCCAGAGAGGCTTTCCTTGAAGTCCCTACTTCAACCCTGCAGGAGACAGAGAGCTGATGAGTGGTGTTAAGTAACCACTTAAGGGTTAGTTCATTTTAGAAAAATCACCCAGGCAACAATAGTGTGCATTGACTAGGGTGATTGTACAAGGAGAGGTTATGGCTCTAGTAGCAAAGTTCAGTAGGAAACAACTGGAGGAATCCAGGAGAGAGACAGAGTGAATGTATACAAAAGCACTGGTCGCCTTGAGTTCTGCATAAATTCCATCAGGCTATTAGCTCTCTCAACCACTATTATTTATTACAAACTTCCTACATCAGAGAGGTCCAATAAACATCAGTTAATTAGAAATGAATGAAAGAAGAACAATAAACATCAAGAAGACATCAGTAGTAACCACTGTTGTTTATTTATGGAGTACTAGGCACTATAGATGAAGAGAAGGAAGGCAGCAGTGGCTGGGTAATAGGGTCTGCCAGAGTTTGGGTGACTTTAAGTAAGTTACTTTACTTCCCTGTGCTGTGAGTTTTTCAAAAGGGAATAGTAATAACACCTACAAAAGAGGATGTTGGGAACAGGCCCCCAAAATCTGGCCATAAACCAGCCCCAAAACTGGCCATAAACAAAATCTCTGCAGCACTGCGATACGTTCATGATGGCCATAACGCCCACTCTGGAAAGTTGTGGGTTTAAGGAATGAGGGCAAGGAACACCTGGCCCGCCCAGGGCCTAAAACCGCTTAAAGGCATTCTTAAGCCATACAACAATAGCATGAGGGATCTGTGCCTTAAAGACATGCTCCTGCTGCAGTTAACTTGCCCAACCCATTCCTTTAATTCGGCCCATCCCTTGTTTCCCATAAAGGATACTTATAGTTAATTTAATATCTACAGAAACAATGCTAATGACTGGCTTGCTGTGAATAAATACGTGGGTAAATCTCTGTTAGAGGCTCTCAGCTCTGAAGGCTGTGAGACCCCTGATTTCCCACTTCACACCTCTGTATTTCTGTGTGTGTGTCTTTAATTCCTCTAGCGCCGCTGGGTTAGGGTCTCCCCAACCAAACTGGTCTAGGCAAGAGGATTTCTGTGAGATTTAAATGTAAAGCACTACTTGTAACACATTAAGTACTCAATAAAGATTAGCTGCTTAAAAAGTTGTCACTGCTGTCATCATAGCATGAAAAATCATTATTATCATTAGTACTACTACTACCACCACTAGGTACTTCCAGACATTACTTCATCTTCACAAAAGAACTTATGAGGGATATACTATTATCTCCACTCCATAGTATGGAAAATTAAGTGCAAAACATTAGACACAATTTGTTTGGTTTTAGGGGGAAAAACATTTTGTTTATTTATTTCTAATAATTTCAAATTTTGTTTTAGGTTTAGGGGTACACGTGCAAGTTTGTTACCTGGGTATATTACGTGATGCTGAGGTTTGGGGTGTGAATGATCCCATCATTCAGGCAGTGAATAAAGAACCCAACAGTTAGTTTTTCAACCCCTGCCCTGCCCCTCTCCCTCACTCTCCCCTCTAGCAATCCCCAGTTTCTACTGTTGCCATGTTTATGTCCATGAGTACCCAATGTTTAGCTCCCACTTAGGAGAACATGCAGTAGTATTTGGTTTTCTGTTCTTGTGTTAATTCACTTAGGATAATGGCCTCCAGCTGTATTCATGTTGCTGCAAAGGACATGATTTCATTCTTTCCACAGCTGTGAATTATTCCCTGGTGTATATGTACCACATTTTCTTTATCCAACCCACTGTTTTTGGGCACCTAGGTTGATTCCATGTCTTTGCTATTGAGTTCACAGTTTGTAAGATTCAATACTAGTATTTGAACCTAGTTGTACGAGTCTAACATCTATATAATAACCATATTATGACACTGTCTCTCAAAAGAAGCAGGACAGTCTCCAGTGTGATAGATATTATATGATTTACTGAACATTTTTTATGTTCCAGGCACTCTTCTGGACTTTAGGGATACAGCTATGCACAAAACAAGTAAGTCTCTGCTTTTATATAGCTTATATTCTAGTGGATGAAGATGAACAGGAAAACTAAGAAGGGGGAAAAATTACCTAATAATAAGGACACTACAGAGAATTAAAATTAAGAGTGATGTGTCTGGGGGCTACTTAGATTGGGTGGGCAGAAAAAGCCTTTCTAAAGAGGCTACATTTAAGATAAGAACCTAAAACTCAACCAGAAGGAACAAGCTACCCAAACAGCAGTATAGAGAGCTTTCCAGGCAGATAAAATAGCTATTAGAGAGAGCCTAAAAAGCTATACTACAGAGCCTAAAGTGCAAATTAGATTGCATCTTATGGACCCAAAGATAGCAGTGGAGAAGAAGAGGAGAATTCTGTGAGGAGGTCAGAGGGGCAGGCAAAAGCCATGTCACCTGGGACTTTGTCATTCAAAGGAAGGGAATGTAGAATTTATTTTTATTTATTTATTTATTTTATTTTGTGAGACACAGTTTCGATCTTGTTGCCCAGGCTGGAGTGCAATGGCACGATCTCAGCTCACTGCAACCTCCACCTCCTGGGTTCAAGCGATTCTTCTGTCTCAGCTTCCCGAGTAGCTGAGATTACAGGCGCATGCCACCATACCTGGCTAATTTTTTGTATTATTAGTAGAGACAGGGTTTCACCATGTTGGCCAGGCTGATCTCGAACTTCTGACCTCAGGTAACCCACCCACCTTGGCCTCCCACAGTGCTGGGATTATAGGCGTGAGCCTGGGATTGTAGATTTTATGCTAAGTAATGACAGATACAATAGGAGGGCCTTAAGCAGGAAAGTGACATGAGCTGACTTGCATTTCTTAAAGACCCATCTCACTGCTTGACAGAGAACAGACTGTAGTGAGATAAGAATGAGGAAACAGGAATTCAGGCTATTTCTGTAGTGTGGACCAGAGATAAAAGTGGCTTGGACTAGGGAGGTAGGAGTACAGCTGAAGAAAAACAAATTTGGTATGTGTTTTAGAGGTGGAGTAGAAAGATTTACAGATTAACTGAATAAAAAGGTTGAAGGAAAGAGAGGAATAACCTTTTTAGCTTGAGTAGCTGGAAGAATAATGGTTTAGTTTAATGAAATGAAGTATATTTAAGGAAGAACATGATTGGGATAAGAATAAGAGTAGAAAATAAGAGTTCTGTTTTGTTCCGGTTACATTTGAAATGCCCACCATATACCCATTTGGAAATGTGCATAGATACCTGGATCAGAATCAGAAATTCTAGGGAGTTCCTCTTACTCTCTCATTTCACAAAAGACTGAAGATAAAACAGCACAAGGAAAATCGCTTTTAGAATGCACAATGTGAGTACTGGTGATAATCTAAAGCAGTGAGACAAGCTGTTGTGCTCTTCATGAAACCACTTCACTTATGAAATGTGAAGCATCATTTTTGCTGAGCATAATGACACAGCCTGAGGGTCAATAAGCTTCATGCCAAGGGGGTTAAGTCATATGATATGGCCTCTATTTCCTAAATCTTATAAGATTACAGGGCAGGTCCTAGTAAGAGGTCAGAGGTCCAAGTAGGATACAATTAAGGAGTGCTTCTGAGAATTCCATGCTACATGAAGCGAGCACAGTGCATATCTGAGACAAAAATATCTTTTAAGTATACGTAAAATAACAACTGCTCTACCTGCAATCTAATAGGAGTTTCCATGGAAACTATCAGAAACAATTTCTTTAGAGTTACAGTGATTACTGACAAAAATAAGATGGACGTAGAGTAAAATAAAAGCTAAATTTACAAAATGGAGTGGACCATATTAAATAGTACAGCTCTATTAATATTAAATTCTGAGTAATCTGATTCAAGCTAGTTGTATTTAAGCATGACAGATTTACTTAAAATGGCTATTTTGAGGGTAGATACCAAAATGAGAGAGATAAGAAATCATATTTGTTGTATATAAGTCATTAGTCTTTAATACACATCAGCAATATTGTAAAAGACACATATTTTTAGGAAAGATAACTAAAATTTATTGCGCAGTTACTAAATATCAGGTGTTTTGCATATAACATCTTGTTTGATCTTCACAATAATCTCTCCTGGTAGGTTTTATTAACATCATTTTTACAAAGCAAGAAGCTGAATCTCAAAAAGATATAGCTTCCTCAGGATCAAATAGGTAGTAAACAACAGAGCCTGAATCAGACCCAGGTGTACGTGAACACCAAATGTACACCCTTTCATTAGGCTCTTAAAGGAGGCCACAACCCACAAGAGTTCAGGAGACTCGGGCCTGTGTTCTCTTCCAATCACAAGAATCTTTTTGATTAGTTGACGGTTAGATTAGTTAACTGAAAACAAGACTGCTATATAAATTCCTTAAAAAAAACAATATCAGGCATATACAATTGAAAGTTTTGTTTTGCCCAGAATATACAATAAAATTTTAACAGGTACTGATTTGCCCATCAAATTAAATTAACAAAAGAAAGTTAATCAAAGAACATAAAGAGAAACAAGTAAATGAAAAGACTCAAGTCCTATGTTGAAGCTCACTTACCAGCTGGCTGATAAACTTAGGGAGCCAAGGTAGATAAGCTCATGAGCCATTATAAAAAGGAATAACCTCTTAAATTATCTTTGTCATTTAAGAATAAAAGCAAAAATGCCAAGCCGTTTCCTACCTCATCACAATATGCTATAACCATTATTCCAAGTAACTGAACTGTATTGCCAAGGTGATTGCTACAGCTGACCAACTATGCTAACTTAATATAACTGTAGTGGCCACATGAGAAACGGAAGCAATCTAAGGTATTGAATGCTACATTCCTTCTCTAATAATTATTTATTTTGGCTGTTGAATTTCTTTATAAATTCTTGGTTTTGTACATTTGACTCCAAGGGTCTTTAAAGAAAAACCTGAATATCTAGATCCCTCTTTTAGTTTAAGCAGTCAAAACAAATTTCTTTCAACCACAGCAAATACTAGTACATTAGTAGTAACAGCACAACTCAAGTATGCACACACAGAAATACAGGATTCACACTAAATTCCATAAAGAGGAGAAACAAAGAAAAAACAAAAAGCAGAAACATATCCAGAAGGAATATGAAGGGTTAAAATACATAAAACAATGCAGGTACATTGAAAATAAATTTTTCAAAATCAAGATACTACTGGCTTTCACTTTTGGCAATACTGGATAGTTTCTGGCCAAAGTACCAATGAAAAGCTCAGCTGTGAAGCAAGGATGTGCTTTAAAATAATTGTCAAATGAAATCGCACAATAAAACATATGCCTATAAAGATAATGTCCAAAGAACTACAATAGGGGAAAGCAAATCATTTCCAATATAAATGGAGTATTTCTAAATAAGTAAGAAATTATAAATGCAAACCACTCAGAGTACTTAAATGCAAACACGACAGGCCACATTCAAAACACAATGCAAAGTTAAGCCTAACACCAGCAGGTATGGTACTTATTATTTTAACAGATACAAATTTTAAGTGTGTCTTTATAGTTTTACTAAGTTTTGGTTAGATGAACTCCCAAAAAAGTGTCAACATTGAAAGTAATGTATAAAGAATCATTCTTCAAAACGGATTATAACACTAAAGTTTGATATTTTTCTAGTCTGTTTCTTGGTGCATTCTATTTCAATTTGATGATACAGTACAGGAAAAGCGTCTTGTATATACCTTCAAACACTCTATGTAATGTTAAAGCACAGTTCTTGGGTTTAGAAATTTTCAGGACTGTTGATGCATAAAAGCTATCTTTAAACATTCTATTTCCCCATTACTACTGAATGACTGTGCTAGTGCTTAAAACCACTTTCCTTCTTAGTAGAAAAGCCAAGATGGAAAACAGAGCTTGGTGCTTATAAGGAAAGAAAACAGAGTCTAGAGATATATGTCCTCCTGTTCTTTTAGTTCAAAGATAAAATCAGAAATCAATTGGCATTGTTACATGTAATATTTTGTCATTTAGCAGATGACACCTAGAAATAGAAATCATTTTAGTTCCTTAAAGAGTTTTTGTTTTCTCCTGTTTGATTCTTCCTTAAGTTATTTCTTATTTATTTTCTTTAAGATTTTCCTCCTCTATCTTGCCAGAACAGGACTTGAAATATAAACGAAAATGAATGAAGAGGGAGAAACACTTCTGAAAGGCTATGGTGAAGCCAAGGAGTTTTCACTGTGTTTGGGGGTGCTCATCTCACATTTGCCTGTTCATGAGTCCTGAGGCTTGAAATATTCTGCTTAAGAGGCATTATAGAAAAGGTAATCTCTTACCAGCAGGCTTCTCCGAGTTTTCTAGTACATAATAGGTTTTAAATGGCCCAAGTTAGGCCACAACTACAGAAAAGGGCTGTAAATGCTTCAGTTTTCATTTCAGCTATGTGGCCACCTAACTAAATGTGTGGCTTGTTCTGTAAAGTGACACTGAATACATCCAAAGGCCTGGTTGCTAATGGGAATGCATAGGTAATCATGTCTGGGTCCATGAATCACCCAGAAATTGTTTCCAAAATCCTGTGCACACGTCTGAAGAGCAATTCCATAGCTTTCATCCAGCTCTCAAAGGGGTGCATCAACACAACGGTCTAAGAGCCATTGTGCCAACATCTGTTCCAGCCCTTACACCAGGATGCCACAGGATAAAGGCCAAAGCACATGGCCTCAAAATATTCCCTGGGGCAAGTCGCTTCCTGTCTGTGAAAACGTGTATATTAATAACCTGCTTCACAGTAAGCTGATGAAGAACAGATAAGTGGGATGTTGACCAAAATTTCCTAATTTGTAGAAGTTACTTCCATTGTGGCAAGAAGACAAAAATCATTTAAGAAATATGCTATGTGCACATTTGACAATGGGAGCTCCCAGACACTAAGGAACTGCCTCTGCTTGCAAATATCGGGGCAGGCACTCCACTCTCTGTTCTTTTCACATCCCACATGAGAAGAACACAATAGGCCACATTCAAAACACAATGCAAAGTTAAACAAAACACCAGCCGGGTACTCAGGCCTGGGCCCACCAAAGAAGAAATAAAGACATAATGATATCTTATAGTGAAATCAACCTTCAGAAACAAAGGTATTTAAAATTACCAAGTGACCCTTTTGGGGTCTACAACACTTACCAGACCTTAAGAAAGCGGAAGACGGAGAGACGACTGCATCAGGTGAGCAGGCCATTTCAAATTGTTGGCTCTAATCATAAGCGTCGCAGGCTAAGCTATAGCAATTTTAAAACTGTTTAGTAAAGGTTAGAAGCAATCAGTGTTAAATTAATTGAAAGCAGTGTGAGCAGTTATTAACATGATGCAGTATGCAACAAAGGCAGTAACTGAGGATCATTATAATTTTATTTTCTCTTTTATGACTTGAAAATGTGATTTTCTTTGCTTTGATAAATTACACTTGCTCATATGGATGAGATAGAAACTATATAATATCCACTTATTAGACATTACATAAAAGTAGTATCCTCTGTTGTGCAGTGAAGTAATTATGCTACTATGTAACAATGCTCAGAACTCTGTGGGGAGGACTCTATACTGGAGTCAGGTTAGTCAAGTGTTTAACAAAGCTCCATTTATATATTCTTCTAAAAGTAACAAACAGAATCAAGTTGATTGCTTTTAATGATACAGGAAGTTATTAACTCGAGTTATTAACTTTATCCTCTGTACTTCATATACTTACAAGAATCTGAAACCTCAAATTTAACTATTAATTTGGAGGAATAACTTCAAGTGGTATCTCTTTACTACTATGATGTAAACATACAGGAACATTCAACATTGATACTATGCACTTTGCACATAAAAGTGGATTTAAATAACTGCACTCAACAACAGTTAACACTAGAATTTTTTTTCTCAGCTAAGAAAAGAGAATTAAGGTTTTCAAAGCTTACTGTTATGACATGCATTTCAGAGGAAACAAAGACTGACGAAGAAAATCAACTCTATGAGCTTATGAAAGTTAAAGAGAAATGTTGCAAAAATATATGTTGGGGGCAGTACTCAGGTCCCTGTAAGAAAACTCCAGTTATTCTCTTTGTTCAGACATAACCAATCCAATAACACTTTTTATATCCAGATAGCCACATCGTTAGTAGCCAACTCAGTATTTCTATATCACACAAAAACAATTTAAGAAAAAGTGTGAAACAAATACATGTGACTATTCCAAGTCACTTTATTGATTCTTAGTAGTACTAAGGACTACTTTTTGAAAAAATTATCTCATACTTCATAGATGGTAATTTTACTATAACCCTAAGTATATAAAGCTGAACTTTTTGTAAGGTATAAAAAAACAGAGTGTTCGGTGTATGATTTCTGAAATTAGATTTTCAGAAATTAGATTTACTTTCTCCAAAAAAAAAAAAAAAAAAGTCAGTGTGCACAACAGACAACTAAGAACTTCATAAATAGGAAAAGCCCAAAACGTAAGGAGAACATATTAGGTGAGAAAATAATTTTTTTTTTTTTTGAGACGGAGTCTCACTCTGTCGCCCACGCTGGAGTGCAGTGGTGCGACCTCCACTCACTGCAGCCTCCGCCTCCCAGGTTCAAGCAATTCTTCTGCCTCAGACTCCCGAGTAGCTGGGGTTACAGGCGCCCGCCACCACGCCCAGGTAATTTTTGTATTTTTAGTAGAGATGGGGTTTTACCAGGTTGGCCAGGCTGGTCTCGAACTCCTGACCTCAGGTGATCCGCCCGCCTCGGCCTCCCAAAGTGCTGGGATTACAGGCGTGAGCCACCGCGCCCGTCCGAAAATAATTTCTTAATATCAATGCAAGTGCAAAGTTAATTTTCCTAGCTAACACCTTTCACACCCACCCCCAATAATGACACTTCATCAATTCTTTAAAAGGGAAGCTCCTTAGCTGAAAACCTGCATTCCGCCTTTCACCTTTCCTGTTTAAGTGCATGCCTTTTGTTCAAGATTATATCCAGCCAACCAGGAATACAGGAAGTTTTAATAACGCCACAAGTCATGACGTTGCAATTTGAACAAGTCAGTTCGGGACACTTGGAACTGTTAAAACTGCCTGCAAGGCACCTTCTGACCTCTATGCTTTCGGGTTTGGAAACCACACAACCTGGGGCCACTTAAGAAGCCCTTTTCTTTCTGGGCCCTAACTATACTCTTCAATATCTGAGGCCCAGTCTCCTTCAGTTTCTGCTAGATAGATGACAGGTCTACTGCTTAGAACCTGTGGGGAATGTAAAAGGGATATAAGACATAAAGCAAGGAGCCCAGACGCCGGCTTTCTGCAGCCAGATCGTAGTTACATCTGACTTGGTCTGATTAAGCTATCTGACTTTTGCAGAGAACATTCACAGGAAAGACACATTCACAGGGAAGACACATTCCCTTTCCCAGGAATGTGCCGCCGCCCGATTTTTAAGTTAGAAGACTCTAAGGGAAGTCCGGACCGCTGCCTACTTTCCGAGTGGGGCTCACAAGCGGAATAGAGTCGGGGGCACACGCAGAGTGGAGCTGGCTCTGCCACCTAATTTTTAGAGGTGGAGGAAGATATTAGAAACAAGGCCAGGGCCGCCACCTGCTTTCTAAGGAGGAACTCGGGGCACAGGTTCATTCCCAGGGCCCCCACCTGCCTCCCGCCAAGGCGCTTGAGGCGAAGCACCACCCAAGGTACTCGGGTGGGGGGCGGCGCCCCAGCCAGCCAAACCTGAGCGCTTGGTCCGAGCTCTTCGCTCCAAGACCTTCCAGCTCACTTCTGCCGTGAGTCCCGCCGCCCCCGCCATCGCGCTCCGGTCGCCGCCTTGGCCACCGCCCCCGGGGCCGCCTGTCAGCAATGCCGGGCCACGCCCCCCGCACGACACTGTCGGGAGGCGCGCCTGCCGGAAGTGAGCGTGAGGGCGGCTTTCACCCTAGCTCCACTGCTTTTTTAGCGTCGGAAGGGCAGCCCTAGTGGGAGAGAGAAAAAGGAGCCGGCAGCGGCTCTTACGCGTCCCGGGGCTGCGCGCCACTCTCTCGGCCGGTAACGCGGTGCTTTGCGGCTGTCGTCAAGCGCGGCGTTGGGCCGGCGGGCGGGGGCTGAGGGGCTGCCATGGCGGCGGCGGGCCGGCTCCCGAGCTCCTGGGCCCTCTTCTCGCCGCTCCTCGCAGGGCTTGCACTACTGGGAGTCGGGCCGGTCCCAGCGCGGGCGCTGCACAACGTCACGGCCGAGCTCTTTGGGGCCGAGGCCTGGGGCACCCTTGCGGCTTTCGGGGACCTCAACTCCGACAAGCAGACGGATCTCTTCGTGCTGCGGGAAAGTCAGTGCTTGCCGGGCCCTCCCTCTGTTCGCTGTCCGTGTGCCTCTCCCGGTGTTCCCCAAACCCATTGCCCAATGGCCGGTCCTTCTGCATTTCCTGGTCCTTCTCTCCCAGCCCTGTGGCCTTCCCTTTAGCATTCTTAACAGCTTGTCCTTTTGCACCACCCTTTCCAACCCCAGGTTCTGACCCAGCTACCCTACAGTTTGACCTACCCTCAAAAGCCCTGACAGCACCTCAGTTTTGTTCCTAAGAAGTCTGCGGCCCTCACCCAGTCACCTTACCCCCTCCTCCCCATGGAATCACCTGTTTTCCAAAGTGCTTCCTGATTCCTAGGAATCTTTGTAGCTTGCCTCAACGTTCGCTCCCAAGGCCCACTCATTCCTTTCTATTTTGCTTCAGTCTTCCTTCCCCGTTGATGAACATGAAAAGGTGCAACCTGACAATCTCTTCTCATAGGGGGCTTCTTCTTGCCTCCCCACCTACCTAATTCGCCCACCCCTTTCTTTGTCAAGGCCACAACTTTCTATGAAGCGAATGTACCCTTCCAAGGGCCTAAACACTAAACAGCTCACACAAGCATTTTGCAGGGACCACTGATAAACCCAATGCCTCCTTGGGAAAGCAGTCTCAAACTACAGAAATTTCTCTCTTGAGCTGCCTGTTCTTTCGTGTACTCCTTCCTCATCTTGGTCATCACCTTAGTGTTCCAAATGTCTACTTTCTTTGCTAACTTGTTCTTGGAAATTCTTTGCTTTGACAATCGTTAAACTAACTTTTTTGTAAATCTTGATGCTGACAGTGGGCATTAGGGGGTCTTAGGGTTCTTGAGTACCTACAGAAGCAGGTGCTGCTTAAAGATCAATGCTGTGAAGGAAGGAAGGAAGAGCTACTCAGAGCTTGCCTGACAGGATCCTGAACCAGACTTCTTGGAGCCCTTGCGGGGATGCAGGAACCTCTTACAAACCCTGAATATTTTCCCAATCTTTTTGACTCCTCATTTTGCAGTGTACTGCCAAACCTGTTGCTGCTGTGTCCAAACTGGATACAGAGAGTAGCCTTGACTTTAAAGATGGCCTGTGTTTGATTAAACAATTCCAAAAGTCTGTCTCAATGAGTGCTAATTGAGCTCCAAGAATGTGTCACCCTCTGGAGGATGGCCCCATAGGAGGAGGGTCTTGGAGGATTCAGCATTTTGTGCTCACATGCTTAATTATGTCTTTGTCAGATATCTACAATGGGAGTCCCTGCATCCTTGGTGTGATGCATCTGTGTAATGAACCAAACAGCCTTACAAGGGACAGCATTGCTAGATTCGGGGAAGACAAGTCTTGACATGTAGTATAGTTATAAGGCATCTTTATATGGTTCTTTTAAGTCAACCAATCTGACTCCTCGCAGAATCCACTGGCTTCAGTTTCTCTTGATCAGCTGCTTTTTCCCATGTTCATCCTTTCTATTTCTCTGCTACTTTGAACATTGAACTTGTGATATAATGTTAGGCATCTCCATTGGACTAGTGGGACTATGCTTGAGAGGGCAGATGAACTGGAGTAGAATAAAAGTTTTCTTGTTGAGAACAGTGCCCAGAAACCTTCTTGTAACCACTGATTAGATATCTTATCAACAAACATTTTTCTAATATCATATATTTGTTTTCTTTAGGAAATGACTTAATCGTCTTTTTGGCAGACCAGAATGCACCCTATTTTAAACCCAAAGTAAAGGTATCTTTCAAGTAAGTACAAATATGATTATTTTGATAAAACTTTAGTCATTAATATAATAATGGATATGCAGTAGCTGATTGGTTGTCTTTAAAGTCAGCCTTAGTGTTGGGATGCAAAACCACTGTTTGTGAGGTATGAGTAGCAAGTGATTTTTTGGAAAAATAGTGAAAATACCAAAGTTTAAAAATGACTTTAAAGAAATAAATTTGAGTGGATCCAGGTTTGTTTCTATATAAACACCCTTTATTTCCTTGCAATCTCGTATCCCTCGTATCCCTTCTTGAATGTGTCTCGTTCTGTGCCTCATCTTGAGGCAGCAGTCACTCACAGTAGTCTCATTGTATTAGCCATGTGTTGTGTTTTGTGGAAGAGGGGCCTATTTTGCAGTGGGGAAAAAGTCAGTGTTCTAATTTTTTTGTTTAATTGACTGATGGTGAGTTTTTAAGGTTGACTTGGAAGGAATTCAAGTTTAATTATCTGAATTTTTAAAATGTTCAAGTAATAGTTATTTTTCTTTTCTGTGGTTGGCATTGCATGAAACAATGACCACTCCCACACCTCTACCTCCATGATAGTGACCCAACACAGTTTTGAAACTACATTCATTTGAAGCAAGCATTCGTGGCTGTCTGAATTCAAGCAAGAAGAGATGGGTCAGTGCAGGCCAAAGGGGCAGCTTCCAGAGTCATGGAACTTGAGCTTGACCTTAGTATAAATAAAAAGTTAGGTGAAGACGTTCAACTTGGAAGTTCAATTTTGGGGACAGAGCATTTATAAGAGATAAAAGTAAGAACAGCATGTTATGAAGAGGAGGTAGAAAGATCTGCCTGACAAAAGTGGAAGGTACACTTCGGGGAGTTAAGGACTAAGAACATGAGATAAGAAGGGCAGACTGGGAGCCTTCAGATACAAAAAAGAGTTTGAATGCTGTCCCATTAGAAGAGGGGAATCATCAGGTCCTTGTGCAAAGGAGAGATGATGAAAACAGTATTTTAAATTGATTTACTTGTAAACTATATGCAGAATGAATTGGTTTGTAGAAGATTAAAGACTACTTAGGAAGCTGTATTTAAAAAGTCCCTGTGTGGGCTGATTAGTTCTCAGACTCTACAGTATTTTGAGTAAACTCAAACTCATGTTAAAAAGAAAAATGGCCTTGAACTAGAACTTTGAGGGGAAAGTTATAAATGGATAAACAGGAACTTATTTCCCTTGAGAAGTGTTTTTGGGTAGTGAATGTCAGCATGCTTGGAGTGGGGAAGAAACTGAAGTTGAGTGTATATGAGAAGTGAACTAACTGCATAGAGGTGATTTTTTTTTTATTAGAAATTAAGGAAATTTAAAAGATGTAAATGGCATGTGTTCTGATAAGTTAAAACAAATATCCCAATTAATTTTTTTATTAATGCAATGCACTTTCAAAATTTAGAAACTCTTGTTTGTGTTATAATTTAAAATATTTTTCAAAGTAAAAATAACTATTCTTCACCCTTATTCTCCCCCACACCCCTGTTTCTCTCTCAGATGCAACCACTTTTAAAACCTGTAGCTGATTCTTCTAGTGTTTATTACCATATTTTAAAATAAAATTTTACACTAATTTTCTTGAATTATCATTTTTAAATATTCAATTCTTGTTTTTTAACTAACATAATTTATCTACATTGTCCCAGTGTAATTAAATCATAATTTTTTGTTAAATTAGTAATCATTGTTTACCTTTTAACCATGTGGTGTCTATGTACTTCAGAACCAAGTAATGTACAGTATTTCTTTTCTTTTTCTTTTTTTTTTTTTCTTGAGACAGAGTCTCACTCTGTTGCCCAGGCTGGAGTGCCTTGGCATCATCTCAGCTCACTGCAACCTTTGCCTCCCGGGTTCAAGCTATTCTCCCACCTCAGTCTCCCAAGTAGCTGGGATTACAGGTGCCTGCCACCATGCCTAGCTAATTTTTTGTATTTTTAGTAGAGATGGGATTTCACCATGTTGGCCAGGCTGGTCTCGAGCTCCCGACCTCAGGTGATCCACCTGCCTCGGCCTCCCAAAGTGCTGGGACAGTATTTCATTTTTTGTGCAGCTTGCCCTACTGGAATAAATGATTGCTTTTTAAAAAATAGATTGCATAGTTTTCTATGTACATACCCTTAATTTCTTTGCAGATATTCCATCATATCTGCCATATACCTATCCTGCATTTTTGTTTTTCCCATTGGATCCTCTACATTCCTATCCAGTCTGGATTCATTCTCCAGGCCTTTTGTAGACTTACTATGTGGGGAATTTCCCCATGTAAAAAAAGAAATTTCCTCATTTACTTCACGGGGGTGTGTCTTTCCAGAAATTCCTGAGAAAGGATGCCTGATAAGTCCTGTCACATCCAAAAAGTTTTTCTACCCACTTTTTTTTTTTTTTTTTTTTAGAGACAGAGTCTCACTCTGTTTCCCAGGCTGGAGTGCAGTGGCACAAGCTCAGCTCACTGGAACCTCCACCTCCCTGGTTCTAGCAATTCTCCTGCCTCAGCCTCCTGAGTAGCTGGGACTACAGGTGCACAACGCCACGCCCAGCGAATTTTGTAGTATTTTAGTAGAGACAGGGTTTCACCGTGTTGCCCGGGCTGGTGTCAAAACTCCTGAGCTCAGGCAATCCACCTGCCTTGGCCTCCCAAAGTGCTAGGATTGTAGGCATGAGCCACCGCGCCCGGCATCTACCCACTCTTAAAAGTTTGGTTAGCTTATTGTGTTCTAGCTTCATGGGTTGCAGTTTTAAAATTCAACCCTCTTCTTTCTCCTAATCTTTTAAATGTAAATTGTTTTAATTTTGGAAGCTATTGGAGTCTCTTCTTTTTCTATTTTGTTCTGATTTCATGATGATGTGCCTTGGTATAGATTTGTTTTTCTTTTTTGATAAAGACAGGGTCTTTCTCTATCACCCAGGTGAAAAAGGAGTGCAGTCACACAGTCATAGCTCACTGTAGGCACCTAATCCTGGGCTCAAGCTGTCCTCCCACCTTCGCCTCCCAAAGTGCTGCAATTACAGGAATGATTATTCTTTACTTATTATGCTAGGCATTATGTGGGCCCTTTCAAGCTAGAGGCCTCTATCCTTGGGAGCTTTTTGAAATACTCTTACATTATTAAATATTTCTTTGAAAAATTTTTTTGTCTCTTTTAGGAGTTTCTATCAGTTGATTAGTCTGCCTGGGTTCATCCTTTATTCCTTTATCTTATCTGTTTCTTATTTTTATCATTTAGTTTTGTTTTATTTTCCTTTGCAGGAGGTTTTCTCAACTTTCTCTTTTAAATTCTAAGTCCTTTTTTTTTTTTTTTTTTTTTTGGTGGGGGATGGAGTCTTGCTCTGTTGCCCAGGCTAGATAGAGTGCAATGGTCCAATCTTGGCTCACTGCAATCTCCACCTCCTGGGTTCAAGCGATTCTCCTGCCTCAACCTCCCAAGTAGCTGGGATTAGAGATGCACGCCACCACGCCTGGCTACTTTTTGTATTTTTAATAGTGACAGGGTTTTGCAATGTTGGCCAGGCTGGTCTCAAATTCCTGACCTCAAGTGATCCACCCACCTCCACCTCCACCTCCCAAAGTGCTGGGATTACAGGCGTGAACCACCGCGCCCAGCCAGGTGTCACATTTTTAATTTCCGAGGTTTTTCTTTTGTTTTCTTACTGATGTTGTCTTTTAGCATACTGTTGTTGGTTTGTTTTTTTTTTTATAGACAGACTTTTTTCTCTTAAGTGTAATTTTGAAGTTTTCTTTTGTTGCATTAGTTCTGTTTTCTTCAGGTTCCTTATTGCTATTTGTTTTAGCTCTCTTTAATAGTCAAAGTTTTCTTCAGAAGGCAGGTGTCTACTCACATTTTCAAGTAAGGTGCAAAAGAAATAATTGGAAATGTATTGCCTAGTGGGACTAGTCTACTATCTTTTGCCCTGCATGTATGTTCTTGACAGACTAACATTCTAGAAATAGGGTAGAGCTGTGGGCAAGGGTTAAATTGTTCCTTTTGTAGACTTTTGGTTAACTCCTGTGTCTAGCTTAAGGCCAAAACCTTACCCATTACTGTAATTTAAATCCTTAATTCCTGAGACTTTCCAGAAATACACCACTTGGTTCTTACCTTGCTGAGTGAGAGGGAGAAAGAACTACCACTGATGCATTAAGAAAGTAATTATCTATAGTCTAATTGGAAATTTGCTGTCTTGCTATTTCATCTGAGTAGAATTAAGTATAAAATGAATTAAAGGCCTAATTTTTGCTTGGGTCGCTCAGATAATAAGACTGCAGGACGTTAAGCTTTCAAGATTCATATAAATAATTTTAGAATTATTTTGTTAATAAAAATATATCAATACCTATGAAAAGGAAAAAATAAAAATATACATATAAAGTTAGATATATATGTTTGGATGCTATATTGATTGCCAAGTTTCGTTAAAAAAAATTCCATTCTTAATTTACTAGCTTTCAGAAATAAAATGATTCTTTTAATTTTTACTGTAAATTTTGAATTTATGTTAAAATCCAAACTAAATATTTTATAAATAATATCTTTTAATTGAAAACATCCCAGTGATAATGCTTACTGCTTTGGCAATTATGAGCCTCCATTTGTTAGAAACACCATCCGAATGTCTTGGTGTCCTTGACAAAGGAACTATATAGAAGGGCTATACTAGCCATTGCTTGAACATAATAAACACGTTTTCTCTCGACATATTTCAGATTTGTCTTGTTTCTTGAGACTATTCTGCATTCATTCTGAACTCTTTTTTAGACCAAAGAGGTCTAAATACATGATGGATGAAAAGATAGGAAAGAGAAGGCAATCAGTCAGTTCTGTTAAGTTTTAAGTTTTTCATTGAAAATATTTTTGTGTGGTAGAAATACAGAATTGTCCTTTTCCATTACAACTTGTCTGATATTTGTAAATGCTTGTTTCTTTTAGGAATCACAGTGCATTGATAACAAGTGTAGTCCCTGGGGATTATGATGGAGATTCTCAAATGGATGTCCTTCTGACATATCTTCCCAAAAATTATGCCAAGAGTGAATTAGGAGCTGTTATCTTCTGGGGACAAAATCAAACATTAGGTGAATTTGTTTTAAAAATTTTTAATATTTATCATTGAATATGAAGGTAAATGTAACAAAATATTGTTCTGAAATCAGTTCAAAAATACTGTTCTTGGGTGTCAATAATTGTAAAACCTTTTTTCAAAGTTTATTTCCTGATTTTTCTTTTTCAACCCTGAACTGGGCAGGGATCACTTCTACTGACAAACTTCATTCTTACTAGCTTAAAGAGGACAGAGATTTATTAAAGGATTTTAGTGGCTCACAGAATCATTGAGATGGCTAAAGAATAAACTCTAGGTTGAGCTTTCAGGAGCAATCCCAATATCATCAAAAAAGCTACTGCCTCTTTCCCCTATCAGAAGTGGCTAGTTACACAACTGCTGCCAGAATGATGCTGTGCCTGCAGTGATTCTCACTAGCAAAATGAATGCTGCACCTGGTCTCTTGATACTCCCAAATTCAGTGAGCAGACACAGATAGAAATAGCAGAGAAACAGCCTTTACCTCATTCATGCCTTTAAGACTCACAGTGTATCTGATTGGCAAGGCTTAACTTTTATTCAGCATCTCAGATGCCACAATATCTGGAAAATGCTATTTTTGGTTTCTAGTCTCCTTAGCACAGGAAAGCACAAAAAAGTTGAAGTATGGTTCGAGAGTCAGTCTACCATACCTAGTCACAAATCATCAAGCCTTATCTGAAAAGCCAATTAGTTATACCTAAATAGGCAACTTTGTTCATGGAGCCAAATTTCAGTCATGTTTTCTGCACCATTTGGGAATGTAAACAGTAATCGCGATACATTATATTCATTAAGTCAATAAATATTTACAGAGGGAGTACCATGCACAAAGCTTGTATATAAGCATGTACATTTTAGAACCAGGAAGTTTTGCATATGTGGCCTTCTTTACACCAAAACCTTGTTAATTGTCAACCTCTCTAGCACTAAATTGTGTAAAGACAAAGACTCAGCTAGCAAATATTTAGATGCATACCTCAAAAGGAGGTTATTGTAATGCTAGTCTTCACTGTAGAATGTATTCTCCCAATATTTTGTCTTTGCAAGCTTGATGTTCATTTGAACTAGATTTATAGTATCTCATTAATGATAATAGTTGGAATAAATCAGAGATAAATCTAGAAAAGAGTAGAAGAATATTTTTTCCTAAGCATAGATATCAAAAGTAATATAAAATGCCTGCTAATTCATATATATATATATCTTTTTTGCAGATCCTAACAATATGACCATACTCAATAGGACTTTTCAAGATGAGCCACTAATTATGGAGTAAGTATGGGCTTGCTTCCTTTGAAACGATTTTAAACTTAAACATAAAATAAAATCTTCACATAGGAAACTACTTTGCTTAGTAATAAAAATACTAAATTCACTCAGAGGCCTGTACCTTTGATTATATTGTATTTATTTGCCATCAGATAGGACAAAGAAAAATGAAATTTATTATTTTGGAAAGTAGAAGAGATTTGTGTTTTTATTTCAGTCGCTTCAAATGTGTCCATTATGGATCTATGCTGTCATTACTGAAAGAATTAAGATACCTGTTTTTGAGTAAAACTGTTATATTTGATATTTAGGATACAGTTTCCTCTAGAAATTTAGAAAGATTCCTATATTAAGGAGAAATTTTTGTTCTTTTTATAATATAACTCCTGCTTTGTGTTATCATTTATATTCTCACTGTAGACTCATGTACCAGCATAATTGATTTAAATAATTGATGTAAATTTGGATTTGCAAATTTCTGACAGCGTATTTTGGTAGAGGTCGAGATCATTCCCGGGACTAGAGCAAAGTTTGGCCACATTCTTGTTTCCAGTACTGTCTTTCTTACAGTTATTAAAATCATACCCATACAGCAGTGTGTCAGTGGCCATTAGAAGTCTGAACTGTAAATCCATGGATTAATCTTCTTAACGGTGCCCCGCTAGATTTCTTTCATAGTTGTGTATTTTTTCATTGTTGTTAAAATATTCAATGGCCAGTATGAAGTTTTATACCAACTAGGATTATTTTTCTAGGTTATTTCTCCTAAGCCCATCTAAGTAAACAAGTTGGCTTAGGATTCTGAAGTAAGTTTCTAGGAATTAGTGCTGTATCCTTATCATTCAAGGGTAGTCTAGATAATGCAAAGATTACAGAGATACCCAAAATCTCACAAAACGAATTTATTTCTTGCTCTTACTATATGTCCAGTGTGGGTCAACAACAGGCTCTGCTCTGTGCTGTTGCTTAGAGTCAGGCCATCAGAGAGCCCACTGTCTTTGTAGCTAGTCCATCTGAATCACAATGCCTTCTCATTGCCATGGCAAGCCTGGAGAGGGCTGGAGGGGCTGGTAACAGAAATTATACACTTTGGCCTAAAAGTGACACATGTCACTTGTGCTGACATTTGACTTAATACTTATCACTAGATACTGGCGAGCATTGTAATGTCTACCACACTTCCCAAAAGTTACTGCTTCTTTTAAAGCTAAATTAGAAGTAAGAATTTAAAGAAATAGCTGCTTATTGTTTTAATTTTTTTTCAGTTTCAATGGTGATCTAATTCCTGATATTTTTGGTATCACAAATGAATCCAACCAGCCACAGATACTATTAGGAGGGTGAGTAAATATGGTTATAACTATGTAATTAATCGTATATATTGCTTCTACTTTAACCATTGGAGAAAAAATAGCTCATTGGAATCCTTGTTTTTAAAGATTTTTAAGTGGGCATTTGGTTAATATATATAAGCTTTCTCAAATAGTTTGGATTTGGCCTGCACCTGCTTTCCAAGGGCCAGCTTACTCCTTTTATCTCTTTGAAAAATTAGAGATTGAAACTTTACGGGTCCCCATTTAAATATTGGTTCATTAAATGTTTTTGAAATGGATAGATTTCACGTAAATAGGGAGGATACCTGCAGTCTTGAGTGGATCCTCCCTATCTTAGTACCTTAGTCATGTTAGCTGCTAGACTTTAATTGATAAGATTTGTTTCTTTCTGTCATTTGTTCAGTGAGCAGTCAATAACGGTCTAGTAATATAAGCACTCCTCTAAGCTCTGGAAACTTGTCAGTGAATACATTGTCCTTCACCAGTATGTGTGCTAGGCCTCTCTTACTATCTAAGTATGCAATTCTTAGGGAAAAGTGCCTGGAATCTTGCAATTCCAAGATATCCATTGTAATTACTCTGGATTTAAATAGAACTGGTCTCGTAGCACAAGAATTCCTGATAGCAAGATACTTTTCATAAGATACCTTCAACCCGGTTAATTTTTTTTCTGTATCTGATAAGGTAAAGTTTAGTTCAAGAGTACAGAACACATTTATTTACTTTTTTGTCTTTCTGAAAGTACAAAGGACCACCCTTATCAATCTGTCTTTCCCAGCTACTTGGAACTCTAGTGACTTTTCTCTTTGTGTTTTATAGAAATAGTTTGTTTTTATGATTCATTTTTGAAATGTGATTTGTAGGTATGCAGAGGAGTAAATTGTGAAAATTTTTAAGGTATTCTGAAGAGACACTTTAACATTTCCTATTACTTTTTCTGGTTTACAGCCATACCACCCTGAACGCGCCCCATCTCTTCTGATCTCGGAAGCTAACCAAGGTCAGACCTGGTTAGTGCTTGGATGGGAGATCACCTATTACTTTTTCTGTAGGTTTTTAATAAAGAATATGGGTGCTTTGATGCTAGTAATAGTGAACTTTGAAATAATTATTGTGAATCCTGAATGAGAAACCTGTTTTTTTCTCCAAAATTTGAAAAATATCTTGAAGAGAGTCTTGCTTTAGAGACAAATTGGAAGGAGATCCTGATTTGCTTTTGTGGCCGTATCCAAGAGGAATTGAGTGCAGGTGGGGTGCAGGGAAAACACAGTCCACTCCCCACCACCACTCCGCTCCTTCCACAGCAAATGGGGACTGCTCAGAAAACCCTGTCCTTTCTTTTCCTCTCTTCAAAGGCAGGCATGTGATTGAGGATGTGATGGTGACTTCTGGCCTGTTTTATTTTGTGGTAACTTCACTTTAGTCAGGGAAATAATTGGAATATCTTTAATCTGATGTAGTTTGACCTTTAGAAATTGAAAGTGAAACAGCTATTGTTGATAATTCACAAAGTATTAATAAAACTTCTATTACCTGTACAGATTTTTTACTTAATCTGCGAGAAAACTATTTAGAATATTATGGAATTGTGCCATAGCTTCTTTATTTGTTCTTAATTCTATATTAGATTTTTTTTTCTCTGCTTCATGAACAAGTTCAGATTTTAAAACATCATGCCTGAAGACATGTCCAACTTTATTTTTTATATGTTATATTCTGGTCCAATATACTAGAGTAATAATACTCTGGTATTTTAGGATATCTGTCATTTGAACCTCAGTTACAAATTAAACAATAGTAGCTAACCATATCTAAGTGATAAGTTTGCATCTAAGATTTGTCCTGATGCCAGTTTGAAGATATATAAGCTGACAGAAATTTGCATTGTTTAGAATGACTGTAGTCTAACAATATCATGGTTCAGACAACAGAAAGCTGAATATGCCCCTGTGGCAGCAAATATTAATATGTTACTAAAATATGAAAACTACGTTTAAGCAATGTCAGTTTTATAAACAACAGATAAGATATGTACATAGGTGAGTAAGTGAAAAAGTCATCAGCATTGACATTTTGGGTTATTCACGTGACCTTGATTGGCAGCCTAATCTTTTATTTATCAAGAAATCTACCTTTTACAACTTAAATATTATGCTTTATGGATATGCCAAACCCAAGATTATCTTTAATTGAATTTGACCAGCGCTTTGGTTTGGGAAGCATGCAATGATCTTTAAATTCAGTGTGAAATGCTTCTGTAGAATTATAGCAGAAAGCCCTTGCTATAACCTGGCTTAGTGCAGACATGCAAATCTGAGATAGCACAACCAGTTTGGCTGGACTAAAGGTGCAGATGATCAGTCTAAACAGCAGTGGTGATAAGCAGAAGAATTCCTTATAATTGGTACAGTGGGGTTATCTAACAGGGACAGGAAGGGCACTCACTGCATCTAATGAGGTTCAGGAGGTAATTGAAGTGTGTTAAATGGTCAAAGGTGAGACTTCAGTTTGAGCTTCAACTTCACTTATAATGACTTGAAATAATGTAATAATGTGCCATATTACTTAGAAATAACACCTAGCTGTTAAGTGTCACAGCAGCTTCTGCAGTGATGTGACGTTATTGATAATGAGCATTTTCTATAAGAGGACATTGGAAACTGAT
Organism: Homo sapiens; assembly: GCF_000001405.40. Lineage (NCBI taxonomy): Eukaryota > Metazoa > Chordata > Mammalia > Primates > Hominidae > Homo > Homo sapiens. The sequence goes on along the minus strand of NC_000016.10, from coordinate 47,448,736 downwards.
GTTGCATACTCATTCAGAATATTGTTTTTAATGTTGAAGTGAAAACACTTGTACCTGTAATTTTAGTCAAAACCAAATATAATGTTGGTCTGTTAAAATTTTCTGACTCAAAAAAAAAAAAAAAAAAAAAAATTTTCTGACTCACGTACTGAGTTCAAATACGTTCTGGGTCAGGCCCAAGTTGTATACTTGGAGATATTAATGTAGGTATGTGACAGATATATACTTTGCCGTACACTGTTTACATCACAAGTGATCGCATGAAAATATTGAATGTGGTATAAGTAGCACTGAAAGCAATCATTTTTAACTGTTGTGTGGGTAGATTTTGCCCCTCCATTATCAAAAAAACTGTATTCTCTATTTAAATGTAGTCAGCTACTATCAATCCAGAAGAAATAAATCTGCATTTTTCCATTTAGCCTTTCATATTTTCTCACATTATAACCAATGACTGATTTATTAAATCACCCTTCAGTTTTACTGTTGATTTTGTTTGTTTGCTGATACATTACAGAAAATATTATAAATATTTGTTTTAATGAAGTGTGACATTGTATCACTTAAATCTATTGTTTAGTAAGAATATGAAAATTATGATGAGGTTTATAACACAAAATAAAACCAAATAATACTCAAGGCAGCTTTTGACTTTGTAATCAGCGTTAATACCCATAACAAAAAAAGATAACTTTGAGATCATTTATATTTTCTTCAGATTCCCCTGGCAGCACCCTCCCTCTCATCCCATACAACATTCATATTTTTAATACTATTGTTAAAAGGAATCTATTAAAATCTGAGAGATCAGGTATTTTTTTCTAATCAGTATTTCCATGGAAACGTTACATCAGTTTTCTAACTTTTCTCTTTTCCTAAAGGAACTGTGCTATTAGAGATACATTAATTTCTTTTCCCAGTGTTTCTCACCCTAACCTTTTTCTTTTCAAAGTTAAACTGCAGAAACAGTGAAAAACTTTTAGCAGATGACTTATATGGTGGTTATTTCAAGTGGCATGTTCATTTCTTAAGGGTCTATAATTTTATTTCCTATAGTCCCACCAGATGTGATGGAGGGGTCAATTAAATTACCTCAGATTTTTGCTTGAACCTGGGAGGCAGAGGTTGCAGTGAGCCAAGATCACACCACTGCACTTCAGCCTGGGCGACAGCAGAGTGAAACTCTGTCTCAAAATAAATAAATAAATAAAAATTTAAAAGTTAATTACCTCAGATTTCTTGGTGACTTATACTGCTTTATTTTATGTTCTGATTGGTAGTATTATATTTAAGTGAAATTGTTTGTTTCTAAGTAAATGGTTTTAAGATGTTATCAAAATTTACTCACCTTTTAGTTAAATCTTAATAATTTTTAGATGTATATTTGTAATTCAGAAAGATCATCTTCTTTTGAGAAAAGTATAGTGTTACAGTTTCTGTGCAAAAAAAATTGATAGTAACATTTCCTTTTATTGGAATGTATTAAAACTTTGTTTCCTTGTTTGGGGAGAAACCATTTTGCTTTATTTCATTACTGTTAATACCTGTGTATGTATTAAAACTAGTATAGGCTAGGGGCAGTGACTCATGCCAGTAATCCCAACACTTTGGGAGGATGAGGCAAGAGGATCACCTGAGCCCAGGAGTTCAAGACCAGCCTGGGTAACACAGGGAGACCCCATCTCTACATACAAAGAAAAAGAAAAAATTAATCGAGCATGATGGTGCACTCCTCTGGTCCCAGCTGCTTGGGAGGCTAAGGTGAGAAGATTGTTGATCCAGGAAGGTCCAGGCTGCAGTGAGCCGTGATTGCACCACTGCACTGTAGCCTGGGCAACAGAGTGAGACGCTATCTCAAAAAAAAAAAAAGAAAAAACCAGTATAGTTGAAAAATCCATGTATATAGCAGGCTTTGAGTAAGATTAGTATCTATTACCATTTCAATTTAGGGTGAAATGAATCAGAATCATAATTTCTGAAAATATAGATTAAGTCCTCTTTCATTAGATTCTAGTTGCATTTTTTCAAAGTGTATACACTGTTGAAAATGCCTTACAAATACTTGATTTTTATCAGTCTGGAGGCCTAAGCTCTGAGTTCTAGCTCCTGAGTGAGTTTCACAGTAGTCCTGACTGGAGGTGTGCGTTCAACTGTGGGACGCGTGCTTCTTTTCAGACTGCCTGTTCTTCCACTGTATTTGCCTGTATTAGTAGTCAGTGCTGTCTCTTAGGTGTAGTCTTACTGTTGCACCCCCTAGGAAGGTAGAAACATTGGGACAAAGTATAATAAAACATGACTGAAAGAAATCTTCATGTTTTCTCTTATGTAAGAAATCTTCGTATTTTCTCTTATGTACCTGAGACATTATTGCTGAGAGGTCCTTAAGATTTATCCAGAACTGCACCTTTGAGTTCTCATTGAAGCCCAGAGTGAGTGATTCATGAGGAATTTACCAGGGTGACTTTGTTCTCTAGTGATGCTTTTCCCAGTCTTCTGTGTATCTTGCTGGGGAGGCACACCACGGAATTGTACAGCTTATCTGTCCCTTTGGAGGCTCAGAGTTGGATAGGGAAATAAGAGAACAAAGAGTATCTCAAGCAAGCTTGTTGTTGTTTCATTAAATGTTTATCAAGTAAGTCTGGGGTTGGCACTTAACATCAGTTGCCTCTTTTTTTTTTCTTTCTTACAACAGATAGCTTGTGTGGCTAACAGTGACTTAAGAGTCTAATTCAAAGATTAAGTGACTACCACAGGCTCACAAATACGTAAATAAATGCTAAATCTGGGAATTGAATCTGGATCTTCCAAGTTCTAAAGGCTGTGCTTTTGCCTTCGTTCTTGTACCATCACAGGGGTACAAGGGGTACAAGTCACAGGGGGCCTTTGGTGGTGCTCCTTCATATGGCCTCCACCTCTCTCTCCATGGCTAGCTTGGACTTCATTGTAGCATAATGGGTGCTTTTCAAAAGCATTCCATGAAACATAGGCAGAAACTGCATGTCTCTTAAGATCCAATCCTGGAAGTTAAACAAGTGTCATTTCTTTTATATTCTCTTGGTCAAAATAGGTCATGGGACTAGCTAAGATTAAGTGGAGTTAGTAGATGATAGACTCTACCTCCTGATATAGGCACGGCAAAATTGAATGCAAAAGAGCATGTGAGATGGGAAATAATGTGACCATCTTTGAAAACACAATGTGCTAGCCTGTGTTTGTTTACTTTATCATAAGTAAAGACTTGCAAAGAAATATGGAAATACAGATCATTTTAAGCATGTCAACTTCTAGAATCTCAGGCTTCATAGGTGTTCTTAGCTAAAATTCATGTGCCTGAGAGTGTACCTGTTTTCACTATAACTTTCTCCTTCACATGAGAATGCTGTCTTCCTTACATTTCCTAAATCTTACTAATGGTGATTTGCTGGGATGTGAAAACCCATAGATATCAAACGTGGGGGAAATCTTTTTTTTTTTTTTTTTTTTTTTTTTCTGAGACGGAGTCTCGCTCTCCCAAAGTGCTGGGATTACAGGAAGAGCCACCGCGCCCGGCCTGGGGAATCTCTTATAATTAACTAAGATATCTCAAACTAATAGAACTTCCAGTTTTTCTTTTTTTTTTTTTTTTAATGTACATTTCTCTTAACATGAAGCTTGCATACAAAAGCAGACATCATGGTCCATGTTGATGTATTCTGAATTCGGATGCACTGGAGTGGGGTTGTGGTAGCATGACAGTTTTTGTTTTAATGACTTTGCCATTTCATTACGTGAGTATTGTCAAAAAATCCATTATTGTTGAGAGAGACCCTTGGGAGAGCAAAGAAAAGAGAGCATCTGTAAGAAAAACCAATTTCCAAAAAGCAGATCTTATAACTGTTCTTAGCACTGTATCCCAGGACAGATCATTAATTGGAAAGAAGGTAACTTTCATGCCAAAGTGATTTTGGAAGGTAAAATGATTGTTGCAGATGTGACTGGAATATTCTCTAGGACCATCAAATTCGTAGATAAAGCTTTTGCATAATTTGTTGTATATTTGGTATCTTTTTCTATAATGTAGCATATTTTATAAAATCATATCAAGAAAATTCCATTTAAAGTGAAGCATCTTATTTTATCTTATGAAATTTTATTTTTACTATTTTCTGTATCCTGTTAATGTAATAATACTATCACCTAATATATAAATTTACATGTTGGCTTCTGAGCCAAATAATTTTTTACAGTATATACCTTTTTCTTTTATTAAATTCATAGGAAAAGTTTGTCATGTTTAATAAAATGAGAAAGGCATAGTGTTATTCTTTTTTCAATACACTAAGTACTCCAAAAGCCAGACCCCAGAGTTGACTATGCACATAAATTTACTGAAGAGCTATTACATCTTTTATCATATTTCTTGTAACATAAATTATTTTAGCTGCATTATATTGCATTGCTGTAAGTTAATTAATGAGAAATAGCATGTTGCTTTACAATCTTATTTTTATAACCTATTTTATAAAAGTAGATAAATCAGTTTTATCTGATTTACATTATTGTACTCTTGACTGCTTTTAACAATGTGTCCTACAATATACATTGAGTCATTTCTCAGCAGTTTTTATAATATTCCTTGAAACACATATTAGCACATTTATTTGAATTGAAAATAAAAAACAAGGTCACACTCATTCTCGCAGAAAATGACTTTCATTTGGAAACAGCTTTTATAGGAAGGACTGGCTTTGTGAATTACGTTATATGGCAGATATTTTCTGTAAATTGAATGAACTAGATCAGCAGTTCTAAATTTCTTTTTGTTTTTTCCTTACATTTTATTTTATTTATTTTATTATTATTATACTTTAAGTTTTAGGGTACATGTGCACAACGTGCAGATTTGTCACATATGTATACATGTGCCATGTTGGTGTGCTGCACCCATTAACTCGTCATTTAGATTAGGTATATCTCCTAATGCTATCGCTCCCCCATCCCGCCACCCCAAAGCAGTCCCCGGTATGTGATGTTCCCCTTCCTCTGTCCATGTGTTCTCTTTGTTCAGTTCTCACTTATGAGTGAGAACGTGCGGTGTTTGGTTTTTTCTCCTTGCGATAGTTTGCTGAGAGTGATGGTTTCCAGCTTCATCCATGTCCCCACAAAGGACATGAACTCATCATTTTTTATGTCTGCATAGTATTCCATGGTGTATATGTGCCACATTTTCTTAATCCAGTCTATCATTTTTGGCCATTTGGGTTGTTTCCAACTCTTTGCTATTGTGAATAGTGTCGCAATAAACATACGTGTGCATGTATCTTTATAGCAGCATGATTTATAATCCTTTGGGTATATACCCAGTAATGGGACGTCTGGGTCAAATGGTATTTCTAGTTCTAGATCCCTGAGGAATCGCCACACTGACTTCCACAATGGTTGAACTAGTTTACACTCCCACCAACAGTGTAAAAGTGTTCCTATTTCTCCACATCCTCTCCAGCACCTGTTGTTTCCTGACTTTTTAATGATCACCATTCTACCTGGTATGAAATGGTATCTCATTGTGGTTTTGATTTGCATTTCTCTGATGGCCAGTGATGATGAGCATTTTTTCATGTGTTTTTTGGCTGCATAAATGTCTTCTTTTGAGAAGTGTCTGTTCATGCCCTTTGCCCACTTTTTGATGGGGTTGTTTTTTTCTTGTAAATTTGTTTGAGTTCATTGTAGATTCTTGATATTAGCCCTTTGTCACATGAGTAGGTTGCAAAAATTTTCTCCCATTCTGTAGGTTGCCTGTTCACTCTGATGGTGGTTTCTTTTGCTGTGCAGAAGCTCTTTAGTTTAATTAGATCCCATTTATCAATTTTGGCTTTTGTTGCCATTGCTTTTGGTGTTTTAGATATGCAGTCCTTGCCCATGCCTATATCCTGAATGGTAATGCCTAGGTTTTCTTCTAGGGTTTTTATGGTTTTAGGGCTAACATGTAAGTCTTTAATCCATCTTGAATTAATTTTTGTATAAGGTGTAAGGAAGGGATCCAGTTTCAGCTTTCTCCATATGGCTAGCCAGTTTTCCCAGCACCATTTATTAAATGGGGAATCCTTTCCCCTTTGCTTGTTTTTGTCAGGTTTGTCAAAGATCAGATAGTTGTAGATATGCGACATTATTTCTGAGGGCTCTGTTCTGTTCCATTGGTCTATATTTCTGTTTTGGTACCAGTACCATGCTGTTTTGGTTACTGTAGCCTTGTAGTATAGTTTGAAGTCAGGTAGCGTGATGCCTCCAGCTTTGTTCTTTTGGCATAGGATTGACTTGGCAATGCGGGCTCTTTTTTGGTTCTGTATGACTTGGCAAGGCGGGCTCTTTTTTGGTTCCATATGACTTGGCAATGTGGGCTCTTTTTTGGTTCCATATGAACTTTAAAGTAGTCTTTTCCAATTCTCTGAAAAAAGTCATTGGTAGTTTGATGGGGATGGCATTGAATCTATAAATTACATTGGACAGTATGGCCATTTTCACGATATTGATTGTTCCTACCCATGCGCATGGAATGTTCTTCCATTTGTTTATATCCTCTTTTATTTCATTGAGCAGTGGTTTGTAGTTCTCCTTGAAGAGGTCCTTCACATCCCTTGTAAGTTGGATTCCTAGGTATTTGATTCTCTTTGAAACCATTGTGAATGGGAGTTCACTCATGATTTGGCTCTCTGTTTGTCTGTTTTTGGTATATAAGAATGCTTGTGATTTTTGCACATTGATTTTGTATCCTGAGACTTTGCTGAAGTTGCTTATCAGCTTAAGGAGATTTTGTGCTGAGACGATGGGGTTTTCTAGATATACAATCATGTCATCTGCAAACAGGGACAATTTGACTTCCTCTTTTCCTAATTGAATTCCCTTTATTTCCTTCTCCTGCCTGATTGCCCTGGCCAGAACTTCCAACACTATGTTGAATAGGAGTGGTGAGAGAGGGCATCCCTGTCTTGTGCCAGTTTTCAAAGGGAATGCTTCCAGTTTTTGTCCATTCAGTATGATATTGGCTGTGGGTTTGTCATAGATAGCTCTTATTATTTTGAGATATGTCCCATCAATACCTAATTTATTGAGAGTTTTTAGCATGAAGGGTTGTTGAATTTTATCAAAGGCCTTTTCTGCATCTATTGAGATAACCATGTGGTTTTTGTCTTTGGTTCTGTTTATATGCTGGATTGCGTGTATTTATTTTCGTATGTTGAACCAGCCTTGCATCCCAGGGATGAAGCCCACGTGATCATGGTGGATAAGCTTTTTGATGTGTTGTTGGATTCGGTTTGCCAGTATTTTATTGAGGATTTGTGCATCAATGTTCATCAAGGATATTGGTCTAAAATTCTCTTTTTTTGTAGTGTCTCTGCCAGGCTTTGGTATCAGGTTGATGCTGGCCTCATAAAATGAGTTAGGGAGGATTCCCTCTTTTTCTATTGATTGGAATAGTTTCAGAAGGAATGTTACCAGCTCCTCCTTGTACCTCTGGTAGAATTTGGCTGTGAATCCATCTGGTCCTGGACTTTTTTTGGTTGGTAAGCTGTTAATTATTGCCTCAATTTCAGAGCCTGTTATTGGTCTACTCAGAGATTCAACTTCTTCCTGGTTTAGTCTTGGGAGGGTGTATGTGTCGAGGAATTTATCCATTTCTTCTAGATTTTCTAGTTTATTTGCGTAGAGGTGTTTATAGTATTCTCTGATGGTAGTTTGTACCATCGGTGGTGATATCCCCTTTGTCATTTTTTATTGCGTCTATTTGATTCTTCTCTCTTTTCTTCTTTATTAGTCTTGCTAGCGGTCTATCAGTTTTGTTGATCTTTTCGAAAAACCAGCTCCTGGATTCATTGATTTTTTGAAGGGTTTTTTGTGTCTCTGTCTCCTTCAGTTCTGCTCTGATCTTAGTTATTTCTTGCCTTCTGCTAGCTTTTGAATGTGTTTGCTCTTGCTTCTCTAGTTCTTTTAATTGTGATATTAGGGTGTCAATTTTAGATCTTTCCTTCTTTCTCTTGTGGGCATTTAGTGCTATAAATTTCCCTCTACACACGGCTTTGAATGTGTCCCAGAGATTCTGGTATGTTGTGTCTTTGTTCTCGTTGGTTTCGAAGAACATCTTTATTTCTGCTTTCATTTCGTTATGTACCCAGTAGTCATTCAGGAGCAGGTTGTTCATTTTCTATGTAGTTGAGCGGTTTTGAGTGAGTTTCTTAATCCTGAGTTCTAGTTTGATTGCAATGTGGTCTGAGAGACAGTTTGTTATAATGTCTGTTCTTTTACATTTGATGAGAAGTGCTTTACTTCCACGTATGTGGTCAATTTTGGAATATGTGTGGTGTGATGCTGAAAAGAATGTATATTCTGTTGATTTGGGGTGGAGAGTTCTGTAGATGTCTATTAGGTCCGCTTGGTGCAGAGCTGAGTTCAGTTCCTGGATATCCTTGTTTACTTTCTGTTTCGTTGATCTGTCTAATGTTTACAGTGAGGTGTTAAAGTCTCCCATTATTATTGTGTGGGAGTCTAAGTCTCTTTGTAGGTCACTAAGGACTTGCTTTATGAATCTGGGTGCTCCTGTATTGGGTGCATATATATTTAGGATAGTTAGCTCTTCTTGTTGAATTGATCCCTTTACCATTATGTAATGGCCTTCTTTGTCTCTTTTGATCTTTGTTGGTTTAAAGTCTGTTTTATCAGAGACTAGGATTGCAACCCCTGCCTTTTTTTGTTTTCCATTTGCTTTGTAGATCTTCCTCCATCCCTTTATTTTGAGCCTATGTGTGTCTCTGCACGTGAGATGAGTTTCCTGAATACAGCAAACTGATGGGTCTTGAATCTTTATCCAATTTGCCAGTCCGTGCCTTTTAATTGGAGCATTGAGCCCATTTACATTTAAGGTTAGTATTGTTATGTGTGAATTTTATCCTGTCATTATGATGTTAGCTGGTTATTTTGCTCGTTAGTTGATGCAGTTTCTTCCTAACCTTCATGGTCTTTACAGTTTGGCTTGTTTTTGCAGTGGCTGATACCGGTTGTTCCTTTCCATGTTTAGTGCTTCCTTCAGGAGCTCTTTTAGGGCAGGCCTGGTGGTGACAAAATCTCTCAGCATTTGCTTGTCTGTAAAGTATTTTATTTCTCCTTCACTTATGAAGCTTAGTTTTGCTGGATTTGAAAATCTGGGTTGAAAATTCTTTTCTTTAAGAATGTTGAATATTGGCCCCCACTCTCTTCTGGCTTGTAGAGTTTCTGCCGAGAGATCAGCTGTTAGTCTGATGGCCTTCCCTTTGTGGGTTACCCGACCTTTCTCTCTGGCTGTCCTTAACATTTTTTCTTTCATTTCAACTTTGGTGAATCTGACAATTATGTGTCTTGGAGTTGCTGTTCTCGAGGAGTATCTTTGTGGTGTTCTCTGTATTTCCTGAATTTCAGTGTTGGCCTGCCTTGCTAGATCGGGGAAGTTCTCCTGGATAATATCCTGCAGGGTGTTTTCCAACTTGGTTCCATTCTCCCCATCACTTTCAAGTACACCAGTTAGACGTAGATTTGATCTTTTCACATAGTCCCATATTTCTTGGAGGCTTTGCTCGTTTCTTTCTATTCTTTTTTCTCTAAACTTCTATTCACGCTTCATTTCATTCATTTCGTCTTCCATCGCTCATACCCTTTCTTCCAGTTCATCGCATCGGTTACTGAGGCTTGTGCATTCGTCACGTAGTTCTCGTGCCGTGGTTTTCAGCTCTGTCAGGTCCTTTAAGGGCTTCTCTGCATTGTTTATTCTAGTTATCCATTCGTCTAATTTTTTTTCAAAGTTTTGAGCTTCTTTGCCATTGGTTCAAACTTCCTCATTTAGCTCGGAGTAGTTTGATCTTCTGAAGCCTTCCTCTCTCAACTCGTCAAAGTCATTCTCCATCCAGCTTTGTTCCATTGCTGATGAGGAGCTGCATTCCTTTGGAGGAGGAGAGGTGCTCTGATTTTTAGAGTTTCTAGTTTTTCTGTTCTGTTTTATCCACATCTTTGTGGTTTTATCTACCTTTGGTCTTTGATGATGGTGACGTATAGATGAGTTTTTTGTGTGGATGTCCATTCTGTTTGTTAGTTTCCCTTCTAACAGTCAGGACCCTCATCTGCAGGTCTGTTGGAATTTACTAGAGGTCCACTCCAGACCCTGTTTGCCTGGGTATCAGCAGCAGTGGCTGCAGAACAGCGAATATTGGTGAGCCGCAAATGCTGCTGCCTGATCATTCCTCTGAAGTTTTGTCTCAGAGGAGTACCCGGCCATGTGAGGTATCAGTCCACCCCTACTGGGGGGTGCCTCCCAGTTAGGCTACTCAGGAGTCAGGGACCCACTTGAGGAGGCAGTCTGCCTGTTCTCAGATCTCAAGCTGCATGCCTGGAGAACCACTACTCTCTTCAAAGCTGTCAGACAGAGATATTTAAGTCTGCAGAGGTTATTGCTGTCTTTTGTTTGTCTGTGCCCTGCCCCCAGCGGTGGAGCCTACAGAGGCAGGCAGGCAGGCCTCCTTGAGCTGTGGTGGCCTCCACCCAGTTTGAGCTTCCAGGACGCTTTGTTTACCTACTCAAGCCTGAGCAATGGCAGGCGCCCCTACCCCAGCCTCGCTGTGGCCTTACCGTTTGATCTCAGACTGCTGTGCTAGCAGTGAGTGAGGCTTTGTGGGCATAGGACCCTCCGAGCCAGGTGCAGGATGTAATCTCCTGGTGTGCGGTTTGTTAAGCCCGTTGGAAAAGCACAGTATTAGGGTGGGAGTGACCCGTTTTTCCAGGTGCCATCTGTCACCCCTTTCTTTGACTAGGAAAGGGAATTCCCTGACCCCTTGCGCTTCCCAGGTGAGGCGATGCCTCGCCCTGCTTTTGCTCACACACGGTGCGCTGCACCCACTGTCCGGCATTCCCCAGTGAGATGTACCCGGTACCTCAGTTGGAAATGCAGAAATCACCCGTCTTCTACGTCACTCACAGTGGGAGCTGTAGGCTGGAGCCGTTCCTATTTGGCCATCTTGGCTCCAACCCCAACTCCTTACATTTTATTATGGAACATTTCAAACATGTAGAAAGATAGCTGAATGAGACAGTGAGTATGCTTCTAATAGAATGTACCTGTCACCCAGCTTCAGCAGTTACCAGCTCATACCCAGTTATTTTTTCATCCACAACTTTTCTTCCATTTTCCTTTTTTTACACCTTGGACATTTTGAATCTATAAATATTTCAACATATATCCTTAAGAGATAAGGCTTTTTTTTTTTTTTTTCAGGAGATGGACTCTCACTCTGTCACCCAGGCCGAAGTGCAGTGGTACGATCATAGCTCACTGCAGCTTTGAGCTCCTGGCCGCAAGCAGTCCTCCTGCCTCAGCCTCCTGAGTAGCCGGGACTATGGATGCATGCCACCATGCCTGACTAACTTTTTAAAATTGTTGTTGGAGATAGGATCTCACTATATTGCTCAGGCTGGTCTTGAACCCCTAGGCTCAAGTAATCCTCCCACCTCAGCCTCCTGAGTAGCTGGAATTACAGGTGCCAGCCACTGTGTCCACCTAAAGATTTGTTTTCAAAAATACATAATCACAACATGTTCATCACACCTAAAAAACTAAGAATAGTTTCTTAATATTACATTTCCAGGAATATTTTGATCAAAATATATTAAAGCATAAAAAAAGTAGAAATATTTTATTAAACCGTATATTATTGGCAAAGATACAATAAAAAGATTTCTCAAACCCTTTATTAGCCTACTTTTACTTGATTAAATGAGGTGCCTCTAAATGAAGAGTAATTGGTATAGCTAATAGTTATTTTTTTAGTGGTGCTTATAGTTATTTGATAAACGTTTGTAATGCCTTTGGTTTACTTCTCAAAAATTGAGAAGCAAATGGGTCTAATGAATTGATTATGCATCCTTTTACAACTCAGGGGCTTTCCAGCTGCTTACTTTGAACAGCTTAAAGGAAGAAGACCTAATGGATAGAGCACTGAAAGTTATTTTTGTTGATAAGTAACTGTGATTTTTTTATATTTGACTACAGAGGGGTTCAAAAAACTGAGAATCCTTGCTGTAATAAACCTTTTTTCATTCTAATCTGCCTTTTCACATGAGCAAGATTTCTTAGCATTTACATCTATGAAAATGAAAAGTAAGAGTAGACTGTATGCCTGGATACTGTCTCATTCTAGCAAGAATGCATATTATTTTAAGGATAAATAAACTAATATATTTTAAAGCTTTGTTCATCACTCTTAAAAATGCGTTTCCAATAAAATTTTACCTTTGGCTTAATTATCAAACTAATAAAATGTATTTTCATCAATTGTTTGCTGACAGTTTAAATAATTCAACTTCAAAGGGAGTTTTTTTAAACGCTGAGATCCATGAGCAAAACCAATTAAATGCAAACTTTATTTTTTTTAGCTGATTTGTTTTTAATTTTATTATTATTATACTTTAAGTTTTAGGGTACATGTGCACAACGTGCAGGTTTGTTACATATGTATACAAACTTTATTTTATATGATAGTTCATAGATGAATTTTTTGTTTGGAGAATTATCCCAGAACCATCACTAAAAAGAATCCACATATAAAATCATTTTACATCATGATAAAGTTTTCTGAGAAAAATGGAATGGAAGTACAAGTTCAAGGATAAAAGGGAAAGATGTACAATTTCTGAATATTCAAGTAGACCTTTATGTGTTTTTTTTGTTTTGTTTTGGAATTCTTTTGTGGATGATGGGGGATGGATGACAATTCAATTATATTTATATTCCACTGTATGCATTTTTAAAGTAATCATTTTATTTTAAAATTTTAATAATTATAATAGATTCAAATATTACCTATTTTGCAGCTATTTGTGCTGATGAAAACGTTTAGATTGTTTTCTTAGAAATTATTTAATGTGTTAGCTGGTATATAGTTTTTCAGCATTCAAAATTCTTTCGAAGCATATCTGGGCAAAGATGTTTGAAGACCGCAGGACTAAAGAACTAGGCAGCCTGGAGAAGTAGATTCTTCTTCATGCCAGAACCATCTCCTAGTAACTGCTTTTACCTGGATAACTTAAATAATGATAATTCAATATAAGCTGATCATTCAAAAGTGGGTGGATTAGCAGTCATATGAAGAACAGTTACCACAGGCAACCAAAAGCTACAGCTGACATTAATTACATTTAAATTCATTCTTTGACAAATTCATTCTTTGAGATTAAGGGTGATGATGCCCACAAATTAGAAAACTTTGATATAATTTTGTTTCTTGTGCGGGAAAAGCTAGTAATTGGAATTTTCTACAGAGGTCAAGAAATGTCAATGATACACTCAGTGTGGCTTAGAATGACCCACTTTTTCCTCTGTTTCTCTTTTTTTGTAATCAGAGCAGTTTTTATGTGTGACCTTAGCCTTCAAATGGAGTTGGGCACATATATGAAAATATTATACTTTATGTGAGTTCAGTTGCTTGAAAAATATGGTATCTGCTTTTTATTGCTGAAAAACTATAATTTGTACAAAGAGCAACTTTTTTTCTTTAGCTTTTAAGTTCAGGGATACATGTGCAGGATGTGCATGTTTGTTACACAGGTAAATGTGTACCATGGTGGTTTGTTGCATGGATCATCTCATCACCTAGGTATTAAGCTCGGCATCCCTTACCTATTCTTCCCTGATGCTCTCCCTCCAAGCCTCTGCCTCTCAAAAGCCCCAGTTTGTGCTGTTCCCCGCACCCTATGTGTCCATGTGTTCTCATCATTCAGCTCCGACTTATAAGTGAGAACATGTAATGTTTGGTTTTCTGTTCCTGTGTCAGTTTGCTGAGGATAATGGCTTCCAGCTACATTCATGTCCCTGCAGAGGACATGATCTCATTCTTTTTATGGCTGCATCATATTCCATATTCCATGGTGTATACATGTACCACATTTTCTTTATCCTGTCTATCATTGACAAGGGTTTAGGTTGATTCCATGTCGTTGCTATCGTGCATAGTGCTGCAAGGAACATATGTGTGCTTTGTGTGTATACCCAGTAATGGGATTGGTAGATCAAATGGTATTTCTGCCTCTCGGTCTTTGAGGAATCACCACACTGTCTTCTACAATGATTGAACTAACTTACACTCCCACCAACAGTGTAAAAGTGTTCCTTTTTCTCCACAACCTTGCCAGAATCTGTTGCTTTTTGACTTTTTATTAATCACCATTCTGACAGGCATGAGATGGTATCTCATTGTGGTTTTGATTTGCATTTCTCTAATGATCAGTGATGTTGAGCTTTTTTTTCGTGTTTTTTGGCCACAGGAATGTCATCTTTTGAGAAGTATCTGTTCACATTCTTTGCCCACTTTTGAATGGTTTTTTTTTTTTCTTGTAAATTTGTTTAAGTTCTATAGACTGGATATTAGAACTTTGTCAGATGGATAGATTGCAAACATTTTATCCCATTCTGTAGGCTGTCAGTTCACCCTGATGATAGTTTCTTTCGCTGTGCAGAAACTCTTTAGTTTAATTAGATCCCTTTGTCAATTTTTACTTTTCTTGTAATGCTGTTGGCATTTTCATCATGAAATATTTGCCTATGCCTGTGTCCTGAGTGGTATTGCCTAGATTTTCTTCTAGGATTTTTATAGTTTAGGTTTTATATTTTAAGTCTTTAATCCATCTTGAGTTAATTTTTGTATGTGGTGTAAGGAAGGGGTCTACTTTCCATTTTCTGAATATGGCTAGCCAGTTCCAAAGAGCAACTTCAACGGTAGAAGGATTAATGAATATTACTTTCAACTATAAACCTATTAACACTTTAGTTCTTATTGACAACTATATATATATATATATATATATATATATATATATATATATATATATATTCAGTTTTTATTTATTCACTTTAGTTCTTATTGACAACTATACGTGTGTGTATGTGTGTGTGTGTATATATATATATATATATATATTCAGTTTTTATTCATCTTAAAATGCACCACAAAAAGAAACAACTGTTCTTTCATTTTCTGTACACCTTTGGTAAACATCAGAACAGTAAATAGACACCGTATAAAATAAACTCTTAAGGATCAGCTGCTGCCTTTTAAGAGGTGTAACTGTAAAATAGCAAAACATAGGCAATAAGTATAAAACTTAAAATACTGTGAAGAACTTAAGTGTTGATTTTAAATGTTCAAAATGGCAAGATTGCAATTAATATATTGTTAGGAGTGGCAAATTCATATTTGTTAGGCGCCAGGAAGGAAACCAGAGTGAGTGAAGCAATTTGGGAAAATTAACACTTGGGTTGTCTTTAGACGCTAGCTCTGTCTGAACAAAGCCAGTTGGTTGCCAGACCTTCTGATATTTCTGATATTTCCAGAGAAGCTGAAAATCCAGACTTGTATATGAAATCAGATTTTCTTTTTAAGTTATAGCAATGAATTCAAGATTCTTAAAGGAGTATATGGGCCCAATAAAACACATCTTTATGCTCAATTTGGCTGATGGTCTGTCCCTTTATGACTTCTGATTTATCACTTTTCTAGAGTCTTCCTTTGAAATAAACATTTGGTTTAATAGCTCCTAGGAAAAAATGTCACAAGGTAGTTGAGTTTTTCCAAAATTCTAGCCATAATTTATTTCAGAGTTAGCCTACTAAAAAATTTGTAGGGAATGAGATCAGTAACTGCTCAGGTTAGAGACAGAGCCACGTGATCAACCTCATTGAGCTTTACTCTATAAAAGTCTGTGTTTTTAATCATTCTTGGCCTATAACATGAATTTGATGGCAAAATTAGGAAAGTTTTCTGAAATTACTTTGGGTTAAACTTGTCAGAGAATCTTTAACCCAAGTCTGATTATTTTGTTAGTAATTTAAAATACTTTAATGCTTAGAAATTATTGAACTGATGAATAAATGGTCTATCTTAAAAATAAGTTAATCAGTCATTATTAAATTGGATATAAGTGAAACTATTTTAAAGATTTCTAACCTTGTATATGGTGAAAGAATAATCAAATCAGTTGCTTGGCGTGAATTACCTTACAACATATGCTAAATGCAATTTCTCAATTCATTTTAATATTTTCTTATTACCATGACTTTATATTATAGAGTTCAGATTAAAATAATGAAATTAGTCTGTATGAATACTGCTTGGTTTTGATTTTACTGTCTTATTTAGGTTAAAGTGTGTTTAGGCCCTGCTTGTGCTAAAATATGTGTAGAAGGCTATTGGAAAGAGGTTGCTGTTTGTAGAACACATTTTGTGTAGAGAAAATTTTCTCCTGATGAATGCTTATTCTTTTTCCCAGATTCCACCTGCCAAGAACAAATTAGTCCATTGTGTCTTGCTGATTTCCAAAGACATCAATACCAAATTCACAATTATAAACCTTGTTTGCTATCCAGTCAGTTGAATACTGCGTTGACAATTAAGTTGGACTTAAATAGCCTTAAATTGCTCTATGGAGATGACATATCTGTGGTTTCATATTGGACTGGAACATATTACTATGAAAACGGTAGTGACTTCTAACTGCAGTAGAGAAGAATAGGAAATGCTGCTTGAGACTGAGGTTCAGTCTAGCCGGCATTCACTGACATTTCATGGGAGCCAGGTCCTGGTTAGGCATTGTGGCTACAGATATTGATGAGTCAAGGTTTCTGGGGAAGCTTTACAGCATCAAAGAGAAAGTTCCTAAAGTAACTTTAATGCAAACCAAAATGCTGTTAGGAAGGAAAAGTGTGGCAGGAAAACAGAGAAGAGAGAAGATCTTTTGGAGAAAGCTGATTTGAGTAGAGCCTTGGTAAATGGGGGAATTCTCACCTAGTGAGAAATTATAGGGGAATGACTTTATTTAAACTTGCTCTTTCTTCTATAGTTGATAGAAGTACTACCAGTGTTACCTTCTGGTTTTGATATTTATACTGTGGTTGTATAAGATGTTAATATTAATGGAAACTGAATGAGAGATAAATGGAAACTTTGTGCTATGGGCTTTCCTTAGTAAGATAAAATTCACATAACATAAAACTTTAAATTTATCATAGAATCCCTAGGTGTATAATTGATAAAGTGTACAATTTAGTATCATTTAGTACATTTACAATTTTGCACAACCATCAGCTCTATCTGGATCCCACACCATTTTATAACTGCAAAGGGAACCCTGTACCCACTAAGCCAGCAGTCCCCAACCTTTTTGGCAACAGGGACCGGTGTCATGGAACTCAGTTTTTCCATGGACAGGGTCAGAGGCCAGGTGGTGGGGGTGGTTTCGGGATAAAATTGTTCCACCTCAGATCATCAGGCATTAGATTCTCATAAGGAGCACACAACCTAGATCCCTTGAATGTGCATTTCACAATAGGGTTCGCAGTCCTTTGAGAATCCAATGCCACCACTGATCTGACAGGCGACGGAGCTCATGAGGTGATGCTCACTTGCCTGCCGCCCACCTCCTGCTGTGTGGCCCAGTTCCTAAAAAGCCATGGACCTGTAGTGGTCCACAGCCCAAGGGTTAGGGAACCCTGCATTAAGCAATCACTCCCTTTTGTCTCTCAGCACCTGACAACCACAAATCTGCTTTCTGTCTCTATAGATTTAACTATTATGAATATTTCACATAAATGGAATTCTCCAGTACGTAACCTTTTGTTTCTGCCTTTTTTCACATAGTATGTTTTTAAGGATCATCCATTTTGTACTAGTCTGTATTGTATTAGTAATTTAGTCATTTTTATGGCTTAATAATAGTCCATTGTATAGATATATGACATTTTGTTTATCCATTTATCCACTGATGGGAATTCGTGTTATTTCCACTTGTGGGCTATTGTGAATAGCACTACTAGGAGCATTCATTTTTCAAGTATTTGTTTGTTTACTTATTTTTAATTATCTTGGATATATAGCTAAGCGTAGAAATGCAGGATCATATGGTAATTCTGTGTTTAACTTTTTGAAGAACTGCCAAACTGTTTTCCAGAGATCCTTTTAGTTCTTTCATCCATTCTGAGTTAAATTTTGTATGTAGTGTGAAGTAGGGACTTCAATTTATTCTTCTGCATGGTCCAAAACTTTAGAATTAATATTTGTAAAAGAGAATCATTATTATTTTCCACAATATTAGAAAACCTTGTATGACATTAATCATTTATTTTCTGATTCATTTAAAAAAGATTAAAGATAATAAATATGACTGCTAAAACTATAAAACTCTTAGAAGAAAACAGGCAAATTTTCATGGCCTTGCATTAGGAAATGGATTCTTTGATATGGTACCAAAAGAACAAAAAAGAAATGAAAAATTGATATATTGGACTTAATCAAAATTAAAAACTTGTACTATCAAGAAAGTGAAAAGATGTCCGGGCATGGTGGCTCACGCCTGTAATCCCAACACTTTGGGAGGCCGAGGCGGGTGAACTGCCTGAGCTCCAGAGTTCAAGACCAGTCTGGCCAACATGGTGAAACCCTGTCTCCACTAAAAAAAAAAAATACAAAAAATTACCCAAACATGGTGGTACATGCCTATAATCCTAGCTACTTGGGTGGCTAAGGCAGGAGAATCGCTTGAACCCTGGAGGCGGAAGTTGCAGTGAGCGGAAATCGCACCACTGCACTACAACCTGGGTGACAGAGCGAGACTCTGATTCAAAAAAAAAAAAAAAAAAGAAAAGTAAAAAGACAACCCACAGCCTAGGAGACAAGTCATATACTAGATAAAGGCCTAATGCCCAGATTATATAAAGAACTCTTAAAACGCACCAACAGGGACTGAGGGTAATGGTCTTATAATCCCAGCCCTTTGAGAGGCCAAGGAAGGAAGATCCCTTTAAGCCAGGAGTTCAAGACTAGCCTGGGCAAAAAGGTAAGACCCGTGTATCTAAAAATAAATGGATGGATGGATGAATGGATGGATCGATGGATGGATAGCAGTAAAGCAATACATAACATACATAACACAATTTAAGAATGGAAAAATAATTTGAGTAGACATTTCTCCAGAGAATGTATACGGATGGCCAGTAACCACAGCAAACATGTTCAGCATCATTAGCTATCAGGAAAATACAAATCAAACCACAGTGAAATACTGTATCACACCCTCTAGGATAGCTGTAATAAAATAAATGGACAAGAATAAGACAGGATTTGGAGATACTGGAATTCTCCTACATTGCTGGGTACAAATGTAAGATGGTGAAGTGGAAAACAGTTCAACAATTCCTCAAAAAGTTAAACATATATTCCTCTATGACCCAACAATTCCACTCCTAGGTATATACCAAAAAGAATTAAAGACATATGTCCACATAAAAACTTGTACATGAATGTTTGTAGCAGCCAAAAAGTGGAAACAAGCCAGATCTTCAGATGAATGGATAAGCAAAATGTAAACCCATACAATGGAATATTATTCCGCTATAGAAAGAACTGAGGCACTGATACATGTTTCAACATGGATGAACTTGAAAACATTATTCTAACTGAATGAAGCCAAACACAGAAGACCACATAGTGTATGATTTTATTTATGTGAAATGTCCTGAATAGAGACAGAATGCAGATTTGTGGTTGCCAATAAGGGGAAATAGAGTACACAATTTCTTTTTTGGTGTGATGAAAATGCTTTGGAGTTATATAGTAGTGACGATTGTACACTGTGAACATACTAAAAACCACTCACTGCACTTTAAGAGAATGAATTGTATGTTGAATATATCAATGAAAATAAATAAATTTAAGTGTTTTGCATGCAGAGATTTTTATTTTAAAATAATGCTCATTTGATGTTTGCCTTAAGAAAAGTATTTTTATTTTATTTTTTAGGAATTTATCATGGCATCCAGCATTGACCACTACAAGTAAAATGCGAATTCCACATTCTCATGCATTTATTGATCTGACTGAAGATTTTACAGCAGGTGAGTTGCACATAAATCTGGAATTGTTTTGAGTTACCAAAGAAGTATGGGATTTTATTTACTGTACACTTTGTATTTAATTGCTAATGAAGTAAATGTTGAAATTAATGTTTAAAGGATGTTAGAAAGTCAGTGATTTGGAAACATGGAAAAAGTACTGACTGTAATAAATAAGTCTTTAGCTATTGTTGTTTTTGTTGTTCATTAATAACTGCCTCAGAATTTGAATTCTCTACTTTTTATGAATTCATGATAATTTCAGCACATGTTGCCTGCTGTTTTTTTTACCTTTTTTATTAAAAATTTTTAAAATAATATGTGCTACAAATTTAACAATAAGAAAAATCTTTAGCTTATGTACAAGAATAATTTCACAGGCTTTTAAAACTTGTTATCATGGAAAATTTTAAACAGAAAATTGGACAGAATATTATAATATATGCACATTTAACCGTCACCTAGCTTCAACAATTATATGGCCCAATCTTGTTTCCCCTGTAAATGCACCTACAAGTTCCTCCTATCAAAGATAATTTTAAAGTAAATCCCAAACATATAATTTCACTTTTAAATATTTCCATCTGTATCTCAGATTACAAGGACTTTTTTATTTAAAACTGCCAGATCATTTTGAAATCTAAAAAAATTACACAATAATTTCTTTTTTTGAGAGGGTCTCACTCTGTTCCGCAGGCTGGAGCACAGTAGTACATGCGATCACAGCTCACTGCAACCTCTGCCTCCCAGGCTCAAGCTATCCTCCCACCTCAGCCTCGAGAGCATCTAGGACTACAAGCATGTGCCATTATGCCTGGCTAATTCTTGTATTTTTTGTAGAGACAGAGTTTCCCTATGTTGCCTAGACTGGTCTTGAACTCCTTGGCTCAAGCAATCCACCCACATTGGCTTCCCAAAATGGTGGGATTACCAGCATGAGCCACCACACCCAATCAACAACAATTTCTTAATGTCATTGAATATCTAGTCATTATTCAAAATGCCCAGATTTTCTCCGACATGTTTTTATCAAATCAGGAAGTTAAACAAGGTTCATGCCGAAGTAGAGAAACCATCTGTGCTGTACACATCTGTGCTGTACAGTTGTGTGGATTTTTCAGATTGTATCCCAATGGAGTTAACATGTTACTATGTTCCTAGAATCAGAATTCTTTTTTTTGGAGACAGAGTCTCGCTCTGTCGCCCAGGCTGTAGTGCAGTGGTGCGATCTCTGCCCACTGCAACCTCCGCCTCCCAAGTAGCTGGGACTACAAGCGCATGCTGCCACGCCCAGCTAATTTTTTTGTATTTTAGTAGAGACGGGGTTTCACCATGTTGGCCAGGCTGGTCTCGAACTCCAGAGCTCAGGCAATTCACCCACCTCAGACTCCCAAAGGGCTGGGATTACAGACATGAACCACTGCGCCCAGCCACAGAATCAGAATTCTTTTGTGGGTGGTGGGAGTGGGAATATCAAGAATATTTCCTAGGTGTTGCTGTATGTTTCAGTTCATTAGGTGATACAGTTTAAGTTCTCTCTCTTCTGTGATATTAAAATTGATCAGTAGGTTCAGTTTTCCTCAGCATAGATCATCCATTACAGTATTCTCTAATGGTTAGGAGGTATGAATGATTATTGTCAGCCCCATTATTTCAACAGGAGTTGCAAAATTGTGACACACTAAATCTGTCACTCTACTGCAGGTATAATTAGCTAAATTTTCTGTTAAAAAGAACTCCCATCCTCAGTTCTTTAGTCACTTGCAGTACAGTTGAGACAGGCAAGATAAATACTTGATTTCCCCACCTCCGCCCCCACTTCCCACCTGTTTTTGTGAGCATTCAAACACTTAACAGTCTGATTTTACAGTTACATTTTTATATAATGTACTAATTGCAAATGAGTAAAGCAGGCCTAGTGGCTGTGAGATGTAATAAAACTTATTTTCTTTAAAAGTATTCCATGATGCAAAACCTAATTTTCATTGAGAAACAGGTAGAAAATAATATTGCATAATTTAAACCTCTTAATTCTGGATTGATTATGACTTTTGCTACAACATTTTCATTATTGACGTACGATTTTCAAAGTTAAAAATATTTAGTGCCCAAATACACTGTGGATTTTACTGACTTAAAACCACAAATTTAACCTTTTATCTAGTAAATTTTTTATGAATCTAAGATTCTAGGTACTTCAATATGCTTGGTATGTTTTGGTGGGGAGGAGAGGGGAGAATTTAAGAAAAGAAAACATATTATTTTTAGTGTGGTTTATCTGGTATGCCAAATCACATGAAAACCTCAATAATAAGGTGTTGACTACATTGCAATGGAAGTTGTCTTAGAAACTTGCTTTTCAAGATGAGAACATTCTATACTTATAGGTTCATTTTTTTAATCTTATTTTTGTTATACACACACATCCAAACTTTTGTTTCTTACAATTCCTTTTTAGGAAAAATCTATCTTAATGAAGCTTTAGAAATGTACTTTTAGTTCAATAGTATGAGACTTCCTTAAACAATACTGACTTTGCATTTAAGTAAGCCGCCACCAGGGCTACTGCTACCCATCTGCACAAGCAAAGTGAATGAAGAAGAAATAAGTCTTTCCTAGACATGCAAAAGCTGAGGGAATTCATTACCACTGGAATGGCCCTACATGAAATTCTTAAGCGAGTCCTGCATTTGGAAGCATAAAGACAGTATCTACCATCATGAGATCACACAAAGTATAAAACTCACTGGTAGCTCAGACACACAAATAAAAAAGAGAAAGGACTCAAATGTTACCAGTAAATGTTACCAGTACAGAAAACCACCATATCTCATTGATAAACAATAAGAGATAAAGAAAGGACAAAGGATACGTATGCAAAACAACCAGAAAACGATTCATAAAATGAAAGGAATAGGCCAGGTGCAGTGACTCACTCCTGTAATCCCATCATTTTGGGAGATTGAGGCAAGCAGATTACTTGAGCTTAGGAGTTTGAGACCAATCTACGCAACATGGTGAAACCTTGTCGCTATCAAAAATAAAAATTAGCCAGGCATGGTGGCACACGCCTGTGACCCCAGCTACTCAAGAAGCTGAGGTAGGAGAATCACTTGATCCTGGGAGGCAGAGGTTGCAGTGAGCTGAGATCATGCCACTGCACTTCAGCCTGGGTAACAAGAGTGCAGACCTTGTCTGGAAAAAAAAAAAAAAAAAAGGAGCGTCACTTCCAAGATGGCCAAATAGGAACACCTCTGGTCTGCAGCTCCCAGTGAGATCAACGCAGAAGACGGGTGATTTGTGCATTTCCAACTGAGGTACCTGGTTCATTGCATTGGGACTGGTTGGACAGTGGGTGCAGCCCAAGGAGGGCAAGCTGAAGCAGGGTGGGGTGTCGCCTTACCCAGGAACTGCAGGGGGTCAGGGGATTTCCTTTCCTAGCCAAAGGGAAGCCGTGACAGACTGTACCTGGAGAAACAGTACACTCCTGACTAAATACTGTGCTTTTCCCACGGTCTTAGCAACCAGCAGACCAGAAGATACCTTCCCGTGCCTGGCTCCACGGGTCCCACACCCACGGAGTGTTGCTCACTGCTAGCGCAGCAGTCTGAGATCAACCTGCGATGCTGCAGCTTGACAGGGAGAAGAGCATCCACCATTGCTGTGGCTTGAGTAGCTTACAGTGTAAACAAAGCGGCCTGGAAGCTCGAACTGGGAGGAGCTCACTGCAGCTCAGCAAGGACTACTGCCACTAGATTCCACCACTGGGGGCAGGGCATAGCAGAACAAAAGGCGGCGGACAGCTTCTGCAGACTTAAACATCCCTGTCTGACAGCTCTGAAGAGAGCAGTGGTTCTCTCAGCGTGGCGTTCCAACTCCGAGAACGGACACACTGCCTCCTCAAGTGGGTCCCTGACCCCAATGTAGCCTGACTAGGAGACACCTCCCAGCAGGAGCCGACAGACACCTCAAACAGGCAGGTGCCCCTCTAGGACAAAGCTTCCAGAGGAAGGATCAGGCAGCAATATTTGCTGTTCTGCAGCCTTCGCTGTTGATACCCAGGCAAACAGGGTCTGGAGTGGACCTCCAGCAAACTCCAACAGACCTGCAGCTGAGGGGCCTGACTGTTAGAAGGAAAACTAACAAACAGAAAGGAATAGCATCAACATGAACAAAAAGGACATCCACACCAAAACCCAATCTGTAGGTCACCAACATCAAAGACCAAAGGTAGATAAAACCACAAAGATGGGGAGAAACCAGAGCAGAAAAGCTGAAAATTCCAAAAACCAGAGCACCTCTTCTCCTCCAAAGGATTGCAGCTCCTCACCAGCAAGAGAACAAAATTGGACGAAGAATGAGTTTGATGAGTTGACAGAAGTAGGCTTCAGAAGATCGTTAATAGCAAACTTCTCCAAGCTAAAGGAGTGTGTTCTAACCCATCGCAAGGAAGCTAAAAACCTTGAAAAAAGGTTAGGCGAATGGCTAACTAGAATAAACAGTGTAAAAAAGACCTTAAATGACTTGATGGAGCTGCAAAACCATGGCATGAGAACTTTGTGATGCATGCACAAGCTTCAATAGCTGATTCGATCAAGTGGAACAAAGAGTATCAGTGATTGAAGATCAAATTAATGAAATAAAGTGAGAAGACAAGGTTAGAGAAAAAAGAGTAAAAAGAAATGAACAAAGCCTCCAAGAAATATGGGACTATGTGAAAAGACCAAACCTACGTTTGATTGGTGTACCTGAAAGTGATAGGGAGAATGGAACCAAGTTGGAAAACACTCTTCAGGATATTATCCAGGAGAACTTCCCCAACCTAGCAAGGCAGGCCAACATTCAAATTCAAGAAATACAGAGAATACCACAAAGATACTCCTTGAGAAGAGCAACCCCAAGACACATAATTGTCAGATTCACTAAGGTTGAAATGAAGGAAAAAATGTCAAGGGCAGCCAGAGAGAAAGGTCGGGTTACCCACAAAGGGAAGCCGATCAGACTAACAGCGGATCTCTCAGCAGAAAACCTACAAGCCAGAAGAGAGTGTGGGCCAGTGTTCAACATTCTTAAAGAATTTTCAACCCAGAATCCCATATCCAGCCAAACTAAGCTTCATAAGTGGAGGAGAAATAAAATCCTTTACAGACAAGCAAATGCTGAGAGATTTTTTCACCACCAGGCCTGCCTTACAGGAGCTCCTAAAGGAAGCACTAAACATGGAAAGGAACAACCAGTACAAGCCACTACAAAAACATGCCAAATGGTAAAGACCATCAATGCTAGGAAGAAACTGCATCAATTAACGGGCAAAATAACCAGCGAGCATCATAATGACAGGATCAAATTCAGACATAACAATATCAATCTTAAATGTAAATGGGCTAAATGCCCCAGTTTAAAGACACAGACTGGCAAATTGAATAGAGTCAAGACCCATTGATGTGCTGTATTCAGGAGACCTGTCTCATGGGCAAAGATGCACATAGGCTCAAAATAAAGGGATGGAGGAAAATCTACCTAGCAAATGGAAAGCAAAAAAAAAAAAAAAAAAATCAGGGATTGCAGTCCTGGTCTCTGATAAAACAGACTTTAAACCAACAAAGATCAAAAGAGACAAAGAAGGCCACTACATAATGGTAAAGGGATCAAT
Source organism: Homo sapiens (assembly GCF_000001405.40). Classification (NCBI taxonomy): domain Eukaryota; kingdom Metazoa; phylum Chordata; class Mammalia; order Primates; family Hominidae; genus Homo; species Homo sapiens. Next base: position 47,423,153 of record NC_000016.10, on the reverse strand, counting down.
TCAACAAGAAGAGCTAACTATCCTAAATATATATGCACCAATACAGGGGCACCCAGATTCATAAAGCAAGTCCTTAGTGACCTACAAAGAGACTTAGACTCCCACACAATAATAATGGGAGACTTTAACACCCCACTGTCAATATCAGACAGATCAACAAGACAGAAGGTTGACAAGGATATCCAGGAACTGAACTCAGCTCTGGACCAAGCGGACCTAATAGACATCTACAGAACTGTCCACCCCAAATCAACAGAATATACATTCTTCTCAGCCCCACATCGCACTTATTCTAAAATTGACCACATAATTGGAAGTAAAGCACTCCCACAGAAATACAAACTACCATCAGAGAATACTATAAACACATCTATGGGAAAAAAAAACTGGAAAATCTAGAAAAAGTGGATAAATTCCTGGACACATACACCCTCCCAAGACTAAACCAGGAAGAGGTTGAATCTCTGAATAGACCGATAACAGGCTTGGAAATTGAGGCAATAATTAATAGCCTACCAACCAAAGAAAGTCCAGGACTAGACGGACTCACAGCCGAATTCTACCAGAGGTACAAAGAGGAACTGGTACCATTTTTTCTGAAACTATTTCAATCAATAGAAAAAGAGGGAATCCTCCCTAACTCATTTTATAAGGCCAGCATCATCCTGATACCAAAGCCTGGCAGAGACATAACAAAAAAAGGGAATTTTAGGCCAATATCCCTGATGAACATCGATGTGAAAATCCTCAATAAAATACTGGCAAACCATCTCATGCCAGTTAGAATGTCCATCATTGAAAAGTCAGGAAACAACAGATGCTGGAGAGGATGTGGAGAAATAGGAACACTTTTACACTGTTGGTGTGAGTGTAAGTTAGTTCGACCATTGTGGAAGACAGTGTGGTGATTCCTCAAGGATCTAGAACTAGAAATACCATTTGACCCAGCAATCCCATTACTGGGTATATACCCAAAGATTATAAATCATGCTACTATAAAGACACATGCACACGTATGTTTATTGTGGCACTGTTCACAATAGCAAAGACTTGGAACCAACCCAGATGTCCATCAATGATAGACTGGGTTAAGAAAATGTGGCATATATACACCATGGAATACTGTGCATCCATAAAAAAGGATGAGTTCATGTCCTTCGCAGGGACATGGATGAAGCTGGAAATCATCATTCTAAGCAAACTGTCACAAGGACAGAAAACCAAACACCACATGTTCTCACTCACAGGTGGCAGTGGAACAATGAGAACACATGGACAGGGGGCGGGGAACATCACACACCAGACCCTGTTGCTGGGTGGGGGACTGTGGGAGGTATAGCATTAGGAGAAATACCTAATGTAAATGACGAGTTGATGGGTGCAGCCAATCAACATGGCACATGTATACCTATGTAACAAACCTGCACGTTGTGCACATGTACCCTAGAACTTAAAGTATAATTTTAAAAAAAAGGAATAATTAATCACCTATCAAATATAACCTTGATTGTAAATGGCTTAAATTTTCCACTTAAAAATATAGACTGGCTAGTCCGGGCATGGTGGCTCACCCCTGTAATCCCAGCACTTTGGGAGGCCAAGGCGGGCGGATCATGAGGTCAGGAGATCAAGACCATCCTTGCCAACATTCTGAAACTCTGTCTCTACTAAAATACAGAAAGTTAGCTGAGCATGTTGGTACGCGCCTGTAGTCCCAGCTACTCAGGAGCCTGAGGCAGGAGAATCGCTTGAACCTGGGAGGCAGAGGTTCAGTGAGCCAGGATCGCGCCACTGCTCTCCAGCCTGGTGACAGAACGAGACTCCATCTCAGAAAAAAAAAATATGTATGTGTGTGTGTGTGTGTGTGTGTGTGTGTGTGTGTGCATATGTATGTATATATGTGTGTATATATACATATATATACACACACACATACGTTTTTAGACTGGCTAAATGGATTCTTTTAAATGACCTACCTAACTTTATGCTGCCTACACAACACTCACTTCACCTGTAACAACATGTATAGACTGAAAGCTAAGGGGTGAAAAGAGATATTCCGTGAAAACAGAAACCAAAAATGAGCAAGAGTTCTTATACTTATATTCGATGAAAGGTAATTGAACAAAAAAGAGACATATAAGGTCTTTATATAATAATAAGGAGAACAATTCAGCAAGATAATGTAATCTTAATATATACGCATCTAACAGTGGAGCACCCAGATACATAAAGAAAATATTATTATATCTAAAGGCAGAGATAGACTCTGTCTTAATCCATTTGTGTTGCTATAAAGGAGTGCCTGAAGCTGTGTAATTTGTAATGGAAAGGGGTTTAGGTGGCTCACAAATCTTCATGCTTTACAAGGAACACGGTACCAGCATTTGCTTCTGGTAAAAGGCTCAGACTGCTTCCACTTGTGGTGGAAGGTGAAAGGGAGCTGATATGCACAGAGATCATGTAGCAAAAAATAGGACACGAGAGAGAGGGAAGTACCAGTCTCTTTTTAACAGCAGGATCTCGAGGATATTTTTATGGAAATTAATACAGAACTCAATCATTACCGTGAGGATGGCACCAAGACATTCATAAGGGATCTGCCCCCATGATCCTCACGCTTCCTCTTAGGCCCACCTCCATCATTGTGAATCAGATGTCAACGTGCTTTCTAAACTATAGTAGACTCCATCCAGTACATTAATAGTTCAGCACTTCAACATCACACTCTCACTGTTGCACAGATCATCTAGACAGTCAATAAAGAAACATTGGATATAAACTGTACATTAGACCAAATAGGCCCAACAGACATTTACAAAACATTTTATCCCACAGCTACAGAATACATATTTTTCTCATCAGAATATTATTACTTTTCCAGGACAGACCAGATGTTAGGCCACATAAAAAAAATCAACTAATTTTTAAAAATTGGCATCATATCAAGCATCTTCTCATGCCACAATGGAATACAACTAGAAATCAATGACAAGAGGATCTTTGGAAACTGTACAAGTACATGGAAATAAAACAACATGCTCTTGGTCAACCATTTACTCAATAAATTAAGGCAGGGCATGGTGGCTCGTGCCTGTAATCTCAGCACTTTGGGATTGAGCTGCAGTGAACCATGATTGCACCATTGTACTGCAGCCTGGGCAGCAAAGCAAAAGCTGGTCTCCAAAAAAAAAAAAAAGAGAAGATAAAGAAAAAAAGGTGAAAGAGTCTGCCCAATAAGACCTGAAGTAGGGCGGGCGTCGTGGCTCACACTTATAATCCCAGCACTTTGGGAGGCCGGGGTGGGCGGATCACTTGTGATCAGGAGTTCAAGACCAGCCTTGCCCACATAGTGAAACCTCATCTCTACTAAAAATGTAAAAATTAGCCGGGCATGACTGTGGGCATTTGTAATCTCAGGTACTTGGGAGGCTGAGGCAGGAGAATTGCTTGAACCTGGGAGGCAGAGGTTGCAGTGAGCTTTGTGCCACCACACTCCAGTCTGGGTGACAGAGTGAGACTCCATCTCAAAAAAAAAAAAAAAAAAAAAAAGACCTGAAGTAAGGCCGTGAAAGTGCAAGGGAACAGGTGCAGTGGCTCACGCCTATAATCCCAGCAGTTTGAGAGTCCAAGTTGGGTGGATCGCGTGAAGTCAGGAGTTCAAGACCAGCCTGGGCAACATGGCAAAACTCTGTCTTTACAAAAAAGTACTAAAAAATTAGCTGGACTTGGTGGCATGCTCTTGCAGTCCCAGCTGCTTGGGAGGCTGAGATGGGGGGATTGCTTGAGCTTGGGAGGTTGAGGCTGCAGTGAGCAATGATTATGCCACTGCACTTTAGCCTGAGTGACAGAGTGAGACCCTGTCTCAAAAAAAAAATTAAGAAGGAAGTCCCTTGGGGCCAGGTGGCCAAAGCCACAATACACTATGATTGCAGCTGTGAATAGCAACTACGCTCCACCTTGGACAACATAGACAGACTCTGTCTCTAAAACCAATCAAAAAAACTTAGCAAGCCAAATCCAAGAACACATCAAAAAGATAAAACAACGTGAACTAGTGAGATTTATCTCAGAAATACAAGGATGGTTCAACATATGCATGTTAGTAGATTAAAAATAGATATCTCATGCTCATGGACCATAAGAATTATTATCATTATATGACCATATTTCCAAAAGCAATCTACAAATTCAGTGTAATCTCTATCAAAATAACAATGGCATTCTTCACAGAAATAGGAAAAACAATCCTAAAATTTTTATGAAACAACAAAATATACTGAGTAGTCATAACAATACTGAGCAAAAAGAACAATTCTGGAAGCATCACACTGCCTGAGTTTAAAATGTGCTACAGACATATACTACAAAGTTATAGTAACCAAAACAACATAGAACTAGTATAAAAACAAACACAGACACAAAGACCAGTGGAACAGAATAGAGAACCCAGAAATAATTCCACAGCCAACTGAATTTTGAGAAAGGCACCAAGATTATACGTCATGGAATAGAAACTTTCTTTAATAAATAGTGCTGGGAAAACTGTACATCAGTATGAAAAAGAATGAAATTAGTCCCCCCACCATGATATACAAAAAATTAACTCAAAATGAATGACCCAAAACTATAAAATTACTAGAAGAAAACATAAGGGAAACACTTCAGGATATTGGTCTAGGCAATGATTTTATGGCTAGGAGTTCAAAAGCTCAAAAACAAACAAACAAACAAAAAAATTTCAAAAACAAAAAAAAGATAAATGGGACTATGTTGTGCTAAAAAGCTTCTGCACCTCAAAGGAAACAGTCAGCGGAGTAAGAGGCAACCTGTATAATGAGAGAAAATATTTGGAAACTGTTCATTAGGCAAGGGACAAATATCCATAATATACAATGAACTCAAAGAATTCAACGGTAAGAAAGCAAATAATCCTATTGAAAAGAGGGCAAAGGATCTGAGTAGACATTTCTCAAGAAAAGATATACAAATGGCCAATAGGTTTATGAAAAAATGCTCAACATCTCTAATCATCAGTGAAATTTAAACTACAGTGAAATATCTCATTGTTATTCAAATGGCTGTCATCAAAAAGATCAAAAAAAAAATCTCAAACAAATCCTGCTGAGGATGCAGAGAAATGAGAACACTTATACATTGTTTGAAATGTAAATTAGTACAGCCATTATGGAAAACAGTATGGATGTTTCACACAAAAACTAAAAATGGAACTACCATACCATCCAGCAATCCCACCAATGGGTATTTATCCCAGGGAAAGGAAATCAGTATATTGAAGGGATATCTGTACCCCCATGATTATTGCAATAGTACTCAAAATAGGCAATATATGGAATCAACCTGAGTGTCCTTCAGCTAATGAATGGAAAAAGTATGGCATATATACACAATGGAATCATATTCTGCCATAAAAAAAGAATGAAAGCCTGTTATTTGCATCAACATGTGTATTGAGATCATTATGTTAAGTGAATTAAGCCATGTACAGAAAGTCAAATATCACAAGTTCTCATTCATATATGGGAGCTAAAAGAGTTTATCTCATAGAGATAGTCAATAATAGTTACCAGAAGCAAAGTGTAGAGTGGGAGATGAAAAAAGAGTGGTTAATGGGTATAAATATACAGTTAGAAGAAATAAGTTCTAACATTCAATAGCACATCAGGGTGACTGTAGTTAACAACAGTATATTCTGTATTTCAAAGTAGCTAGAAGAGAAGAATTGAAGTGTTCCTGACACACAGAAATAAATATTCAAGATGATAGATGTCCTAAATATCCTAGTTTGATCATTATATATTATACACATGTATGAGAGGCATTTGCTTAATCTGTTGTATAAAATGTATAGCAATTATCTTTGATGAGTGATCTTTCAGAAATTATATGAGGAAGTTTTAAAATGTTAATTATTGTAGTTGTGTTATATAGAACCCTGTTTCTGCTTTTGAAATCATTTCAGCAAACCTTCAGAGTACCTGCCTCATGCAAAGGCCTCTCTGCTATTCATTGTATGAGATACAAAGATGACAAGAAGTGCCATCAGCCATCAAAAACAATTTAGTTTACTGGGAGTAGCTGACAAGTCTAGCCATTATGTGTGGCAGAATGAAATAAGTGCATATTAGTTATGAACTACTATGTAGCAATAACAGGTAATAGTAAGCAGTAGTCCCGCTATCTTGGGACTGTCATGTCCTACAAATTTAGCTAAGAATTTGGCCAATTTTTATAAAATGGTATACACTTCTCATTGTCCAGAATATATTCATTCCTAGAACACTGTGTTAGTCCTTTTGTGTTGACATAAAGAAGTACCTGAGACTGGATAATTTACAAAGAAGGGGTTTATTGTGGCTCATGGTTCTCCATGCTTCTTCTGGGGAAGCCTCAGGAGGCTTCCACCAATGTTGGAAGGCAGAGGGAGAGCAAGCACATCATATTGTGAGACAGGAACAGAGAGAGAGGGGGGAATGCCAGGCTCCTTTAAACAATCAGCTCTTGAATGAACTCAGAACCATGGGGAGGGCACCAAACCATTCATGAGGGGTCCACTCCCATTACCCAGATAGATACTTCCCACTAGGGCCTACCTCCAACATTGGGGCTCAGATTTTAACATGAGATTTGGAGGGGACAAACATCTAAACTATATCAGACATACAAAACTTTTGCAAACAATAAGCTTTAGCTGAAATTCTTAATATAAAGAGAACTTCCTGTTGAAGAAAAAACAAGTAATGTATGAATTCTCAGTTTTTTCTTTTTAAATATTTTTAGTTCTTAATTTTTTTAAATAGTCAAATCTATATGACTTCTAATGACTTATCCACTATATGATTATAACAATTTATTTAACATCTCTTTTTTTTTAAGTTATGTATGTTGTTTCTGGTTTTTTAAATTTTTATTTTATTTTTATTGCTCTGGTGCCTGATTTTGTGGACATCGCTCATAATCTCATGAAGAGTTTCTGCATATGAAATAAATGGTTAAACAAGTATAAAGGTGTTTTTTGTTTTGTTTTGTTTTGTTTTTGAGACACAGTTTCGCTCTTGTTGCCCAGGCTGGAGTGCAATGGTGCAATCTTGGCTCATTGCAGCCTCTGCCTCCTGGGTTCAAGGGATTCTCCTGCCTCAGCCCCCTGAGTAGCTGGGATTACAGGCGCCCACCACCATGCCCAGCTAATTTTTGTATTTTTAGTAGAGACGGGGTTTCACCATGTTGGCCAAGCTGGGCTCGAACTCCCAACCTCAGGTGATCCGCCCACCTCAGCCTCCCAAAGTGCTGGGGTTATAGGCATGAGCCACTGCACACGGCAAGATTTTTAAAGAGGTGAAACACTTATCTTGCCCTGAAGAAAGGCTCATGAGAGTGCTTATTTCTCTCATTTTTGCCAGCACTAGGTATTACCTTTTTTGAATTATCATTGGATGATTGGATCCAATCATTATGATTGGAAAAAATGGTATTTCATTATGATTTTGATATGCATATCTTACATTATTGAAATGGAATTCCTTTTTCATATGTGAAAACCATTTCTGTTTTTTCTATTACTGATTTTTAGCTTTTCCTAAATTCTCTGCTTTGCAAATTCTGTTATTCTGACAACCAAGGCATTTATATACAACCACAGGCAATTCCGATTCATCTCTGCTACAGTTTTCCAAATAGTCTTCAAGGACTGAAGTTCTTTAATACCACATTCTTTATAGTAACCTGATCATGTCATTCTGATTGTCTCACTTTCTTCGATAATCCACTTTAAGAAAATAAATTCTGTCTTTTAGTAACCCCACTCTTCCATGCATAGCAGAAGTGGCCATCTGTTACCTAAAGTCGACTCTGTTATATTCCTTTATTCTTGCAAAGGAAACTCAACCTTATCTTTTCACCTCATTTCATAACTAAAGAATAAGCATCTGCATTGAGGAAACAATGACAAAATATCAGCATCCAGGTTCTTGTCCAACAATGGAATATATGTATCATGAGGACGGCTGAGAATGAAGATTTTTATGGTTGAAACTGCAGACACATGGGAACATTAATATCCCTTGATATTCTTGATTTGAAGAATTTGATTTTAGACAACAGTGTATTTGAGGCAATGGATGGGATATTCATGCAGGCACCCAGTTTCAATTTGTCCCTAGAGCCTGAAAAACAGATCAAGGTCAGAGCCTAAAAAGTGTAGAGTTCTTCCATATTGTTGAAGCCATGAAAATGGCTAAGCTTCAATAAGGTGAACTTATAGTGGTAAAAACAGAAGGCTATGAACTCAACATTTATTTTATTTTATTTTATTTTGAATTATTTAAAAGTAGTATAATTAAGGTAAGAAATTAAAACAGTTCAAAAGTATATAAAGGAGAGGCAACTACTATCTTCATTTTCTTCTTCCTGAAGTGTTCTTTGCAGATACATGCACATTTTCCTTTTTTATCCGAATGGAATTGTGTATAGAATTGTGATTCTTTCTTAATTCAGATTTATTAGTATATTGACACATATGGATTGACCTGGGTTTTTGTTGTTATTGTTTTGGGGGATTTTGTTGTTGTTGTTGTTGTTGTTTGTTTTTTGTTTTTTGTTTTTTGTTTTACGACAGAGTCTCACTCAGTCACCCAGGCTTGAGTGCAGTGTCGGGAGCTCAGCTCACCGAAACCTCTGCCTCCCAGGTTCAGGCAATTCTCTTGCCTCAGCCTCCCTAGTAGCTGGAATTACAGGCATGCATCACCACACCCAGCTAATTTTTTTGTATTTTTAGTAGATACAGGGTTTCACCCTGTTGGCCAGGCTGGTCTTGAACTCCTGACCTCAAGTGATCTGCCCACTTGTGCCTCCCAGAACTGGGATAAAAAAAAAAAAATAGATCCTTGGTATTATTCCATTACATATGGATTGTAAAATTCAGTTAAACATTCATCTCTTGGTGGGCATTTATGTATTTCTTTTGTTTGTTTGTTTGCAGCATTGCTCTGTTAAACCTTTTTATAAGTACATCTCGGCTGGGCGTGGTGGCTCACGCCTGTAATCCCAGGACTTTGGGAGGCCAAGGTGGGTGGATCAACTGAGGTCAGGAGTTCGAGACCAGCCTGGCCAACATGGTGAAACCCCGACTCTACTAAAAATTAAAAAATTAGCCGGGCATGGGGGCAGGCGCCTGTAATCCCAGCTACTCGGGAGGCTGAGGCAGGAGAATCACTTGAACCCGGGAGGCAGAGGTTGCAGTGAGCCAAGATCGCACCATCACACTCTAGCCTGGGGGATAAGAGCGAGAATAAGTACATCTGTATGTTCTTGTGCAATCCTAGGAGTATTAGACAGTCCCTGCACCTTACGGTTTTATTTTTTTGCAAATCAAATGATATTTTATTTGATTTTGGAGTTGCTTTATTGTATCTGTGGGCTATGTACTACAGTATTTTTTTCAGACAAAGTCTTGCTCTGTTGCCCAGGCTAGAGTGCAGTGGCGCCAACTCAGCTCACTGCAGCTTCAACTTTCTGGGTTCAAGTGATCCTCCCACTTCAGCCTCCCAAGTAGATGGGATTACAGATGTGTGCCATCAACACCAGGCTAATTTTTAAACGTTTTATAGAGACAGGATTTCTCCGTGTTGCCCAGGCAAGTCTTGAACTCCTGGGCTCAAGTGATCTGTCCACCTTGGCCTCCCAAAGTGCTAGGATTACAGGTGTGATCCATTTGACCTGGCCTTAAGTGTTTTTGTGGTTAGCAGGTCTTATTCTTTCATTTCTATATTTAGCACTCCCTTAAAGAACTCTTGTAAGGCTGGCATAGTGGGAATGAATTCCCTTAACATTTGCTTGTCTGAAAAGGATTTTGTTTTTCCTTAGCTTAGAAGAAGTTTTGTTTGGCAGAATATCAAATTCTTGGTTGGTTCTGCTCTTTAATTATCCTGAAAATAGGCCCCCAGTCTCTTCTTGCTCGTAGGTTTCTGCTGAGAGGTCCACTGCTAGCTTGATGGGGTTTCCTTTGTATGTGACCTGACCCTTCTCTCTAGCTGCTTCTTTCTTTCATGTTGGCCTTGGAGATTCTGATAACTATGTGTCTTGTGGATGGTCATCTTGTATAGTATCTCACAGGAATTATCTGAATATCTTAAATTTGCCTGTCAACCTCTCTAGCCAGATTGGGGGAAATCTTATGGACTGCATCCTCAAATATGCTTTCCAAGTTGCTTACAGCCTCCTACTGGCTCAGGAATGGCAATGTGTGGTAGGTTTTGTTTCTTTATAAAAGCGCATGTTTCTCAGAGGTTTTGTTCATTTTTCAAAATTCATTTTTCTTTATTTTTGTCTGGCAGAGTTGATTTGAAGGACCAGTCTTCATGCTCTGGGAGTCTTTCCTCAGTTTGTTCTATTCTGTTTTTAATTCTTCCAACTGTTTCATGATTTTTTTTTTTTTTTTTTGAGACAGAGTCTTGCTCTGTCACACAGGAGGGAGTGCAGTGGCGCAAATCTTGGCTCACTGCAACCTCCACCTCCTTGGGTTCAAGTGATTCTCATGCCTCAGCCACCCAAGTAGCTGGGACCACAGGCACACACCACCATATCCTGCTATTTTTTTTCTTTTTTTTTAAATCTTCAGTAGAGACTGGGTTTTGCCATGTTGGCCAGGCTGGTCTTGAACTCCTGACCTCAAGTGAGCCACCGTGCCCAGCCTTTGTAGTGAATTTTTTGACTTGAGAAGTTCAGTTTGTTTTTTTCTTAAAATGACTATGTCGTCTTTCAACTCTTGGATCATTTTCTTGGATTCCTTAGATTGGGTTTCAGTTTTCTCCTGGATCTCATTTTTTTTGGCCATCCAGATTCTGAATTCTATGACTGTCATTTCAGCCATTTCAATCTGGTTAAGAAGTGTTGCTGGGGATCTAGTGCAGTTGTTTGGAGGTAAGGAGACACTCTGACTGAATTACCAGAGTTCTGTGCTGATTCTTACTCATCTGAGAGGGCTGGTATTCCTTTATCTTTTTGAATTTGCTGTTGTTTGGATGGTGCTTTTTGTTTTTATGTTCTGTATTTCCCTTGAGGGTTTGACTGTGGTTTAAGTTGAATATTGGCTTTGTTTCTGGGTTATTTCTGAGGTCCAAAGCTCTGTACAGGATCTTTATTTGTGGCTAGATTTCTGCATTGGGTTTCACAGTCAATGTATGCTGGAAGAATTTTTTTTGGTGGTGTAATATAGGTTGCTATGCAGTAGATGGCACTTAAAAGTAATGTGTAGCAGGTAAACTTACTCAGCAGTGCGCCTCTTTTGTGTTTGACTACATTTGCAAGAGCGCTCTGTGATTGGGGAGACTAGGGTGGCAATGATGACCTCCTTGCCAGACCTGTTCCCAGGCCGTATGGGAGCCACCTCCAATCATTAGGACTGCACCCATCTTTCCTTGGCTCCAGTGGGGGTCCTGGCGGGCTGTACCTCCCCTTTCCTTAGTGGTTGTCCGAGTCAAAGGTGGGTCACTATGAGACCAGCATTCAGAGTCCTGCTGGTCGTCCATCTTTGCTTGGCAGAGTCAGAGCAGGTTATAGGGTATGTCTGCAAGTGGTCTGTTCATGCAGTAGGTCAAGGGCAGGGGACCTCTGGGCAGGGCGTTATTTCCCTGAGTGTGCAGCCGGTATGGCGCCCACAGCCCAAGGTTTTGTCACTCAGCAAGACAGTTTTTGGGACCACCCAGCACACCCTCCCTCCACCAGTCTCCTTCTGGTGGCCTCCCCGGTATCTGCCCCAACCAGCTAGTTTTGTCTTCCAAGCCTCCTGCCCCCAAATCACTGGGGTTGTGTTGTGGTTGTAGGACTACTTCAGTCACAGGCTGTGGCTGGCATATGGGCGACACCCTTCCTGGCCCATACCTGTGGAAGGAGGCATGCCCAGTTCCCATGCCAGTCCACAAATCTGTGTCTCATTTTTCTCAGTGTTCTGAGAGTGGAGCTCCTCCTCCATTCAAGTGCCAGCCACAGATCTCAGTTTGGCACTCCTGAGCTGTGTGCTCTCACCTGGGGCCTGAACCTGCAGCTTTGTCCACTGTCCCTGGGTCACTGGAAAGCCTGCAGGTAGGGCTGGCAGCAAAGCACTTGAACTGCTCAGCGGAGGTTGTGCTGTGGGCATGCTCTGGTGGGAGCTGCCAGGCAGGGGCCTTGGGAGAGGCTGGCGGATGGGGTGGCAAACAAACATACCCTGCTCTTTCCCTGGCCCTGGTTAGAGCTACCCAGAAGAAGATGGAGAGCCTTGGGGAATGGGTCCCCATTGCTATGTTTTGCCACAGATGCCCTGCACGCAAAACCCCTCAACCTCTGCGCAGGCTCAATCTCTGTCTCTGCCTACTCTCCAGGTAGATTGCCTGCCAATTCCAACGTCTATGGGGGTTGTGGGGTGTCTTGTAGCCAAGATCCGAGAGGTTCGTGTTGAGAGCGGGCTGTGCCACAGTTCCTTCACTCACACCTTCCTTAGGAGCTGTTTAGGGCCAGGAACTCGTCAAGGTGCTCAGTAAGGCCAGGCAAGGGTTCCAGCTTCCTCCCTCTTCAGACCTGTTGTCTGCGTCACCTCTCTGCCAACTCTCAGTGTTTTCTCTCAAAAGACCTGTTCAAAGTATGTTGATTTACTCAATATTTTAGTCTTTCTCAGTGGGAGAGGCGCTTCCTGGCTGTGTCTAGTCAGCCGTCTTGTGCTGAATCACTCTATATCTTATTTTGATTACCATTTCCTGAATTATATAATTAATATTATTAAATAGCTTTTCATATACTAACTGGCCATTTACAATTATTTTTCTTGGAATTGCTTATTTACTACATACTTTGCCCATTTTTCTATTAGAGGGTTTTCTTTTTTTAGAGACAGGGTCTCTGTCACCCAGGCTGGAATGCAGGGGCACCATCACAGCTCACAGGAGCCTCAACCTCCTGGGCTCAAGTAATCCTCCCACCTCAGCCTTCTGAGTAGCTGGGACTACAGGTGCATGCCACCATGCCTGGCTAATTTTTCTTTTTATTTTGTGGTAGAGACGAGGCCTCACTATGTTGGCCAGGCTTGTCTTGAACTCCTAAGCTCAAACGATCCTCTTGCCTTGGCCTCCCGGAGTGCTGGGATTATAGGCATGAGCCACTGCATCCAACCTGAGTTTTTTTCTTGTCTTTTAATAATATTTATTTCTAAAAGTTCTTTGTGTCTTAAGGAAATTAATCCTGCTTTTTGATGTATGCTCTACATATCTCCAGCTTGTTGTATAACTTTTTACTTTGCATAACAGGTTTTTTTTGGCTATATAGAATTGTTAAATATTTACTAATCAAATTCATCTTTTCTGTCATGATATGTGTTTTGTGTCATGCTTGGAAAGTGCCATTTGTATGTAAGATTTTTTAAAACAAGTTTTAAAATTTTTTTTGTGGGGTCAGGTGCAGTGGCTCACGCCTGTAATCCCAGAACTTTGGGAGGCCGAGGCGGGTGGATCACAAGGTCAGGAGATCGAGACCATTCTGGCCAACATGGTGAAACTCCATCTCTACAAAAAAAAATACAAAAATTAGCTGGGTGTGGTGGTGTGCGCCTGTAATCCCAGCTACTCAGGAGGCTGAGGCGGGTGAATTGCTTGAACCCAGGAGGTGGAGGTTGCAGTGAGCCGAGATCGTGCCACTGCACGCCAGCCTGGGGGACAGAGTGAGACTCTGTCTCCAAAAAAAAAAAAAAAAAAAAAAAAAAAATATATATATATATATATATATATATATATAGTGTGTGTGTATGTGTCTTGTTATGTATTTGCATTTAAATCTGTGATCCAGTTGGATTTTTTTTTTGGTATTTCGGTTATATCTTTAGATATTCATCTCTCTGTTTTGATGACCCTGAGGATTCCTTATTTAGCAGCACAGATCTAATTTTTCCATAGTTTTTCTCTCGAGAGACTCAAAAACTTCATTGCAGAAGTCAAAAGCTGAATTTTGGCTCTTTTTGCAGTCTTGTTATGATAACCCTAATTTTCCCCTAGGCCACAAGCCCTTTGAAAGGATCCAGGAGGTCAAAATAATTTTTCATAAAACCCATAAAAAATTGTTTGCTTTTTTTGCTCTTTTTCTTTCACAAGTATATATTAGCATTTTCGAGAGACTTCATAACATTTAATGACTTCATTACTCTGACACGTTACGTATATGTGTTTGTATTCATATGTTTTAAAAATGTCTTTTAATTTTTAATATGGTAAAAATCAACAGGTATAGATCACATAAACAAAACCTCTCTGAGGTCCTCAATAATTTCTAAACGTATAAAGAGGTCCTAAAACTAAAAGGCTTGCAAACTCCTGCCCTACGCAGTTACCTTTGGCTGACTGGGATCACTGTCCCAAATAATGAGAAAGAATAATCTAATATCTTCAATATAGACATATATCCAGTCAAGATAAGATCTCAGCTGTGACAAGTCACATAAATTAGAACTGTCTCTCTGAGCACCACGCCTGTTTTTGCTTTCTTTTTTTTTGGAAAATAGTTATCATGGTTCTGACTATGGCCCTGAGATAAAGGAATTAGAGTCTGGTCTATTGATGAGATATTAAATATATAGTCCTCAACCCCAGGGACTCTTTACCTTTTTCTTTATTAGATCATTTCTCTACTTCTTGTAAAACTGGAAAGATATCACTTTACATGGCCTTTAGCCTCACCTTTATTGGTCAAGCCAAGCATATGTTTTACTTTTAGAACTTGTAAGCTCACACTCAGAATGCCTGCTTAGGAACTTCTTTGTGCAGAGTGGATGGGACCTGTTGGACATTTAAAAGGGCAAGTGTTATGTCATCGGCCAAGGGAAACATAACCTGAAAATTTCTTTAATATCACACATACTTTTCATTCATTCATTCATCAAATTCAAAATTATTTACTGAGACTTTACTCTTCCAAGCATTGTGCTAGGAACCAAAGACGAAAAAACAAGATCACCAGACTCAAATAATACTAAAGCATAAACCTCAAGGAAGTGGTTATAGCCTGGCATCACTCTATTCATTCTGTATTGAAAATTTTAAACTTGATTTTTAAAGACACTGATTTGCGTTTTAAAATGCAGTGGAATTTCAGCTCCAGATGTACAGTAATACCCTGAGTGTCAGTTGTTTGTAGTATATTTAGTGGAGCTATACAGGAGTCTTATTTTTCTTTCTTTGCACACTCTTGGTGATCTCATGGCTTTAATAAGCACCATCTACTGGGTCATAACCCTGCATACTAATAACATATGTATGTATATGTCCAAGCTAGACGTCCCACTATGCTCCAAAGCCACATAGCAACTGCCTACTAGCCATGTCCACTTTTATGTCCATGTCTGATAGACAGTTCAGACTATTTTTCCCAAAATGAATCCCTGATCTTTCCTCCTAAACCACCTCAACCCTTAAGCTTCCCGTCTCACTAAATGGCAGTCCCGTCCTTCCAATTCTGTCAAAATGTTGAGTTGGCTGGGCGCAGTGGCTCACTTCTGTAATCCCAACACGTTCGGAGGCCAAGGCAGGCGGATCACATGAGACCAGGAGTTCTAGACCAGCCTGGCCAACATGGCAAAACCCTATTTCTACTAAAAATACAAAAAGAAAAATTAGCCAGGCATGTCTGTAATCCCAGTTACTAGGGAGCTGAGGCACGAGAATCACTTGAACCCAGGAGGCAGAGGTTGCAGTGAGCCGAGATCACACCACTGCACTCCAGCCTGAGTGACAGAGGAAGACTCTGTCTCAAAACATAAAAAACATTGGAGTCATCCTTGCTGCCTCTTTCTGTCACACCCAATATCAAGTCTGCAAGGAAATCCTGCTCATTCTTCCTTTGAAATATTTCCACAACTTGTTCACTTCTTACCACCTCCACTGTAACCTCCTGGTTCAAGTCGCCATCATTTCTCACCTGGATTGTTTCAGTTACTGGTTTCCTTGCTTCCACCCTTGTCTCCCATTATCCGTTATAAATGTAAATGACTCTTCCCAAAATCTTCCAGTGGCTTCTTCATTACATTTGGATAAATAGCCAAAGTCCTTAAAACAGCCTACTAGGCCACACTTACTCGGCCCACCATTATCTCCTCGACCTTCCATTCTATTTTCCCGCTTGATGCCTTGAGCTAGCCTGCCAGCCTCCTTATTGTTTCTTAAATACAAGACAAGGTCCAACCTTAGGACTTGGGTTGAATAACTATTTTCTCTGCCTAGAATATTATTCCTGCGGATATCCAGATCACCTCCCTCAAGTTATTTCTCAAAATATACTTTACCTTCTTCACATCTTTATTTAAATGTTATGTTCCTTCTCAGTGAGGGTCGCTATATTCAAAATCACAACTTTCAAACACTCTCCTTTGCCCTTACCCTTCTTTAGTTTTTCTTCAAAGCCCTTTCACCTGCTAAAATACTATATACTTAATGTTTTTATTGCTTCTTCCCATACTAGAATGCAAACTCCATGAGGGCATAGATTGTTTCTTCGGTTCACTGTCATTTCTCCAGTGCCCAGAACAGTGCCTGCCACCAAATAGGGACTTGACAGATACCTGTTGAATAGCCACATTTTGGGGGAGAAAAGAGAACCTTAAGGACAGCTAGCATATTTTTAAGTACTCAAACTGTCCCTAATTGGTAGGCCTTTTTCAGCTAAAGATTTAACAACTAACAAAAGGAGCTCTTGATGAAATTGGCGTTAGTTTGCAGAAGTTCAAACATACACTATTGAATGAGCTTCCTTTTAAAAACCCCAGAAGATTTTCAGAAATACATACAATGCTTAGATACTTTGGCTGTGGGAATTTTATCTAAGCAGACATAGAAAATAACAGACACATTTTTCAAGAATTTTGTTTCTTTTCTAAAAATACAAATTAAATCACTCCAACCTTAAGATATCATAAGGTTATCATATAAATCGCTTCTAAATGCATCATTTGAACTGATTCAAATTCTGCTCTAAAAAATAGTTGATCTTTATCAGCAAAGATGAAGAGACCTGTTTACTAAAAACTGCAGTTGTTTCTGATATTATCATTATGTTCTCTGATAAGGAAGGGGCACCAGAGAGACAAAGTAATGGAAAATGTTTTATTTCAAGTATGCCGTAACTTCTGTATGTGTACACACATATATTCCTGGACTAAACACTTCTGAGAGAAACTTCACAGAAATATTCTGTTGTAGCTATATTACATCTTGCTTATTTCATAATTATAAGTATCTATTATTAGAACCAGGACTTAATCCAGGAAAGTACCCCCCTTATTCATCCCCCCAAAAAGTCAGAGCATCAAACCTGCAACAAACGTTTAGTCTTTATCTGAAATACAGTCATGAATAAATAATGAGAATAATAACTACCATTTGTTGAGCATTTAGATGAGGCTAGCACTGTTCTAAGCACTGTATATGTATTTGCTTTTTCATCCTCACAATCACCTTACAGAGTAAGTTCTGTTATTAACCCCAGTACACATATTGTAAAACTGACATACAGAGGTTCAGCAGCTTCTCCATGGAGCCCAAGGGCCTTTCTGCCTCTAAACTTTCATTTGATATAAAATAAATGTTAACATAAAATTTTTTAACCATTAAATGCACATGTACGTTTTCATTGGCTCTTAAACAAAGAAGGAAAGAAGTTGTGAAAGATATTTTTAAGACAACTGGGAAAATATGGATATATATTGCCCACAAAAATAAAATGTTCTATTCATAAACAGCCTAAAACCTATTTTTAAACTCCCTAGGTGGTCACCTGGTTAAGAATGGACTAGTACATGCTCACTTTAAATACTTAGACATTACAGACATATGGTGGAGAAAGCAAAAGTTTCATATTAACTGAAACTCTAGATATTAATATAGCTACTGCTTTGGTCTGTGTATACCAGATTGATCTTCTATGTGTATTCTCTACATACAAGAAAATATACGAGGTTTTTGTTTTATGGAGTTTTTTTAAATGATATAGGGAGTATATCAAAATATAAAACCACTTTTCATCAGATGATGTCATTACAATATAATGAAAGGAAAGCCACAAATTGGGAGACGATATTTGTGACATATATTATATGACCAGCCATGAATTGAGTTCCAAAGTGGAGAACTCCTATAAATCAAGAAAATAAGATAAACTACTAGAAAAAAATGGGAAAAAAATATAAATGGGCAAATCAAAAATAAGAAAGGCCAATAAACATATGTGTTTAACATGTATGGAAATCAGAGAAATTAAGTTAAAACCACAAGATAACATTTTACATTTGTGACATTTGCAGAAAGTATTAATTGGAAAGACTGCTTTGATTACAAGTGAACAAAATTAAAGAACTAAAGCTTAAACATATTAACATGGATGAGTCACAGAAACAATGCTGAGCAAAAAAAAATTTCAGAAAAGTGATAACATTTAGGTAAAGTTCAAACTCATGCAAAACTAAATACTATGTATATGTGCATGTGTGTATGCATACGTGTATGTGTCATAAACTATAGAGAAGAAGGGAAATAATAAAAAGAAAGTAACCTTTGTAGAGGAGGAAGAAAAAAGATTTATCAGAGACATGCTAGAATTGAGTGGCAAAGGGGCTACCTGTTTGTTAAGGGAATAGGGTATTTATTAGTCTTTATATCTCTAATATGTTGTTTAGCTTATATGAGTTATTTCACATTTTTTAAATGATTACCAATAAAGGGGGCCCTATACTATTTTGTAACTTCATTTTTCACTAAATTTCTTAGAAGTCATTCCATGCCAGTACTTAGATGTACCTTATTTATATCATAGCTGAATTATACTCTCTTATGTGTTATGTATATTTCTTTTAACTTATCAAGTCTTGCCATTAAAGGCAGATTGGAAAGGCTCCCAGTAATAAGTGCACTTACCATAATCTGGTCTGTGAAGGGACTGTCTGTGTTCTTGAGGATTTTTCATGTTGTCTCTAGAGCACTAGCCCCCAACCCTTTTGGCCCCAGAGAATGGTTCTTGATAGACTATTTTTCCACAGACGAGGCCTAGGTGATGGTTTCAGAATGATTCAAGGGCGTTACATTTATTGTGCACTTTATTTCTATTATTATTATTACATTGTAATATGTGATGAAATAATTATACAACTTACCATAATGTAGAATCAGTGGGAACCCTGAGCTTGTTTTCCTGCAACTAGATGGTCCCTTCTGAGGGTGATGCCATGCGGCTCAGTTCCTAACCAGTTCTGGTCCATGGCCTGGGGGTTAGGGACCCCTGACCTAGAGAAACCACCTAGAGTAAGCGTTTCTGTCTCTCCCTCTGTGTGTGTGTGTGTGTGTGTGTGTGTGTGTGTGTGTGTGTGTGTGTACCAAGAGAGATCAAAATCAACTTTTTTCCCTGAACTGTCTAAAAGTGAGTATTAAATATCTTAACACTTCACCTATAAAATACTTGCACATGCATCTCTGAAGAGTAAGGATGTTCTCCTGTACAACTACAGTGCCATTAGCACATCTAAGACAATTAATGGTAATTGCATAATGTCATCTAATAACCAACATATATTCATATTTTCCCAGTTGTCTTAAAAATATCTTTCACAACTTTTCTTCTCTTATTTAGGAGCCAGTGAAAACATACATGTGCATTTAGTGGTTATTTCTCCATAGTCTCTTTTAATGTAGCTAAAGCGTCACCCCCTAACCTCCTTTTTTTTAAAAAAAAATGAAAATGACTTTTTGAAGAGTCCAGGACACTTGTATTATAGAATTGGCCCATATGGGCCAATTATAATATAATACAGTGGACCCTAGAACAGCCCACATTCTGGCTTTATCTGGTTGCTTCCACACAGTGTTTAACTTTTGAGTCCTTACTTACAGTTAAAAAAAAAAAAAAAAGGTAGGTAACCTTGGTATTGTTGGCTTGGTGTAATTAAGTGACTGAACCAATTATTTTGTGTGTTATAAGGAAAGGGAGGGGGCAAATTCTATAAATACTGCAAATATGATCTTTTTAAAAAAATTTGTCAAGTACAATGAGTTCTTATTACATTACTATAATTTTGCAGACAGAACTTTGTTGACCGTAAGCATTTATAGACCCTCTTTATGATCTTTTAAAAAGCAGTAAATTTATATTGTTATTTTTCTTATTATAATAGTGCAGTATATTAGTTATTGCATAGGAATAACACTGGAATTTCTGTGGTTCTTGCTTCGGTTCAGATAGTTTGTAGTTGTTGCATGAAGTATGGTTCTTTTCCCATGTGTTTAAAAGAATTATATTTCAGCACACAAGATAATAATGTTGTACATTTATTCTTTGGTCCTATGCAAAGATATTTGACACACATTTATATTATATAATTTTAGAATTAAAAAACATAGCCTCCTTATGTGCGTGATTAATTTGGTCATTTAAATCACTGACCAGCAAATCGAGTCTATAAAAGCTGTTGAGATAGACAGAATCATTTTAGTCAACTGGGCATTTGATACCAAGTGGAAATAGTTCTCAGATATTTGTCATCCCAGAGGGATAAGTGAACATGAACCCCCATGTGCACTGGGTCGGGCAGCCAGAGCCGGGATGCTGTGGGGAGCAATGGTTGTGACATCCAAACAGGGCACAGTTTAGGTTCTCCCCACAGCCTTGATTTTGGGCAAGTCCCTTTTGAGACTGTCTCATTTGTAAAAGTGGGGATAATATCATGTAACTTGATGTGGTGGCTTTAAAATGTTTCTGACAGAACTATAATAAGAATTTATTTTATATCATAACCTGTACACACATAGTTACACCATGCACTTTTACAGATATATACTTATAGACATATAAACATTTTTATATAACAATGCTTATTTATACTGTGGTACAAGTGAATTTTTAGATGTTGATAAGATTTATTTCATGACCTTCTAAAGGATAATCATCTTCAGTTTGAAAACACTATATAAAGATTCGGTGAGTTTCAGATTCTGCTACAAAAATGATGCTGCCATTTTGGTTATTCAGTCACCGGATATTTATGCACAGTTGTCATGTGCCTATATGAACAAAACTAGACGTCTCTGCCCTGTGGAGTTTGCAGCCCCTTGGGGATGAGAAAATAAACGAGAAAATATGTCATCATGAAGAGTATTCTGAGTTGTGAAAAAACACATAAGGGGCTCTGTGAAAGAATACCAAGGAGGATCGGCTTTAGAGTGGACATGGGATGGGGGGTAGTGGGAGTCAGCTGATGCCAGAGTGAAAAAAAACCAAAGGAACCAGAGCAAGAATAGGGGAGAGATTCAGTGGGATGCTAGTGACCAGACAAGCTTGAGAATTGTGCTTTAAGTCATGACTCCAGAGGTCTCTGATTTTTTTTTAATGAATCTGTTATAATCAAACACATAAAGAGTGCTTTGCACAGATAATTTTCAAAATTGATTTTAATATTTATCTGTTCCATTTAATAGTTAACTGCATTGTCCATCACCTCCACCTTGTTTCAGACACCCAGTCCCATGGACACACCTAGTCCTTACCTCCCAGAACTTTTCACAACCTCCTGCCCTTCTGGCTCTTAATTAACCTCTAGGTAGCATCTGACACTTCCTACTTTTGTGTCCCTTTTTCTTTTCAATGTCCCATAAGTGTGGGTAAAGCTCAGGATTTTGTACTCAGCCCTTTTCCTTTTTTATGTAATACACTCTCCTTGAGTACTTCATTGACTTGGCCACTTCCACAGCTTCTGTCAGTTACATTAGTTATGCTACCAGCTCCCAAATTTATGTATCTTATTCTAGACCTCTCACGGATTTCACCCCATATCCCACAGATATTTCAACACATTATCTTTCCTTAAAACCTCTTCATTCTGCTGTTTCCTATCCTAGTGGGTGACAGCATCTTCACAGTTGTCAAGTCATTTCCAAGAGTCACTCTTGACTCCTCTCTTTCTCACACCTCACATCCAATCAGTTCCCAAATCTTCCTGATACCCCCTCCTAAAAACTTTTTGAAACCATCAACTTCTGTGCATTCCATTGCAGCTACTCTGGATTCGGCTGCAAGTACCTCCTGCTTACTTTATCATGACAGTTGCCAGACTGGTCTTATAGCCACCAGTCTTCTTCCCTTCCTGTTAAATCTCCAGATGGCCAACATCCTAACATCTAAATTAAAGATGAGATCTTATCACACCCTTTCTTAAAATCTCTTTGTGGCACCTTATAACCAACAGAAAGAATCGCATGCTTTTTGTCATGGTGCACAAGGCCTTTTCTGGTCTGGTCCCCGCCAAGTGCTCTAGCCGTAACTCTCTTGAACCCCCATCTCTTCCTTTGTGCTCCCGCCACATGGAGCTTACATGCTGTTTCCTCTGCCCCAGATCCTCCCCTACCTCTTTGCTTCCCCTACCTCTTTGCTTCCCCTACCTCCTTTCGCTGAACTGACTTTTACATACCCTTCAGGTCTCAACTGACACCTCTTTTTTCTGGGAAGCCCCCAGAATACAATGACCACTATTCTGTGTACTTGGTTATTTACTTGTCTTTGTACCCTAGTAGAATGTCAGCTCTTGGGGAAGGTGACTCTGTCTTCCCTGTTAACTGGTTTTGCTCCAACTCCTGACACAATGCTGGTGTCTAGTGGTGTGTGTGTGTGTGTGTGTGTGTGTGTGTGTAAAGTGACTCTGTCTTCCCTATTAACTGGTTTTGCTCCAAGTCCTGACACAATGCTGGTGTCTAGTGGTGTGTGTGTGTGTGTGTCTGTCACCCAGGCTGGAGTACAGTGGTATGTTCATAGCTCACTATAGCCTCAAACTCCTGAACTCAAGCAGTTCCCCCACCTTGGCCTCCCAAAGCACTGGAATTACAGGCCTGAGCCACTGCACCTGGTCTCTAGTAGTACATATTTGAATGAGTGAAGGAAGGAAAGTACAAGCAAGCCAATTGCAAAGAAAGACAGTGGAGCCTCATGGTTAAGAATGCAGGCTCTGGGGTCAGGTGGATCTGGATGCCAATCCTGATTCTACCACTGACCAGCTGGGCAAATTTAGCCTCATCTGTAGAAATGGGACTGTTAGTAGTTCCTGCCTTGCAAGGTGAGGAATCAAATGAGAGAACACATGCAAAGTATCCAGTACAGTATCTGGAGCATAATCAGTGTATCATAAAGGTTAGCTGTGATTTCCTTCCATTCTGATCTATAAACAAATAGAATCCAGAAGCCTTCCAGTTATCACTGTATTATTTTTTACAATAAAAGCATACATATGTAGAGAAATAAATGACCCCACTGACAGAGATTGCCTAAGATACGAGGCATGTTATTATATATGGCCTTCAACCCCTGAAAATATTAGAAAAAGGTAACTGACTTCCCAGTTGGATAAAAATACAATTATCTTATGAGACAAAATCTTCACTCATTGTAGGGGACCATGAGACTACATTAAATTAAAAATATGCTTTATAAGTGTATTCTGCACGAAATGGAAGGGAGAATTTATTGTAGCTGATAACAGATGGGAAAGAATGTGAGCTCTCTGAACTTTTTTTTTTTTTTTGAGACGGAGTCTCGCTCTCTTGCCCAGGCTGGAGTGCAGCGGCGTGATCTCAGCTCACTGCAAGCTCTGCCTCCCGGGTTCACACCATTCTCCTGCCTCAGCCTCCTGAGTAGCTGGGACTACAGATGCCCGCCAACACGCCCGGCTAATTGTTTGTATTTTTAGTAGAGATGGGGTTTCACCGTGTTAGCCAGGATGGTCTCGATCTCCTGACCTTATGATCTGCCCGCCTTGGCCTCCCAAAGTGCTGGGATTACAGGCGTAAGCCACTGCACCCGGCCACTTTCTTAACTTTCTGTGATGGAAACCACTGTCTACAAAGGTGTGTCTCCTAAAGTGTTCTTTCTTAAAGAAGGAAAATAAAATGTAGCTCTCAGTAAAAATTCGCTTAGTAGAATCCCTCCATTTGCCTTTATCTCATTTTTGCTGAATTTATTATCTATTAGTAGATGATACCAGTTAATTTATTTACACTTTGGTAACATTTCTTATACTCTGCAATCTCTCTGAGTGCCTCTAGCCCTCTTTTTGGTCTGTAAAGAGAGGGAAGCACTTCTCAGAGCTGATTAAGGGTAAAGGGAGGGATGTACTCTTGTCTCCTTCCTGATAATAGAAGATTCTTCCCATTGTAGGATTTATCTAGCTTGATCCATGCATGTGGTTTGAAGAATTGGGCTTCTCTCTCTAATAAATGTTCCCTGAAATATTGTCTGGTGAATAAGCCTTCCCAAAGTATAAACAAAGTGCCATTGAAATAGTATTAGCTCTTTAACGTCACTAGGGCTTCATTTGGTACACTAGAGAAGGAATAAGTGACTTTTTGGTATTGTGATATCATTCTGAACAGAAAACCTGCCAGCAGATTAAATTCTTTACCTGACAGAAAAGATCTGATTCATTTTAGGACATTATTGCCTTGCTGACCTTGTTTGGTGTCTAATTTATTTTTAGAGAGAAGAACAGGAAAGGAAACTTAAATCAAGTTTAATATTTTCTTTTTAGAAACAGATTGCCTTGCTTTTTATAAATTACCATCATCACTGAAAGTAATGCTGACTGAAGTGATCCAAACAAACTTACAGAGCAGCTAAAAACTGGTACAAATCTAGAAGCTTAAGTTGTTAGTAATGATTTCCTTCTTGAAGAGGAGGGTTAAAATAATTGAAGAATAGCGAGCCATGTTTTAGCTTTAGTGAATATTTCCAAAATCTAGCAGTATGGTTTATGCTCACTTTTTCAGGAGGAATCCAGATACTTCTTGATTCAGGCCTTTTTTTTTGTTTTTCTGGCTCATGCTTCCTGCCACTTCTTTTCTTCATCAGCGCCTGTAAATAGACACTGGGGATGAAGACAGAGGAAATTAAAGTTTTTCATATTTTCTCTGTTGTTAGTAGTTGAAGGAGGTGTGTGACAGGCTGTTAAAAGCCATGCAGCTTTAAGTCTGAATTTCAAGCTAGCCTACTGTGTGTGTGGTCAAATGTGGGACATGATGTGTCTCATCCAGGGCTTGACTGCTCTAATAAGGAGATGAGCCATTAATAAAGCATTAAAGAATGATTAAATACATACTTGAGAGTGCTTGTAAACTGAAAAGATAAATTATTGATAAGGCTCCAAGTGTATATAAAGCCTCCCAACTCAGTGATATTGTAACATTGATTTGCTCAAAGACCTTCAGTGGCTCCTCTTCATCCTCTAAGGTAGAGGCTAGTTCCCGTGGCTGCCTGCAGTGTGATCCTCTCTTCCTTTCTAGCTTTCTCTCCTGGTCCCCTGCTGGCATCCTGTACTTAAGCCAAACTCTCCTTTTCCCAGTTTCCTCTAGTTTTCCTCATTGCCTTGCCTTTGCTGCTTCCTCTACCTCAGGGTTTCTTAATCGTGGTACTGTTGACACTTTGAGCAGGATCCTTGTTTGTTGTGGGGAGCTGCCATATGCATTGTAGGATGTTTAGTTTAGCACCATACCTGGCTTCTACTATCTGAATACCTGTAGCAACCAAAAATGTCTTTAGACATTGTCCAGTGTCTCCTAAAAGGCAAAATAGTCCCTGGTTGAGAATCATTGTTCTACCTAGTAAGCTGTCAACCTGTCTACATCATACTTGTCTTTCTTTCAAGCTTTATCTCAAATGCTATTTCCTCTAAGACTTGTTACTGTTTTCTTTTTGCTTACTTATCTTGTTAGCCACTCTGTTTCCCATGCCCAGTAAGAGTGACCATTCCCTTGAGCTCTGTCTCCTAACTTACCCATCCCTGACCCCTGTGCTCCCTCCCCAACACTTCCACTCTGTCTTCTGGAACACCAGCTCCACCATCAGCTCTCATCTGCATTCTTGCTTCTTTTCACAGAGTTCCTTTCACAGTTGTGGAAGCATCCCCCGTAGCTGCCTCTAATGGAATATGCCACATGCCTCATATTTTGGTGTTTAGAGATCAGCAACTTTAATCCCCAGTACCACTTTCAAATTATTTCTCCCCGAAATATCTGCAAATCTCCTCCTATGAGGTTTCTGCCACCCCGTTACACCAAACGTCATCTTCCTTTTTTTATTACTAGCATCTATCAATTTCTAGTTCACTGGAGACATAACATCTTCTGGACAGTTGTCTAACTCTTGTCATCATTTTAGGTGATTTCAGTGTCTGCAGAGATGAGTCAGCCCAGCACCAGGACCTCCCCACCTCAGCCAGCTCAGTTCGTTCCCTGCACCTTGTAGGTACCAGAAAATATACCATCTCCAAAACCACCAGTCACATAGCCACTCTCCTACTACCACCCCTTATCCCTCTAGGTTACATGCTTAAGTGCCCTCCCTGCAACGCTTTTTGGATCTCACTGGGGCCTGCAGTCCACTGATCCTGCTACTTTATATCCACTCATCCCTCATCCAGCCTCCATTTCCCTCCTATCCATGGTAAATTATTACTAACCCTCTCTTGCAAATATGCTTGGCTTCTCTCATTCTCTCACATTCAGACACCCTAATTCTAGGTAAACCCAGCCACCTTCCTTCTTTCTCTTTCTCTCTTTCACACACACACACACACACAAAATAATTATTAGGTTAGGAGACTGTCCTTGATCTCAGTCTCACATTCTAAATTCAAGTCCTCATTGTGTTCTTTCTCATAGTTCCTGAACTTTTTCTTCATTTCTTCATTTCTATCACAGTTTGAATTTGAAGTTCCCTTTCTCATCTTCATGTATGGCCGGTGTTCTGTCTTGCTCCTTTCTTCTGCTCTTCTCCTCCCCTCCCCCTCTACTTCCTCCCTCCCTTTTGCTCCCATTGGAGAAGCAAGCAATGCATACATTTTAGCAACAGCTAACAGCTGTACCTACTCCATTTTGGCATTTAACAATGTATTTGCTCTGAGTTGCAGCCGATTAACTTTTCTTCAGAGGCAAATGTAGACTTATCTCTCCTTCTCCTGACCACCCACCACACTATACTTAAGAAAATGGAAAGGGATAGGTGAGTGTTTTCTGCTACTATCACGTAGACTAAAGTAAAGGAATATCCTTTGGATAACAGATTAGATGTAAATTGGGTCTTCAGATATCTAAAACATTAGGCAGGCTTTTACCAAGAGACTGATATGACATTTAGCAGCAGATTGTGTTACATGGTTTGATATTTCTTCACACCTGCTTTCTGAATATAGATGTGTTCTTAATTTGATATCTAGGATTGCATACTGCTGACGATAGACATGAGGCAATAACATTGTATTTTCTGCATAAATGCATGAAAGTGTTTGAAACTTCACTTCTTTGACATTTTGAAATTGTATATTTTCATTATTAAGAGAACTCTAGAAGAGAAACTCCATTTAAAAACAGTATATGGTGCCGGTAAATACTCGGCTCTTACTATAAAGTGAGGGCACATTTTTTAAATAACAAAGTAGAATTACT
This sequence comes from Homo sapiens, assembly GCF_000001405.40. Classification (NCBI taxonomy): domain Eukaryota; kingdom Metazoa; phylum Chordata; class Mammalia; order Primates; family Hominidae; genus Homo; species Homo sapiens. The sequence goes on along the minus strand of NC_000016.10, from coordinate 47,395,659 downwards.
GTTTTGCTTTTATTATACAGTGTTTCCCATCTATTAATTTATCCCCAACAGTGATCCTTAGTCACCTAAGGGGATTGCTTTCAATCATAATTGACAGATTTGTTCTGACATTTTAACTTTTACTAGTTACTTTTTTCATGGGTTTAGACTGTAATACAGATTTTTGAATCAAGCTTTTTGCCTAGGCATGAAACATGATTAAACAGTGTGACCTGCCAGATGTTTTAATCAGAATGACAATTTACGGCATCCCTAAGCAGCATATATTATGCCAATGAACATAAATGATCATGGTGTCTCATTGATATTTTCATTTTCTATTTTTATTTTTATCTAATTAGACTCTTTAATGAGCTGTATATATTGTGGAGCAAAATGTCATCATAATTTTAATATACAATATAATGAATATATGGTAAATAGCTTTAAATTGTTTGAATTCTTATCTAGTTAGGTTGAAGATGAACTAAGTCTGTTTCTATCCAATATAGTTAGTTTACTGTGAACTAAAGTCTATTAATACTAAATGTTCTAGACCACTGATGTGGTTAAGAAGGAAATAAAATTAGCATGCAACTTCAATAAGCCATGTAAAAATGTTTTGTCCAAGATGTTCACATTTCTCTTAGTAGAAATTGTCCATAATCATAATGGACTCTTCATATTGTATATTGGCATGAAAAACAAAAAATATCTAAAAAGTATTATTTAGCTGCACCACTCCTGTCTATCTCCCAATACCAACAGAACTAATTTTTTTCATAAATGGTCTTTTGAAAACTAGCTGAAGTCATGGAGTAACATGAAACTTTAGTTTTTAATTACTGGAGATCTCATTTCACCCTTTGCACTCAGGATCTCAGATACCATTCATAGGAATCAGGTGCTTATTACTTGAGAATGTTTTTGGTATACATTTTTAGAAATACAAGTTAATAAAATATGGGATAAAATGAACTGAAATTATGTAGGATGACCTTTTACAAATTGAGAGATTTATAGAGAGATGTGTCTTTTTTTTTTTCCATTTAGATTTTTGGAAGCACCTTAATTATAGTGCTTCTGGCGAGTAATGAAAACTTGGCCTTTCTGCTCTAGGAAAACATAGTCCACATGACACAGTACTTTTGACAGAATTCTCAAAGACAGTGTGTGTTTGTGTTTTTGTGGACTTTACCTAAAGATAAATAGAATTTTGTTTCTGAAAAAGCTTTAAAAAGTGAAAATAGTGTATGTCGATGAGTCATGAGCGATTCTCAAACAAATCTACCAGGAAGGCAAAGTGAGCTAAGGTTGAGGGTACTTTTTGACATCTTAGAATTGCTCAGCTGACTTAAAAGTATATAATATTTTCTCATCGATTTAGTAATTCTGATCAGTATGCTACATGTACACACACACACTTTTTCTTAAAAGCAGCACAGACTGTATCTTCCAGATGGCTTTGATAAATCTAGGTTTAAATTCTTCTGTCCTCTTGGGCCACAGTGAATCTTTTGTGAACATTAAAAATATAATGCAATGAGTTCTCTTACAAAAACATGTAGAATCTGTACTAAATAAGTTCTTAAATCCTGCTGCTCTGCAGTATATCTTTCCCATTGCTCACAAGCATTTCTAGCATTATCCTGAAATTAATGCTAATTCCAGCATACAGATCCAAGTATTTTAAAAAGTTGAGTTATCCTTTAGGATGAGTCCTAACCTATTCTGTTGACCAAATTTTAATTCACATAAAGAGACTTAAAACATATGTTTTAAATGACACTGATATGTTAGTGTGTTATGTTTACCTATAGGCAACCCCTTAATCTCCAAAACATGTAATAGCCAAATGTTTGATGAAGTCTATTATAATTACATGGTCTTGTATTTAGTGACTTAACTTTGTCACTGTAGAAAAACCAAAAAAAATTTCTTTTTTTTTTTTAGACAGAGTTTTGCTCTGTTGCCCAGGCTGGAGTGCAATGGGGTGATCATGGCTCACTGCAACCTCCACCTCCTGAGTTCAAGTGATTCTTATGCCTCAGCCTCCCTAGTAGCTGGAACTACAAGTTCTTGCCACCACGCCCAGCTAATTTTTATATTTTTAGTAGAGACGATGTTTTGCCAAGTTGGCCAGTCTGGTTTCAAACTCCTGGCCTCAAGTGATTCTCCCACCTCGGCCTCCCAAAGTGCTGGGATTACAGGCATGAGTCACCACACTCGGCTGCCACTGCTCATTCTTGAAGGATCTTTCCAATCTACCAAGGACCTTCTCCTTAACACCTAGGAGTTCAATACCAGTATAGCCCCTTGGATAGTGTATGGTGCACTGCCTCATAGCATCGCACTGCTAGTTATCTAATTATGCTAAAGGAATACAGGCTCAGGCACCCTCGAGTACAGTGTAGTCAGAAAAGGAGCAGACACCTTAAGGGGTATTGTTGGCTCTTGTTAGAGGGCCAGGAAACTCTGGGGACCATGTCACCTTCCCTATCTCTTCCTAAGCATCTAAGTTCTAGTTGCCCTAAAATGGCAGTGCTACCTCTTTTCTAGCTCTGCATCTCTTAATATTTGTTTCTCCTCCCTCTACTAGCTGGTCAAATTTATCTGTCTTTCTCCATTTAGAATTCTGGTCCAACAAATAGTTATTATCCATCTTTGGACATAGCTTCTCATGCTTGGCCTCTTCTTTAGTTACCTGCCAGTTGTGGAGGGGTGGCCTTGGATTAAGACACCTGTGAGCTAGTCAGTACTTTTCTGATCAAAAACCTGTGGCTGGGTGATTTTTCTATTACTTACATTTAGGTTGTTAAATATTTTGTCCCAGAGGGCTCTGTAAATTTTGTGAGACCAGTGTCAGATATTGTTCCTTACTGTACATGAGAGCACCTCAAAGAAGCTAAGATTTATTAAGCCCCTTACAACAGAGCATTGTGTTAGACAGTCTCCATACATTATTTCATTTCACCCTTTTCCGATTCATGCGTGAAATCAACTTACTATAAATGGTGATATTACACCCACTTCATTGATAAATTAATTAAGAAGTAGAGAAAACAAAGGCCCATAAGTCACATAGCTAATGACTGGCACAGCTGACTCTGATTCCCAAACCTGTGTTCTTTGCAGTCTATACCATAATGTGTAAAACTCAAGTCCTTACAATAGATCACAGGGTTCTGCACAGCCTGATGCCTCACATTTCAGACCTGATCTCCTCCTCTCCTGCTCTATTTCCCTGTCCCAGCCACACAGACCTCCATGGCCTGTGTTCTTGAGACACACTGTCACCTCCAGCCTTTACACGGCTGAGGCCCAGCAGGACGCTCTTCCCCCAGATATCCACAGGGCTCACTTCCTCATCTCCTTCACATCTATTTGTTTTGTGGTTTTTGTGGGCGTTCGTCGTTTTGAGGGTTTTTTGTAGAGACAGAGTCTCTTTATGTTGCCTGGTGCTGATCTCAAACTCCTGGGCTCAAACGATCCTCCCTCCTCAGCTTCCCAAAGCGCTGGGATTACAGGCATTAGCCACCGCACCCAGCCTCCTTCAGATCTTTACTCAATATCACTTTGTAAGTTTGCTTTCATTAAATTCCAAACACCCCTCCCACATGGACACTTCTTATCTTTATTTTTCTCTTTAGTGTGACCTATTTTACTTACTTATATGTAAAAATAAAGGAGCAAAAGTTTCCGCCAAGAAATACTCTTGTATTTCCAGTTAGAACAGTACTTGGCATATATTAAGCACCCAATAAATATTCCTTGAAAAATGGACGAAGGGATAGGTGTATATGTCTATGCATATATGTCCCAATAATGAAATAATTCCTAGGATATTAATGCATCAAAGGTAATATAACTGAATTCTGATTCCCATATGAGGGTGTCAGAGTGGGCAGAAAATAATTTAATAACCAAATCCTTCAGTAATCTAACAAGATGCATGCACATATATATTTCTAATATTTATCCTGACTTTCAAAAAGGATCTTCAGAAGCCTTTCACATAGGTCACATAAGCATAACAGAATTATACTTAGTGTTTTTATTACTGTTTCTGAAAGAATTTGAAAGAACTTTAAACACTATATATGCTGCAAAATATGGACAAAAAATTTAAAACGTCTCAGAGATGATCTGAAAGATCCCAAGAGTTGTTAGGCCCAGGGCATTAAATACGACCTAAACATTTAAGCAACATTAAAAATTAGTGCACTAAATTTTACTCTGAGTAAATTGGTAGCTAAGACAAAAAAGGAAAGTTATTTGAATGTCTCATAGAAGAAAGTACCCACATTCATCTACAGAGATACGTTTACTTGGAACTTCAATTCTGTGAAAATATAGGTGTCTTTATATAGACTCTCTTCAACTGTAGGATTATAAAACATTCAGAAACTTTGCTCAAATGTACACTGTGTATAAGTGCCTTGTATAGTAGTTGAGGGCATAATATTAAATTATAACTAAGTCAACATATTTCCCTGAGTAACCTGATCTGAAGTTCTCTGCCATGTCCCTTTCCCACCTTTGTGCCTCTGCTTGTGGGTTCTCCGTGCACCTGTATGTGTCCAGATAGTCCCTGTGCTTCAAAGCCTGATGAAACTTTCTTAATGCCCCCCAGCTACTAAGATTCTCTACAGGCTCGGGATTCCCATGGACTTTATTTGTCTCTTCCTAAATGATATTTTTCACTTCAACTTCATATAAAAATTATATAAAATTGAATTACAAGTATTTGAAATAGTTGTCTAATCACTCAAACTAGATTTTTCTTTAAGTATAATGTATTATATGCAGTTATATTCATTAAATATTTGTTAAGAGAGCAAATGAGCCTATTTCAGTATTGGATTTTTAAAGTAATACCTTATACAGTTCAGGCAAAATATTTCTGTTAATAAGCATTATTGGCCGGGCACGGTCACTCACTCCTGTAATCCCAGCACTTTGAGAGGCCGAGGTGGGCGGATCACCTGAGGTGAGGAGTTTGAGACCAGCCTGGCCAACATGGTGAAACCCCATCTCTACTAAAAATAAAAAAATTAGCCGGGCGTGGTGGCGGGTGCCCTGTAATCCCAGCTACTTGGGAGGCTGAGGCAAGAGAATCGCTTGAACCTGGGAGATGGAGGTTGCAGTGAACCGAGATCGCACCACTGCACTCCAGCCTGGGCGACAGAGTAAGACTCTATCTCAATAAATAAATAAATAATAATAAACAAGAATTATTATATCTGGTTTTATTTCATTCCGAAGTTATGTCAGTTTATGTAAGGTTATTTGCAGCATTCATCTGTTTTTTCCCCTTGATTTCACATACAGAACTCATTACCAAATAAAGAGCAAAGACTTAAAAACCTCACAACAAACTTTCAGCTAATGATGCTTCCTTAGGAATTCTCTGTCACAATGACTGGTGATGTCAGCCCATGCCATGCCTATGTCAGATTCAGTCCTGATCCTCAGTGATTACCACCTTTATCTAAGTGTGTATAACTGTCCATCTGGTGAACTGAATGGATGAGCTCCAGTCTTAACAGACTGAAAAGGAATGCTTCTCCATACACATCTCATGCTGCTTTTCTTTCCACGTGGAAGTTCATGGACCTGAAAATGGCTTATTTTAAGCTTTGTACCCAAACTAAAATCTTTGCATTCGATAGGCATTTTTTGTCCAGTCTGACAAGCTCTGTCTTTTGGTGAACTTGTTTAATTCACTGACAAGTTATTAATGTTCTTATTGCAACAGTTGAGTTTACATCTGCCTTCTGTTTACTATGCCTCAGTCCTTTGGTCCTCTACTCCTACGTTACTGCTTTCTTTTGCTTTCAGTGAATATTTTCTATTGTAACATCTTAATTCCTTTAGTAACTTTTTTAACTTTTTATTTTGATTAGTGGTTGCTATAGGGCTTACTACATATATCTTATCAGAATCTACTTCAGATATGTACTAACTTAATTGCAGTGAGACATGGAAATGTCACTTGTTTATAGCTCTATTCTCTTTCCCCCTTATTGTAATACATATTACATCTATATATGTTACAAACCCATCATACTTTGTTATAATTATTACTTTATATAATTTTATGTCTCTTAAGCTTAGAGAAGACAGTAGACAGATATTATTTACAATGTTTATTATATTAACCTTCTTAGTTACTGTTTCTGGTTCTCTTCTTTATTCCTGTGAATTCAAGTTACCATCTGGTGTCATTTTCTTGGTCCATTGCAGTTTTGCTCCCACTCACCTTCTTGGTGTTGCTGGCAAATATATTACATTTCTATATATTATGGGCCTAGTGATACAATTATATACATATTGTTTTATTACAGTTGCATTTTTAAATCAGTTAAGAAAGGAGAAGGAATATACATTTAAACTGTCTTTTTTAACTACATAATTCCTTTACTAATTGCACCATTTTTTCCTATGGATTTGAATTACTATCAGGGGTCATTTGCTTTCATCCTGAGCAACTTTAGTATTTTTTATAAGGTTGTTGCGGGACAGTCAGACCGAAAAAGGTTCAGGAGAGTTTATTAAATTAAGGTGATCACCGGCTCAGCCAGACATATGTCCAGAAAGTCTGAGCCCTGAAAAAGGGCTTTTCCTACTTTTAAACATCTTAAGGTGGGAGCTAACATGAGGCGGGAAGCGAGTTACAGAAGCAAGGAACAAAGGCAGCATTACAACATTCCTTATATCTTGAGGGAAACATGTCTTGCAACCTAAACTTACCAGTCTTGTGACCCTGCAGCCGTGCAGGAACTTCCTGGGCCTGTAATAAACTTTGAGGAATATGGAGTTGGGGAGTACAGATAAGGTACACTGTCCACAGAGAGAGGACAGGCTGTTAATATTCTCTTTTAACTTGAGTGTAAGACGGGGTCACACTTTGCAGCAACTTTAAGAGGATTTTAAAATTTCTGTTACTACTACTATTAGGTTATAGTTGATTTCATTAATTCCTTCTTCAAGGTGAGTCTGCTAGCAGTGAATTATCTCCGTTTTTCATTATCTAGAAATGTCTTTATTTCCTCTTAAATTTTAAAATTAGTTTTCCTGAATGTAGGACTTTTGGTTGACAGGAGCTTTTTTCTTCCGTCATTTGGAGTATGTCATCCCACTGCCTTCTGGTCTTCATTGTTTCTGATGAGAAGTCACCCATTAAACTTATTGGGATTCTCTTCTATGTGATGAATAGTTTTTCCCTTGCTTCTTTCAAAAATTTTCTTTTTCTTTGGTTTTCAGCATTTTTGCTATGATTTATCTATCTGGGTCTCGATCTCTTTGCATTTATTCTGCATCACATTTATTGAGCTTCTTAGATGTGAATATTAATGTTTTTCATCAAATTTGGGAAGGTTTTAGCCATTATTTCTTCAAATTTTTCTTTGTCTTCTCTCTCTCTCACTTCTACTAGAGAACTTCCATTACGTATATCTTGGTGTACTTAATTGTGCCCCACATTTCTTTGAGATTCTTTTCATTTTTTCCTTATCCTTTTTTTCTCTCTGTTTTTCAGGCTGCTTAATCTGTCATGAAGTTTGCTAATTCTTCTGGCAGTTCAAAGCTAACGTTGAGCCCCTCAAGTGAATTTTTTATTTCAGTATATTTACTTTCAGTTCCATAATTTCCATTTGGTTTTTTATCATTTCTGTCTATGGATATTTTATATTTGATAAGGCACACTTCACTTCTTTAAGCATAATTTCCTTTTTTTTTTTTAACATATTTGTAGTGGCTGCTTTAAAGTTTTTGTCTGTGAAATTTACATCTGGTCCCTCTCACAGCACTGTCTGTTGCCAGGTTTTTGGTTTTCTGTTTTCTTGTATATGGATTATACTTTCCTGTTTCTTTATGGGTCTCATAATTTTTTATTGGACATTTAGGTAATTGTTATGGTCATTCCACAGAAAAAGTATGCACAGTCTTCCCTCCGAAATTTGGCTCAAAAGCCAAGAAGGTATGAGAAGGTTTATCAATCACATAAAGAGGCTTTGTGGGAACCGCAAGGCAGGCCTTCCAAACTGGTCTGAAAATGATTTGAGAGATCAAGGACAGGAGACTGCCTTGGAAGGTTATTTGTGTGCTGTTTGGAGGTGGGGCCTGGGTGAGGTTCCTATGCATGAGTAGGGCTTGAGGGGCATGAACCTCCCACCAGCACCAAAGGAGGCTGGCTTTTTTACCAGCTTGCCCAGATATAGGGCACAAGAGGAAAAGGGAGGGGTAAGATTTAAAAGCTGTCAACAGACAAATATTAAAAAATGGAGCCAGATTCTTTTCCACAATAATATACTGTAGCAACTTTGGATACTGCCCTCCACTCCCCAAAGCTTGTTATTGTTGTTTGCTTGCTTATTTGTTTAGTGACTGGCTAGACTATTTCAATAAAGATTATTTTCCCTGTAGTGTGAAGCCTTTGATGTTGCTCCTCAGAGGCTACAGCTTTGGAGACGTACCTTGTCATCCTGGTATGACAGTGGTTTTAGCAGGGCTCTCTTTGTCTCCTTCTGGATCACACTCAGCTGTTAGGCTTCAGTAATTGCCAGCTGATTGCTCTATTTTTGACAATACCTTGGGTCATAAATTGCTCCATGGTCTGATATAATTAAGTTTGGATTCCTTTGCAGGTTTGTTCTGTAGGTTGGTGTTGTAGGTTTGTCCAGACTTCAGGAAGGTTATCTGTAGATCTTCATTCCCTAGTTCTCTCTGTTAAGCCCTGGTCTGTGATTTAGTTTGATTCTTTCATGAGGCTGACTGCCTTCTCTCTATTGCTTTCCATCAAACCTCCATTTGTTTTGAATATACCCTTAGGCTTGAACTTCCCCACACTCTGTTTTAAATATTAGGGGACAGCTTTGTAGCTGCCTGTTACAGCCTGACGCTTCTCCTGGGCAGAATCCCTGAGCATGGCTCCAGAGGTGAGAGTGAGGACAGTGACACACTTTCCCCCTGAGAGGCATCCCTGCTTTAGGATCAGAACACTGCATTGGAGTGGTAGCTTCTGATCTTTGCTTCCCTTTCCGGCATTGAACCAAAGGCCTACAAAAGGGGTGGTGTGTGAGTCGCTAGGCCCCTGCCATTCTTAGTGTGCTGCACGAGAGATGGATCCTCCACCTTTGTGAGTAGGGGCTGGATTGAAGAAGGGGTGTCCCCAGCCTCTTGACCTCACACTCTTGGAATTTAGCCTCTACAGCATATAGCAGGAGGAGATGAGAAATGGTGGCCTGCCCCGCAAGAAGTTACCACAGTCCTTGACTAGGAGCTGGGTGGAGGGGGAGCCCTGTGTTTTTGGCTGCAGCTTCCTGAAGCAGAGTTTCCTTCACACTGAGCTAGGAGGAGGAGAGAAAGAGCAGGTAGTAGTTCAAAAGTTACAGGCTCTTGCTCTTCTTGTCTGATTTCAGTATATTTTCTTGAATAAATGTTTCTTCGTTTGTTATATGCTCTCAGAACAATTTCCAGAGACTGTAAATTTTTTTTTAATAATTTCCCCCAGTTATGCTTGTTTTACTGGAGAGCAGGTCTGTAGGGATCACACTGTCATTCCAGAAGGGAATTTTTACAATTGGTAGGCATTTGCTGACCTAAAACTCATCAGTCCTAATGCCGGATAACAGATGTTTTTTTGTTTAAGTCAATGGCCTTGAATTTTGCCCACTGTTTTGGCTGTGGCTTTTTTTAGGATGAAGGTTTTATCATGTATGCTCCAAAGGAATATTCTTCCATGTTATAGATTAGTCTGTAAGTTAAATATGATCAATTTACAAAACAGCATTAGAACTGTCCTGTCTAGCTTAACAGCCTTTCCTTGTTTTTAGTGCAGTGTTTTAAGTCTTCAGTTTTAAAAGCTCAAAGTTTTGGTTCTCTTGTAAGGCCCTTTGACATTAAAAAAGAAAGGTTGAAGTCTTCTCATTGAAGTGAGCACTCAGCATGACCTATAACTAGCATTCTGCTATTACAGCAGGCAGAGAAAACTGAGGAAAAAGAAGGTTCATTAGAAGTTCTTAGTCACTGTAAGGTTTACTCTTTGCTGCATTAGAATGATTGAAGATAGGCTTTCAGAGTTAACATTGTTTTTAAAATTATTTCATGTAGCTTTTGAAAGGAAGCCTTAATATTTTTAATATACATTTTATTTTCATGTTTAATCACTATTATACTTGTTTCTGCTTCAAGAGAAATTTTTTGTAGTTTCACATATTAAGTTTAGGGACTACTTTAATCAAATGCCATATGCTGGGGAAATTATTTACTTCTCAGAATTACCAACTTCAGATTGTGTACCACTGGAATGCATATAAGAGCAATTTTTATAATTGTTAAGTGTATTTAGTGTGTATTTTACATTAATAAACTTTGTTTAATTTTTTTGAACTAATTTTATTAGAGGCCATGAGTGTGCCTCATTATTTTAATAAATTACTTTAACCTGAAGTTTCTTAATAATCTGATTATTTGATTTTAACTTATTTCAAACATACAGACCTTTATAAACACAATGTCACGTGTTGGTAATGTTAGCATTTCACTAATGTGAATATAATAACTTCTTAAAACGAATTGCACAGTTTCTGACCAGTGCAAATGTCACTTCCTCAGTGAAGCCCTCCTCAAATTCGTCCAACAAGAGAGTACCTCTGCCAGCTCTGTTCCAATAGTATGTATTCATAATTCTAGCAGAGCCATTACCACATAGTATTTGTCAATTTCCACATCTGCCTCCTCAAGGAAGGAGTAGAGAGAAGTAGTAGAGACAGTAACCTCACCACATTGGCCAGGCTGGTCTCGAACTCCTGACCTCAGGTGATCTCCCCACCTTGACCTCCCAAAGTGCTGGGATTACAGGTGTGAGCCACCATGCCCCGCCATCATTTGTGTTTATCTCTCCAATACCTAGTTGACTGCCACGCAGTCAGAGATATTTAAAAGATGTTTGAATCAGTTGGTGGATATGACGTGGAAAAAAAATTTGATGATCATTCTTTCACATCATTTTATAGGCAAGTAAGTGAAGTCCAGAAAGGTAACATTTTGCTTTACTTTTTCCAAGTTATCAGACTGTATTACTTCAGGCATTTTATCACTACAGTGCTCTAGATTCAGGAAAAATATTCCCTTCCAGTATGTTCCAGAAATAATGTGCGGAAACCTTAGAGACAGGTTATTTCATTAAGACCAGGGTTATTCTAGCAGAAAATGCCTCTCTGGTGTGTAGAAAGTGAACTAAGAATAGTTAAAAAAAGAAGACAGTACACAAATCAGGTTTCCAGACTAGATGGAGCGTAAGTGCCTACTGTTAGAGGTTTGATTTTCAGTTACAATGAGTTTAAATCTTTTTAAATAACTAACTTTGTATTTTTAACCATCCTTCCCTTGGATTTACAAGAGAAATAAACTGCTAACCTTAGCTGACCACCTGTATCATGTTTTGCAGTTCAGTCTGAGGTAGCAGTTATTAGAGAGACCAGCAACTTCTCATAACTCTTGGAGCATTATCACCTTGATTGAATTGTGCCACTTAAGAAATAAATCACTTTGAAGTTGAATTTGATTTTAAATGTCTGGCCACAATTTTTGTGAATAAAATTAAGAGTTTTTTTCTAACACATACCCCATGACTAGGAGTCCATCATGTCATGAAAATTTAGAGTTCTGTCAAAAATGTTTCTCTCAGGAGACAGAAATGCATTAAAAAATGTAATTTTGGGAAGTCCTTTAACATCAGTATAAACTGACATACAGTCTTTTCTTTTCTTTTGAGATGGAGTTTTGCTCTCGTTGCCCAGGTTGGAGTGCAATGGCACGATCTTGGCTCACTGCAACCTCCGCCTCCTGGATTCAAGCAATTCTCCTGCCTCAGCCTCCTGAGTAGCTGGGATTACAGGCATGCGCCACCATGCCCAGCTAATTTTTTGTATTTAGTAGAGACGGGATTTCACCATGTTGGTCAGCTGGTCTCGAACTCCTGACTTCAGGTGATCCAACCACCTTGGCCTCCCAAAGTGTTGGGATTACAGGCGTGTGCCACCATGCCCGGCCCAGTCTTTTCATTTGGAGGAAATAAATACTCAGAAATCCAGCATGCCATGTTTCAGCTGCTAAAAAAACCATTTTTGGATAGTAGCGCTTGTGTAGGCAGCTATTGAGCAACTAGAAAGTGTAACATCTTTGTAAATCTATAATGAGGCACAGGTGGACAAGATAAGAAAGCATCAGGATTTTGGAATGAAAGTGATGAATGAAAGTTAAGTAACCTTAGTGCATAAACCAAATTATTGCAGACTGATTTCATTGCCCTAAGAAAACGCGTCAGGGCAAATATAATTCTAAAATTTATATTTTAAAACCTTCATTTAAGTTAATTTACATAAATGAAAGTTGATGGGAAGTCAGAAAATCTTAGCAATTATTGATGCCAGGGTCCTGTTCTCCAGTTATTTCCATCATTAAGTATTATCTCTGTTGACTTCTTTACCTTCTGGAACATAGAGGACTTTTTGAGAAAGGGGAGAGTCTTATGTTTGAAGTTTGTATTAATGTCTATTAACCCATATAAACATTCCAATATTGAAAATATTAAATCTACAAAATCTCCCTGAAATTCCTTAAGGTCCTGACCTCACAGGGGTAGAGGAAATATGTGACTTCACTTGATACATATATTTAACACCAGAATTCAAAATATTGCTAAGTCTTTGGGGACCATTAACTTACCACAATTGTCTTGATTACATTTCTCCTAACAATTCAACATACAAGTTATGAAAAATAAATTCCTATGATAAAAGTGTAGTAATTGGAAAATTTTTACTCCTCATTTGTTAATAACCCTCATCAAGGGAAAATTATAATCCCCTTAGACATTCCATTTCAGTGCAGTTAACAGGTTCCTATCATTATTTGCTGCCAGCAGCCTGTTACTTGGAATTTATTGGTTTTGCCTAAAATTTTTAGTTTATATACAATCTGAAATAAATAAAGCCAGTGGTTTCCACCACCCACCCCCACCCCCCGACTTCTGATCATGATTTCACTGACGACGGAAGACAGGGTAGGAATGTGTTCATTGTTACCATTAGTGATTTCAGCCTTGTGTGCCTGGATTCCAGAGTGTGGTGTCTGCGTCTCTCTGTAACTTGTTGTGTACCGTCTTGAATTAGAGATCATCAGAGCTGTCTGCTAAGTATGGTGAATCTTCATTTTGGACCCCATGTTTCAGGAAATAGAAAGAAAGTCTAGATAGAAGATAATGAACTTAAAAGTTGAAATTTTAAAATGATTCTTGGAAATGTAGACTTGTGAATGGGGAACAATTCAAGCACGTTTCTGATATCATCTTACTAAATTAGTGCATCTTTATAAAATATGATCTGGCAGAATTATTTGATATAGGAAATAGGGTTGATCTTCTGCAAACAAAAATATAACTAATGCAATCATCTCTATCAGAGGTTTCAAACCAATACTCATGAGCAAAATCAGCCTGGAGACATGTTTTGAGTTTTTTTGACCCATGCTGTGTTTCATATATTTTGAATTAAGTTTCAGTATTTCAAAAGTTTGATTTTTCATATTAAAAATCATATTTCTGTAACAACAACAATTGTCTGGAGCTAATTAATTCTGTCCCTCTGGTCAGTGATGATCTCTTTTGCTTCATCCAGTTCCCTCACTTACTACTGTCTGTCTTATCCTGAGATGCTTTTTCAGTTTGTATGCCCTTGCCTTTTTACTATTTGATCATCTTGTTTGTACCAGGCCTTCTTAACTTATTTAAGTTAAGGCCTTATGCCTTATAGCATTTCAATTGATGACCTCTGAGCTACAGAATGCAATTAAACTGCTGCTGCAAAGAGTGAGAGCTGGCATGACCTGGTTTGTCTTAGTGATTTCAGAAGTCATATGGCCTTCAGTATACTTTTTAATGAATAAGTGGAGGAAAAGGTGTTTTATTTTAAAGATATTTTTATTCTACATTGTTATGCTGCCCTTCCACTAATATAACTAGGCCTAAGAGAAACTGGATACTACTATAGAACAAATATAAACATGAGCTTGGCATAGCCTCCTAGCTTGAGCATAGAAACAGTATAAGTTATGATACTGCTTTGAGCCATTCTTTGTGGAAATGTCTCCAGACATTTCAGCTTACAGAAAATACTACGAATGTTTTATTAACTATGTTTTTCTAAAATAACCCATAATATTACTCCTCTGTGAATAGTAACTATTACTATCCAAGGAGAATTTCTTCATGCAGGAACTCAAAATAATATTATGAATAGTTTTCTTTTAATTTCCATCGGAATATTTTTCTTAAAACTTGAGACATCACACTGAAGGATATAGTGCCTGAAATCACAATTTTCAACATCTTCTTTTATACCATAGTGTATCAAAAGGATATTACATGCTCATGATTAATCATTAAGCTTTGTTTTGAGTTTTTCTAATATGATTTAGTTCATTTAGACTTCCAATTTAAGTTTCTAAAACTCCTGAGGCTTCCTTTTAATGCCAACTTTAACCAGAGAGCTCTTCATTTGAAAGGAAGGCTAAGCTGCAGTTGACAAAGATTAAAATGCAGTAGCTTACTCCTTTCAAGCTATGAATGGAGATAATTGAAGCATAAACCATTTAATGTTTTTGTACACACTTGTCTATGTCTCTGTAGTTTCTGAGGAAGAAACTGCATGTGCATTGAATATTTTCACTATTTTACTTGTTAAATGAATCTAATGAAAAAGAACTTAATTGAGTTTGGAGTTTAAATCCTGAATTTTTCATGAAATCATGATGTGATCTTTTGTTATGGAGTATTTGTTCAAGTGAATACCAGTGATATCAGCTATCATTATGTTGTTTCTATTAGCATTTTTAAACTTAGTTTTGAAAACAGGAAAGACAAACCCATATCCAAAATATATATGGTTCCTGTAAATGAATTGCTGCCACTTCCAGGGTGAAAGGGGTCCAATATAGTCGCCAAGCCACCAAATCTTTATTCCAAGCCACAACTCACCCCACTCTCCCTATACCAACCCTGTTCTTCCAACTCCCACCCTGCCTTGATCAAATACATGCAGAACTTAGTCTCATGCACACTCTTCTGGCTCCTGCCAGTACGTGTCCACTAGGTCCTTGACTTAATTCAGAGTGCAGTCCCTTTCTCCTACCTGTCCATCACATTCCTGGCTAAGTTTACACTGTAATTTAACCTTACTTTTTGGCGTAGTGTCCAGGAGATAAGGTGGGCAGAGCATAGGAATGGGGGTGTGTGTGAATCACATAATGAGGGGAGGAACTTCTCCGTCATCATCATCAAACAGGAAAGGAGACTAGCTGTTAACAGCAAAGAGTGGGCTACTTCTGCAGACTATGAAGTTTTGCGTGAATCTGAGGACTCAGAGTTTCTGCTTCATCAACCTAGATGTTCCCTTTCCATGAATCATGTATTTTGTTTCCAACCTAGGGATCTAACCTTAGCATAGCAGAGCTGCTATGGTTGAGAATTTAACCTTCTTGGGTTCCCTTCTTCTGCTCTTACTGGTCAAAGTCCTCCTTGCCCTTTTGGTGTGGGATGTGAGAACCTCTTTTTTTTTTTTTTTTTTTTTGGCTACCCAAGAGACCCTCTTCCTTTCACATTTAGCTTTTAATTTCAGATCAATCATGTTCAGCCTTTGTATCTGTCTTGTACTGCCTCAATTGAGCTTAGCAATAGCTGTCTAATTACCCTGTCCTTAGCATTAGTGTTTGCCTCATATTTCTCAAAAAAGAAAACACAAAATATCACACCCCCACTAGTGTATTTCCTCCCACCAGAATACTATTGCAAGACAGCAGCAGTAAAAGATAAGTGGGGGAAAAGGTGTTTTATTTGGGGGCTGCCTCTGCCTTATCCCCAGTGAAGGAACCCATATTGCCTGCCCCATGAAAGGTGATCCAACTACAGAATCTCTTTTTTTTTTTTTTTTGAGATGGAATAATCTCGCCCTTGTCACCCAAGCTGGAGTACAGTGGCGCCATCTCGGCTCACTGCAACCTCCACCTCCCAGGTTCAAGCAATTCTGCATCAGCCTCCTGAGTAGCTGGGATTACAGATGCACACCACCACGCCTGGCTAATTTTTGTCTTTTTAGTAGAGACGGAGTTTCACCATGTTGGCCAAGCTGGTCTTAAACTCCTTACCTCAGGTGATCTGCCCGCCTCGGCCTCTCAAAGTGCAGACATTACTGGTGTGAGCCACCGTGCCCAGTCCAGAATCTCATCTTAGTGTCTGTTTTCTCAGATCACTTTTGGTATCAACTATTGTTGGTTGGGTTTCCTGGGAAGCAGACTTTGAGACTGAGATTCATGGGCATGAAGTTTCATTTTAGAGTCAAAACCAGTGGACGGCATGAGACAGAAACAGAGTTGGGCTGCAATTCAGTGTCAGTAAAAGCCTCAAGGGGACCCCTGGGGAGCTCTGAATGTGGAATGGCCCTGTAGAGTTGTCCTGAGTTGTGGTGAGTGGGTCCAGCCTTTATACCTCCAAATTGACCATTGATTGGATGCAGACTAGTCCAGAAAGGGATGCAACCTTCTGCAAGGTAGCTCCTTTTCAGCCGAAGTTGTTCCAAAGAGGGCTAACCACTTAGGATTGTCTACCAGCAATATTTCTAGAAGCTGAGAGAATAAATCCTTAATTCCCAAAAGGGCATCTGGGTGGCATGTCACATCCATGACAGTTTCTGGAGTACATTTCCTTAATTTTATTTTGTGAATTACTCTTAGCCATGTGAGAGGGTGAGAACTTTATTGCTTCATTGATTAAAAATTTTCTTTAGGAGTTTCTTCATTCCCATTTCATTCAAAGTCTGAGGCATGATTCTTTATATTTAATTACTAATAATTAATTTTCTCTATTTTTGTTTCTCTGTGTAATGAATCATTTATTTTTTCTATGCCCCTTTACATAATTGAATAGTAAGATGATATATTTTTAAAAAGTCTATTTTACAAGATACTTCCAGTCCCTCAACTAGCTTTACTACTTTTCAAAGTTTTAATAAATAGCTAGCAAAGCCATGGAAATAGAATCAGCATTGTGTGTTATAGTTCCTAAATTCTTTAAATATGCATGAAAGAAGAGGGCATAATTTTCACCTTCTATGCAAATATAGATTCTGACTAATAGAACACCAGTGGAAAAAAATTTTTGAATTGGTTTTCAAGGAGCGGCGATAAATTGCTGGTAGTTACACCACTCCCTCTAACTATCCCCCTTAACCATATCTTAACCATATGTGGTCACAGAGTCATTCTTCTAATCCCATGACGCTAACTGCCTTATCAAGACACCAGACCTTTGATTTCTTGTTGAAAACATGTCTCCACATTTATTCTATTTTCAAATGGGTTAAGAGTTTCAAAAGTTGGATATTTTCAGTTTGAACAAATTCACCTGTAATGTAGTAGCATGCTTGCCCCTTTTCTCAGTTTTAGTTCTTTCAAATAGGTCAGAACTTGCACTCATGCCTCCCTTAGTGATTCTTAGAATTCTCTGTGGCTGTTAATCCCTAATCACTTTCTTATGCTGATTATTCCCATTTTCAGATGCTATAAAAATGTAACACCTTTTAAACATACTTAGTACAGTAGTCACTGTGATTATTTTTAATGAAACACTTTAACGTAGACCCTTCTTTCCCCAAGACTTTCCATTTAAAGACATAATAGAGCAATTATTTTTAGACGTCCAAGCAAATTTGCAAGAACTACAATATACATATAGCATGTTGTCCATAATTATCCAGCAATCATTTGAACATGTTATATTTCCTAGCTCATAGAAACAGCAGGGATAGAAAAATCCGTTAGGCATGATTCCTGCCCTCAGGGAGCTTTGGACAGGCAGATGTGAAGCCAGAATACCATGGTAGGTTGTAATCACTGCCGTGACAGAGGTAGCAAAGGAGAATAACAGCGGAGGGAAAGCTATGTCTAGGGAGAGGAAGGAACTCTAGAAGGAAGAGGACATTTCAGCCAATTTTGAAGAATCCATTCACCAGGTGGCTGTGAGGTGGAAAGGTACTACAGAGACAAGGAATGACATGTACAGAGGCAAACAGAGGTCAAAAAACATGATAAAATCTGGCGACTACTTTGCTCTGTCTGAAAACAATCTTCTTGTGAGGGAGTAACACAGAATTGAGGCTGGAAAGGTAGGTAAGGTAGCCTTCACATAACAGCTGAGGTATTTGCCCTTCATCTTGGAAGAAAAGGAATGAGATCAAATGACTTTGGAAGTAACACGTCATTGGGAGTGCATGAGTAACAGTAAACAAATGACGTTCATAGAGGACTACATTTGCATATCCACAGGCAAAGCATTTTCCTTGTTGTGGAAATAAATACAGAGCTATTTGATACATGGACAAAAGAATGGTTCCACTTGGAATGAGGAGTTTTGAGTTCAACTAATTATAAAAATAAATTCCTTAGCTTTTGGGTGATTCCATGAAAATCTTTATTATTACAATTATTAGATAAATTAGCTTCATCAAATTCATATGACACCCTTACAGAAAACACATTAAAATGTGAATGATAGTTTTCTGAGCATATCTAATGTAGGAAGGGAAAAAAAAACTCTTTTTTTCAGTAGTCATGGCCTTCACATCACTCTGAATCTTTTTTTTTTTTTTTTTTTTTTTTTTGGGGAGACAGAGTCTCCCTCTGTCTCCAGGCTGGAGATCAGAATCTTGGCTCACTGCAACCTCCGCCTCCTGGGTTCAAGTGATTCTTCTGCCTCAGCCTCCCAAGTGGCTGGGACTACAGGTGCGCACCATCACACCCAGCTAATTTTTGTATTTTTAGTAGCGATGGGGTTTCACCATGTTGGCCAGGATGGTCTTGATCTGCCACCTCGGCTTCCCAAAGTGCTGCGATTATAGGCGTGAGCCACAGCGCCCTGCCAGTAATTTGTTTTTCAAAGCATAAAACAGTAATGTTATTTTAATATTCCTATAAGCCACCTCATCGTTTTAATACCTTATATATTCACTAAGTAAAATTGCCATGATACAAACATAATAAATGCTGCTACTAGAATAGATTTGTTTGCAGTAATAGGCCTTTACAATAATAGGATGTTTCATTTGACTGTGAACCTATTTTTTTTCAAAGAAATTTTATTAAAATTATTGTACTTTTCAATAAAACAACCATTCGTTAGCTGGAATTTATGAAGACAATTCTATTACTGAAAATTTGAAACATAATTTATTCATTTAACATGAGTGCAAAAACTTTTGGGTGGTGAAATACTGTTATTTAAAATAATGCTGAAAACTATGATATATAGGTAAGTGTTGCTTGCTTTCAGGGTGAGAAAGCAAATGTGATTGCGATCAGAATATCTGTTTTAAAAAATATAGTACACTTTGGAATAAAAAAGATTAAAAGGCACATGATTTAAAAAAAGTGCGACACATAACTATTCTTGGAAATAAGGAATATTCTTGAAGGACTAATACCAAATATCCTCGTTAAATACATTTTCTTTAATGCAGGGTCATCTGCTTTTTTTTTTAATGGGATGAAACTTGTTAAAATATAATTTAAAATATGTTTAAGTAGAATTGTGTCAATTCTTTTAATGTATTGCATTTTTTTTCTGTTTTTAAATGTACACATCAGTAAGACTACAAAACTTTACGTTTTTATTATTTTTCCTTCTAGATTTATTCCTGACGACATTGAATGCCACCACTAGTACCTTCCAGTTTGAAATATGGGAAAATTTGGTAAGAAATCTTTTCCTTGAAGCATTTTAAAATGATGGCTTTCAGTAAAAGCACACAATTTTAGAAAATAAAATGAAAATAATCACTTGGTTGATTTCAACAATAAATAGAAAACTTTAAGAGCCTTTGGTTGCATTGCTGCATTCAAACTACTGAATATTTCTGAAGGAAGTGATTCATTCAGCATCAGTTACTCTGCAGGTTTTTAGGCATGACTGCCAATTAAACCAATCAGGCTGCCCTAATGTGCATGTTAACAGGACCCCTGCTATGCTGTCAGCTGTTGAGAGAGTTACTGTCATTTAATTTGTCAGCATGATGGTTTATGAAAAAAAACTATTTTAAAAAGACCAATTTTTCCCCTTTGCCTTTAGGCTTATATAAAGAAATAAGACAACAAACACCAAACTTACTGCCACGTTGACTAGGATTAAGAAATCTTTCCCAATAGGGTTTTTTTTTTTTTAATTGTAAGTAGAAGATTCCCAAACCAATGTCATGATTTTGTTTTACTTTTAGCTTGATGTGAGTTATATGATGGATTAATTAATGAAGAATAAACAACCTGAAATTTTAAAGTTAAATTTCAGGCTACATAGTAGAAGACAGGATCTGAGACCAGACCAAACTGGCCATCACAGTGACATTCGTGAAGTATTGGCCAAGTATCGAACCCCACTTTCCACACACAGAAAATGGGCGTAAGAGCCTCTGCTTCACAGGATCTTTATGAAGATCAAATGAAACAGTTTGTGTAACATGCCTGACATGCAGTAGGCATTTATCGAATTTTAATTTTAGGTCTGTTGATTTCCCATCTGCAACTCCTGATTGTATTTTATTCAATCCAAATTAAACCCATAACCTTTTATAAATTTTATTAAAATGCTGATAAAAAATAAGCAGATTTTTGAAATGTAAAGCACAAACTTATGGAAGGAGACTCAGACTCATTATCAGCCATCCCTCATAATATGGTAAGTGATGCTGGTCATGACTCAGATCTCTTCATGGAAGGAAACTACGATGGGGGGTTGCTTTGTTTAGATGAAATCAGAGCTTCCGACTACTTCTAAGCTCAGCAATTTGATTCTTTTTTTTTGTTTTTTTAAATGGGGCAAGGGGAAGTAAGACATCTAAATCAAAAAAGACTTATTTAATGTACTACTTTTTAAAAAAATGCAGTTATATTTGTTTTTCTGATAATAGAAATATGGTTGCTATATTTTTATGACTGCCGTACATTAAGTCCCCACTGCTGGGAGAAGTTTGTTTGCAGGTGGCCTTTCATTGCTACCACAAGTGAATCTTCTAGTATTAGAAAATGAGAGGTGTATTTGATTAACTTGTATCTGAGGGTCGGGGGAAGCCTCATTATAAATAAGTAGAATATCTATAGAACATAATGAAACACCCTTAAGTATCTGAGGTTCTTTCAGTCTAGGCTGATTTAAACTTAATGGAATGAAGCAACTCAATAGGAGAAGATTCTTGATGAATAAAATAGATTTTGACTGGGTCTTTTGTTATTGTTTTCTTTAAAGAAAACTAATAAATTCACTGTTAGAAAATGGGGACTAAGGGTTTTTCTTCTTATAAAGGGCTGGATCAGTAAGTAACTTTTAAAGAAAAAAGTATTTTTAAACTCTTGTTAAAGATGGTAAGGCAGATTTTCTTCAAGAGTGCTCCTACAGTGGGGTTTTGCAGTAGGGGGAAGAGATTGGACTCACCTCCAAATACAAGGAAAATCAGGATGTTATAACCAATGAGCAGGATGGGGGTCAGTGGAAGGGAAATTACTTGGGCAGGGTAGTGGTTGGGATAAGTTAAGCAGAGTTCTCAGAGGAGCCTAACCAAAGTTTGGTCAAGGAGATAATCTTTCTCAGTTTCCACAGTAACAATAGTTAATCATTAGTAGATTCAGAATTAACTAGGATAGATAAAGTTTTGTTTTCATAAAATGAATGATCATTTTCAATTAGAGATTGGACAGAGACTTTGCAGTCACATACTAATTTGCCAAAAAAACCTCAAAACCTATAAAACCACATTAGCCAGTAGAAGAATGAAAGCTCAACAAATCTTCTTACATATCAGTTGCATGTACAGCCCCATGGTAGTGCTCTGGCAGTTACAGAAGTGAATAGGGCTTGTAGGCTAGGAGCTGGGATGTGAGTGTGGATGACCCTGGCTGGTATGATGAGATATACATTATGCTACAGGAATTCAAAGAGCAGTTGCTTCTATCTGATTCCAGAATTATCAGTGAAGGCCTCAAGAAAGATGTGGTATTTAGGCCAGGTGTGGTGGCTCACACCTGTAATCCCATCACTTTGGGAGGCTGAGGCGGCCAGATCATCTGAGGTCAGGAGTTCAAGACCAGCCTTGCCAACATGGTGAAACCCCGTCTCTACTAAAAATAGAAAATTAGCTTGGTATAGTGGTGCACACCTGTAGTCCCAGCTATTCGGAGGCTGAGGCAAGAGAATCACTTGATCCTGGGAGGTGGAGGTTGCAGTGAGCCGAGATTGCACCACTGCACTCCAGCCTGGGCGACAAGAGCAAAACTCCATCTCAAAAGGAAAAAAAAAGATGTAGTATTCAACATGACTAGTATGAATTAAAGGATTTTAGTGATTTGGAAGTGAGAAAGAAAGAGGAAAAGGCAGGCAAGGAATTGCACAGGAGACACAAGACACATCCAGATGGTATAAAGTGGCTGATTTAGGCCAGAACATGAAAGAGATATTGAAATGTAAGACTAGAAAAATTGGTTTATACAAGATCAGCAAGAGCTTTGATCTCTAAACTAAGTAATATGATCTCTTAAAAATCTACTGAGAAGCTATTGTTTTAGGACTGAGAGTGAGATGAACAGAGCCTTCATTATTGCAATTAAATTGGCCACTGCATATCAGATAGGTTAGCATGCAACATCTGGACGTAGGGAGATTAAAGTTTATAGTAAATTTAGGAGGAATTTATAATAACCTGGGAAAGAGATGAATGATTAAAGAAGGAAATGTTGGAAATAGACAAAAAGGGTTAGATATGAGAATATGGGATGACCATTAACACAGTGCTTACTTGTGTTTTCTTCTGGTGAGCAATAAGAGAAATAGAGGCCAGGCACAGTAGCTCACACCTGTAATCCCAGTACTTTGGGAGGCTGAGGCAGGCAGATCATTGGAGTTTGGGAGTTTAAGACCAGGCTGGCCAGCTGGTGAAACCCCATCTCTACTAAAAATACAAAAATTAGCTAGGTGTGGTGGCACATGCCTGTAGTCCCAGCTACTTGGGAGGCTGAGGCAGAAGAATCGCTTGAACCCAGGAGGCAGAGGTTGCAGTGAGATCATGCCACTGCATTCCAGCCTGGGAAACAGAGCAAGACTCCATCTCAAAAAATAAAAAAAAAAAAAAGAGAGAAATAGAAAAGACGAAAGAAGTAACTAATTTTGGGCAGGAAAAAAATTATTTTAGAATAGAGATATGTCTCCCAACTACTCAGGAGGCTGAGGCAGGAGGATTGCTTGAGCCCAAGAGTTTGAGGCTGCAGTGAGCTATGATTGCACCACTGCACTCCAGCCTGAGCGACAGAGCAAGACCTCATCTCTATATTAAAAATTTTTTTAAAAAAGCAAAAAACAGAGACATGTCAAGGAATTGGTTAGAAATGTAGGAACAGAACTCAAGGAAGAAAGTAGGTAAGTGTCGTGGAGGAAGAGTGAAGAATGGCAAAACCAGAGACCATCCTGGCTAACACGGTGAAACCCCTCTCTACTAAAAATACAGAAAATTAGCTGGGTGCGGTGGCGGGCGCCTGTAGTCCCAGCTACTGGGGGGCTGAGGTAGGAGAATGGCGTGAACCTGGGAGGTGGAGCTTGCAGTGAGCCGAGATCGCACCACTGTACTCCAGCCTGGGTGAAAGAGCGAGACTCTGTCTCAGGAAAAAAAAAAAAAAAGAGAGAGTGGCAAAACCAGATCCTTGGGCACCCTTTATGTCAGAATTTTTCAGCGTTGGCACATCACCATTTTGAGCCAGATAATTCTTTCTGTGAAGAACTGTCTTGTTCATTGTCGATTGTTTAGCAGTGTCCCTGACCTCTTCTCACTAGTTCATAGTAACCACCTCCCACTTGTGACAATCAAAAATGTCTGCAGACATTGCCAGATGTTCTCAGGGGACTAAAATTCCCTCAGTTGAGAACCACTGCTTTACATAAATAAAGATAGGGGCATGCAGTCATCATTACATACTGCTTCATGGTCAGTTTTTACCTTTATAAATATGGCAGTTTTAACATTAAATATTAAACATGAAAGCCAAAGCATTGATAGTCATCTATGAAAGGCTACTTGCTACCACATGACACATTTGGTTGGAATTCAAGTAGAAAATGGCAGAAAGTCTTCCTGTCAACAGGTGTGGGTTAACTGCTTCAGTGGTTTTGGTAGTTGTGGTAGCAGTAGTAACAGCATTACTACTAGTGTTCCTACTACTATTACTAACATTAAATGCATGCTGTGTGCTAGGCACTATACTGAGCATTTTATATGGATTATCTCCTTAATCCTCACAAAATCCTTGTAAAAATACATTTTTTAATAAGTCAAGGAATGCTTAAAGAAGGACTAACTTATTCCTGCCTCATGGCTAGCAAACAGTGGAGCTGCGAGTTGAGCTAGGAAATCTGTTTCTAAACTTTCTACCCTTAAGTCATTGAAATTAGTACACAATAATTCCAGAAACCAACTCAGAAAAGAAAAGGTAAAGAGATGACTGCAACAGAAGCCCCTAGTGAGTTCGTTGAATTTTGGATTGCAGGGAAACAGTGCAGATCGGTAAGAACATCACAGTAAGAAATGCTGCAGTCAAAGGATCCAAAATTGCAGCTAACTAGGAATAATTTCTAGTGTTCCATAGCACTGCAGTTGACAGGATGACTGCGATTAACAATAATATATAGTTTCAAATACCTGGAATTGACACAGGATTTTTTCAGTGCCACTTCGCCAGCTAGAGACCTCCACCGCTGGTGGGGCCTCTGCTCAAGTTTCACTTACAACCTCTGGGCTGGCACTGCCCTCTCGACCCGGCAGGCTGTGTTTGGCTCGCACTACCAGTCCTAATCTCACACCCACTGTGGGCAAGCCAGGCACTGCGTGATGAGGGGTGTATAAGCAAGCAAGTGCAGGGCAGCTGCCCCAGGCGCCAACTCCATGCAAGGCTGAGGCTCAACCGGGCATACTACAAGCAGCTTCTGACTTAGGCGCCAGCGTTTGGACAACGGGAGCATAGTGGCATCTAAAAACTTGGAGACACCAGCAACTGCAGGGCCCTAAAGGGGGTGTTACAGTGGACAACCAGAGATTGAGCAAGGTGGAGAAGAGTTTTATTTAGCAACAGAATAGCTCTCAGTGGACAGGGGACCTGAAGTGGGCAGCCCCTACCCAAAAGCAGGGAATCCCCACGTGTGGCTGGGTCTGGGGTTTTTATGGGCTCAGAATGGGGGAGTGCATGTGGATTGGTCCATGGCGGCCTCGGAAAAGCACCATTTTATTGTCTAAGAGGCATCAAGGAAGTTCTCACTCTGGTCGGGGACTTTACCCGGAACTGGCTGCTTGGTTTCAGGCTTTAGTTTTTCTTTGGTTTGAAGGTCGGGTTTCACCGGGGACCCATCCCTATTTGCCTAGGAATTTGTCTGCCTCCTGCCGCTATTAGAAGGAGGATATTGAGGCCAGGCACAGTAGCTAACGCCTGTAATCCCAGCACTTTGGAAGGCCAAGGTGGGTGGATCACGAGGTCAGGAGATTAAGACCATCCTGGTTAACACGGTGAAACCCCGTCCGTACTAAAAACACAAAAAAAGTTAGCCGGGAGTGGTGGCAGGTGTGTGTAGTCCCAGCTACTCGGGAGGCTGAAGCAGGAGAATGGCGTGAACCCGGGAAGTGGAGTTGGAGTGAGCCAAGATCGCGCCACTGCCCTCCAGCCTGCACAACACAGCAAGACTCCATCTCAAAAAAAAAAAAAAAAAAAAAAAAGAGGATATTGAATATTCTGAATAGGAAGAAATGATAAATGTTTGAGATGATCGATATGCTAAAAACCCTGATCCAATCACTATACAAGTATCACAACATCACTGTGTGCCCCATGAGTATGTATAATTATTTATCAGTTTTTAAAAAATAGTACAGTATAAAAAAAAGTAGTATTGTTTGTTTCATAACAAAATTACTCTCATACTAAAGAACATAAATATACAAATAGGTGGAGATTCCAATCCAAAAGTAAAAGAGAGAGTCAGACCATGGAGTAAATGAGTAGCAAATGGCATCCTGTGAAAAAAGTACTTGCAGATCATAAGCACAGGACTGCCATTATGACAGTACCATATAGGTGCCTGATACGTTGCATTTTGCAGAACACTGTTGCCTTTCATTCCATTTGACCTCTCCAGAACCCTGCAAGTAGACAGTATGTTTAATCCCTTCTAACAACTGAAGAACTGAAGCCTAGAACGATGAATGGCTGTCCCAAAGTGACATAACTTTTCAGTGAAAAAGGACTGGAACCCACCTCACCTTACTCCAATTCTAGTGTTCTTTGCACCAGACTGTTCTCCCAGAATATGTTCAAAATGAAAAACAGTATTGATCATGTTTCTCCTGCCTCATTAATAGCTACCGAGCAGCTTCATCTTTGAAAATGAGCGTAGTTATGCTGCACTTTAAAATGTATTATCTATTGAGATAAAATATATTGATGATGCAGTTTATTAAATCATTTCATTACATATTAAATATGTAAATAATCTGAATGGAAATGAAGTTATATATGTTTATACTGCTAAGCAAAGTAAAGAACAAGTGATGATAATAATGGAAAAGTTGTCTAATAAAGTGTTGTCTTTTCCCCCAACTCTGTCACATGTCTAATGTGTTCTGCTTACTCTCACTATGGCCAGAACGTATTCTTTTCCTCCAGCAATTGGAAGTGGGCATTGCTCTTCTATTGATGCTCAGTGTGAAAGTGGCATCTTAGAAGACATGGAAGGCTGTTACTTCAATATTTCTTGATAGAGATAAATCATGAGGTTATATCTATATATTTCTAGATATATTTACCAAAATTCATAGACCTTCAGTGGGGTAATCTGTTCACTTCAGTTAGTATATTGAGTTGATATTCAGCTTTATCTCATAGAAGGCTGATATATTTTAAGAGAGATTTTTCCATTCATTCATGAAACATTCTATCCACTCTACACAATGCTGAATGCTGTGATCTTTTTTTTTTTTTTTTTTTTTTTTTTTTTTGAGATGGAGTCTTGCTCTGTCACCCAGGCTGGAGTACAGTGACTCAGTCTTGGCTCACTTGCTTGCTCCACCTCCCAGGTTCACGTGATTCTCCTGCCTCAGCCTCCCTAGTAGCTGGGATTACAGGTGTGCACTACCAAACCCAGCTAATTTTTCTTGTATTTTTAGTAGAGATGGGGTTTCATCATGTTGGCCAGGCTGGTCTTGATCTCCTAACCTCAAGTGATCTGCCTGCCTCGGCCTTCCAAAGTGCTGGGATTGCAAGTGTGAGCCACCATGCCCGGCCAATGCTGTGATCTTTTTTTTTTTTTTTTTTTTAATTGAGACGGAGTCTCGCTCTGTCACCCAGGCTGGAGTGCAGTGGTGCAATCTCGGCTTACTGCAAGCTCCGCCTCCTGGGTTCACACCATTCTTCTGCCTCAGCCTCCTGAGTATCTGGGACTACAGGCACCCGCCAACATGCCTGGCTAATTTTTTGTATTTTTAGTAGAGACGGGGTTTCACCGTGTTAGCCAGGATGGTCTTCATCTCCTGACCTGATCCGCCCGCCTCGACCTCCCAAAGTGCTGGGATTACAGGCATGAGCCACTGCGCTGGGCCAATGCTGTGATCTTTCTAAAATGAAAAAGCACTTGACACTTCAGCTAGGGATTTGGCAACTATGACACATCTCTAGTGCAGTTTCAGGTTCTAGGTAAGACTGGAGGGAAAGCCTGAGGCTTAATACACTTACTAAATAAGATGTCTATAGAAAATCATTGAAAAATACATCAGATGCTTTAATAATGGGAGGGGAAACATGTTTCTGCACAGGGACAATGGAGTGTTAAAGTGGTTGGAACATTGCTTGTCACATGAAAAATCTTATTTCCTTACTCATGGTCCTCAAGCATTTGGGTTTTGTGCTTTTGTTATAGCATTTCTCTGTAAAGATCAGCAGTGATTTCTTAAGAAACCAACTTGCAGATTGTGATAATATGAAATACAAATTTGGCGTTAGTCCCCACTTCCTAACATAGAACTTCTGAAAGACCTAGAATCTCCAAAGGGATGTCTGTTTGTATGCTAATGAGTTGATTGGTGGATGGCAACCCCAAAATAACTTCAGAATGTGACTGGTCACCAGAATGACCAAGACATGATTAGAGGATTGGGACTTTTAGCCCTTCCCCACAGCCTCCAGGAATGGGGGAGAGTCTGAAGGTTAAAGTAATCACCAGTGGCCAGCGGTTTAACCAATCATGCCTACATAATGAAACCATCATAAAAACCTAAAAGAACTAGGTTCTGAGAGCTTCCTGATAGCTGAACAGGTGGAAGTTCCTGGAGGTTGGAGTGCCCAGAGAGGGCATGGAAGCTCTGTGACCCTTCCGTACCTCGCCCTACTCATCTCTTCATCTGTATCCTTTGTAATATCCTCTATAATAACTAAGTAAATATGTTTCCCAGAGTTCTGCGAGCCACTCCAGCTGTGAATCCAAAGAGGGGGTGGTGTGAGTCCCAACTTGAAGCTGGTCAGGCAGAAATACTGGAGGTCCAAACTTTGGACTGGTGTCTAGGGTAATTTGAGGGACTGAGCCCTCAACCTGTGGAATTAGAGGACAGCCAGGTAGTATCCACTGCAGAAATGATTGCTTGTTTATGGTGGGGAGAAGTCCCCCACATTTAGTCACAGAAGTCTTATGTCTGTTGATTCTTGTGAGAGAGCATAAGGGAGAAAACCAGTGCTCATTTTTTTACTCAGACAGATCTACAGTATCCTTAGAGGAGCAAAGAAGGAAAAACTCATTTTAAAGTATACAGATATCCTGTATACAGTATGTAGGAATCAGAGTCAGTATCTCAAACAGAAAATAGAGAGGTCAGTGATAAGAAGAACTCTGTACAAACCTGAGAGCTCAGAATTTCAAATTCATTGTTTTGATTTCTTTTTCTTGTGTAATAATCTAAAATTAAGAAGGGAAAGGCAATAATTTAAAGAAATGCATATTATTTTTGGTAATCAGATGTGTGCTGTTTTTGTTTGGAAAGAGTGAGTGAAACAAAGGATCGCTGATAAGCTCTCCTTTTCTATTTAGCTTAGGCACCTCTGCTTCTCAGTCAGCACATGGCTGCTGTTGCAATCCTTTGCTTCTCTTCTCATTGATATGTAAACTTGAGTTGATGGATTGGCCCTTTAAGGATCAATGAAATTCTCCTCTCATTTCAATATCTTTTCTTAATTGTTCCCAACAGAATCTTCTTCCCTTAAAATCTGCAAAACATGTCTTTGTACTTATACTAATTATGTGTTACCGTCAGAAATCCTATTTTTCTGACTTATATTCTATCTCCCAACTGGACTGTAAGCTCTTTGAGGATAGGAACTAGTTTTATAATTCTTTACATTTCCAAAGCCTTCCACAGTACTTGAAATTATTACTCTCTGAAATTATGGTGATGATTTGGTAAAAGATACTAGAATTGACAGCAAGGAAAGCATACCACATTCATATTTTCTTCCTCAACTCACAGGAGTTTCCTTTGCTTCAAAATAAAAGTGAAACAGGAGATTGGAATAATTTTTGTGCAATACAACAAAATACTGAAGTTATTTATTTCCCCAGTTCAGTTAGAATGCTTTGTTTTACACTTAACAAATGAGTGGATTAAGATGGTCTAATTCAAAGTTTTCTTCATTTAACAGGATGGAAACTTCTCTGTCAGTACTATATTGGAAAAACCTCAAAATATGATGGTGGTTGGACAGTCAGCATTTGCAGACTTTGGTAAGATTTGGTAAAAAAAAAAAAAAAAGGCTTTTGCCTTTCCAATTCTCTCCTTCTTTCTGTTCTATTTATATTAATTCCCCATAGCAGGAAATAACTCCAGGGTCTTCAGAGCTATTATAGCTTCAAAAGATGCCTATTCCATAATAGTATTGTATGTGACATGTCAATTCCTTAATGAAATAAGGAGAAATTTATGATGTGTTTAAAAAATAGTTTGATACTGTTTGCAGAAGTAATATGCAAAACAAGAAAACTACTGAGACTTTTTCTAGAGAATTCCAGGTATTAATTACCGTAAATTCTTCACGTATATACAACATATGGAACAAATAGAAGTGAAGGAGTTAATATGACCTCTTAAAACCAATACTAAAAGCCATTTTTATTACAACTTAATTTTAAAGCAGATTAATGTCTATTATGAATTACCCAAAAGAGGACATATGAATTTCTGTTTTCCGTAAGATTCTGCACAATCAAGTTCACATTGGTCAGGAACTTCCAAAGCATATGTGGCTCTTTTTATCATTTGTCAGAGTAATTGTATGAGATGGGAAAGTGGTCTGCCCCACCTAAAAGCTGTTCAGTGCTTGTTCCCATCCTGCTGATCCTTCATTATGCCAATAAACCACCGTAGGCTTTCCTCAAAATGTAGATGAGACATCACCATGTTCAGATACCTCAGCTTCTTCATATATAAAATGGGAATGACAGTAATATCCACCTCTA
Organism: Homo sapiens; assembly: GCF_000001405.40. Lineage (NCBI taxonomy): Eukaryota > Metazoa > Chordata > Mammalia > Primates > Hominidae > Homo > Homo sapiens. The sequence continues at coordinate 47,365,055 of NC_000016.10, read as the reverse complement.
AAGGCTATTATGAATAGCACAATGTAAATGAAGCACAGTGACAGGCTTATAGCAAGAGCACAAGAAGTTAGAGTTTGAGCTGGGTACAGTGGCTCTCGCCTATAGCCCGAGCTACTTGGTAGGACTGTTTGAGCTCAGGAATTCAAGTCCATCCTGGGCAACATAGTGGAACCTCATCTCAAATTGTAGTTTGAGTCTATTCATTGGACTTACATGTTTTTTGTTCTTGTTGCCTCTGCTGCTCTGTATGCAGCTGACTAAATCAAGTCACTGTTCAGTGTCATATGGATGTATCCCAACACAGCTAAACCAGGAGGTTTGATAATGTCATATCATGGAAATTTTAACATGAATCTCTATGTTGTCCTGTATTTTAGTTATATTGAATATTATGTTAATTTTAAGTAAATTTCTGTTGCCTTTACAGTTTTTAATGCCAATAGTCAAGTGATAGAACACATGATGTTATTTTTTGGAATTTTCTGGCTAATTTGATTAGCTAGATTAATAACAGCTCTATCTGCAAGTCTCTCTTTAGGAAAAAAGTGTATATGTACTACATAATTTTCAGGGAGTACAGAGATCTCTCTGACCCCCTTAAGCCCTGGTTAAAAACTCCAAATTAAAGTTATATCTTTTATGATCGTGTGTTTTATATCATAAAATGCCTTACTTTTAACAAAATTATTAGTAGCTTTACTTTGAGGATTTTTTACAATTTTGCTAAACATAAACGTTTGCATGTTAGTGTTTTTAAGATATGCAGATTATAAGACACAGTCAAATTAAGAAACATATCTATTGCTCCATGTTTTTAATAGCTTTGGGTAGTTCATCAGTAAACTTTTTTAATAGTACACTTTTAATAAATATCACACATTGGCTTTTTAAAAGTTCATGTATTTTTAGTTGAATATTGGTAAAAAAGACTGCTGGGTCCAAAAATATGAATATTAACATATCAAAAATATGCATTTTTCCTGTGAAAAGTGTACATTTGAATATATTTGTGAATTGCATCCAGCCCTCCATCTTCCTTTCCACCTACTTCCTTTGAACCAAAACAAGGGAAGTGACTGACCGCCAGGAAGTCAGCATGATTCAAGAAATTTACCATTCAGTTGATAAAGAGTGCACATGCTTAAATAAGTGATGTAAGTGACAAGAAGTCTGTACCAAAGAGAAGTGTTTAAATGGCTCCCAGCTCACTTGTCTAAAAAAAAAGAGAAGACTAGAAAGGAACAGAGCCAAAGGGTAATAATGGTTTTGTTAAAGTAGGAAAATAGATTATCTTATTCCCTATTTTCCAAATTTTGTTATGTGGCTAGAATAATATGTTAATTTAATAGCAAAAAAGTAAATTATAGAGAAGTAGTAGTCAACAATGGCAAGAAATAAACCAAAGTATATACTTACTGCCCAGTAAAAAAAGTGTTATTTTTATCATAGAACTTTTGAGTTCATGTAAAATTGATACTATTTTCTGAGTGGCATGAACGACTCATTTAGAAAAGGTTGTGTATGGCTGGGTGTGGTGGTTTGTACCTGTAGTCTCAGCTTCTCGGGGCTGAGGCAGGAGAATTGCTTGAGCACAGGGGGTCAAGGCTGCAGTGAGCTGTGGTCAAGCCACTGCACCCTAGCCTAGGCAACACAAGTGAGACCTCATCTCTAAAAAAAATTTTTTTAAAGAATGAAAGAAGAGGTTGTGTAGTTTCACAGGGTCTTTAACACCAAATAAAATGTAAAAGTTAGACCTCTGAAAAAAATTAAACTTCTATTATGCTTTAAATATTGTGCTGAATACTATGTAAGAAAACTGATTTTAAAGGTAACATCCTTGTCTTTAGGAATTTTACAGGCCTGGTGCAATAGTTCACACCTGTAATGCCAACACTTTGGGAGGCTGAGGCGGGAGGATCACTTGAGCTCAGGAGTTTGAGACCAGCCTGGGCAACATGATGAAACCCCATCTCTACCAAAAATACAAAAAAATTAGCTGGACGTGGTGGCACAAGCCTGTGGTCCAGGCTACTCAGGAGACTGATGTGGGAGGATCACTTGAGCCTGGGAGGCAGACGTTGCAGTGAACAGTGATCGTGCCACTGCACTCCAACCTGGGTGGACAGAGTGAGACCCCCTCTCAAAAAATAAATAAATAAATAAATAAGAAAGAAAGAAATTTATAGTCCAGTTGGGAAGACAGAATATGAATATGTTAAAAAAAATACAAGAGTAAAGCAACAAGTAACTGCCACAATATAAGAGAAACCAAACTGCATTTCATTGTTGATTATGAAATTAATGCCATGGAAAAAGTGCTAATAAGTCTTGTGGAAACATAGATTATCCTAAGCTGAGAAAGGGTACAAAAGCCTCATGGAAGTGGTGAGATTTTGTACTGGACTTTGGCTAAAAATATGTGGAGACATAAAAATGGTTTGGTTAGTGACTAGTGAATAAACCACTTTGGGTTGAATCGACAGTTTCTGTAAAAATATAGAAGCATAATAAATGGCCTGGGAATCCATTGGATTACCAAATGAATAACAGATGAACAAATGTTGATTTTATTCTGTAGAAGTGATGGGAAATAGTAGAACAATTTTGAACATCTCTTTGTTAATACCTTTTTTATTAACTTCAGAAAGTAAAGTTGAACAAAATTTCTGGTCTGGTGGGATATGCATAATGTAATGCTTCTTGAGCATGCAGTAGGAGTTCAGAGGAAGATTATTAGAACCTCTGAGGTGCCTGAGATTTTGATGTTAAAAGAGAGGCAGATTTAAACAGTCTTAAAATGCAGTATTTTCTAAAGGTGGAAACCACTCAGGAGACAGGTCAGGGCATGAGGTGGTGAGAGCCGGAGCTGGACTACATCAGTATGTGGAGGGAATCAGTAAATTTGCTGATTGGTTTGACACTAGAGAGAGTAAAAAGTAAAAAATTGACTCTGAATTACCTAAAAAAGGGTGATACTATTCACAAAGATAGGTAAATCAGGAGAGGGAGCTGGATTGGGTACTGAGACGCTTTAAAGTTATCACATTAATCGTGCTGTAAAGACAACAAAGCCATCACATTTAGCAGACCTAAGATGAGGGAAAAAGCCAGGGCAGGTGTGAGAGCCCTTTAAGAGGGAAGAGGTCAAGACTGAGATGAGCCCTCCAAACAAGAAGGTGTAAAATGGAGATTGACAGAGGGCTAAGTAGGGAGAAAAATGGGTGCTAAAAGGTGGTCAGAAACCATCGGCAGATACTAAAATATAATGCAAAAGAAGACCAAGAAAAGACCTTTAGATTTTCATTTTAGCAGGGTATTAGTGGCCCAAAAGTTATCATTTGCAGAATTCTTAGAGCAGTCCCTTAGTCATAGAAATTACCCAATAAATACTTGCTGCTACTGGTAAGTGTCAGATGAGGTTCTGGGCCCTGGTCTCATATTTGGAACATCTGCAACCCATAAATGTCTCTCATACCTAAGAAATAATCAAGGAAGGTGTATCTTCTAGAAGACATGTTTTCTGTCTTGCCCTACTATATCTTCCTTTTAAACTGTATTTTAATCTTGAGTCTCTTTCTACGTAGGCTCTGAATATCAAATTCTAGAATTCCTATAAATAAGGTGTTATCTCTTATTAAATTATATAGGACAAAAAGTCAATAGAAATTAGAGAAAATGGGTATCAATTTTGTATGTAATACTAGGTGTAGTGGAAATCAATAAAAGCTATAAAACTGAAGGGAAAACAGAAACCTTATACAGAATGTCAGCATTTTTTATAGATTGAATTATTGTAAATGTCATATAAATTTATTTATAAATTATACAGATCTCATGCTAACTGCTGTGTATCACATCTTCAGAAGGAGATCACACTTTCTTCTTCAAGTAAAGGGAGAATACTGGGCATGATGAATTGGGCCTTGGAATTTTCAGTCAGATCTAAATAATCCTATAAAAAATAAAGGAACTAATGAAAATGGAAAACTGTCATTCGTGAAAGTTATAAACATACTAGAAAATCTTGAACAACTTAAAGATAGTGTCATTGATGGTTAACCCCAAATATGATTCAATGAGTACACCCAGTACCTAGCACAGTAATCAATGACATTTAGTAAAGTAAAGGAGAAAGGTAGGGACACCCCACATTAAAGTTGTTTTGTGAAGCCTTATAATATTTGGTAAAGATTCAGATGTTAATTCTAAATTAACCATCGTGGAGCTGATTTCAAAGCATTTATAGCAATTATGCTTCCTTTGTTTTATGGCTAGGTGTATTGAGTAACCATCTGACAAATTAAAATTGTTTCTTGTTCATGTTTGATCTGGAAAGTAAATCAGATGCGCCGTGTGTGGAAATGTAAATTTTATATTTAGTCTGAATGCTAATTGGTAATTGAATGTTCATATTCTCTCTCACAAAAGAATTTTAAAAATCAAATGCCTTCAAATAAACAGGTGATGATTATATTATAAAAGAAGCTAGAAAGCAGAAAGTTCTGGGTGCTATGCTTTCTGTACTTGGTCTTATTATGTAAATCATTTAAGATTGGCTTTTGGTCCACAGTCTTACATTAATGGCACTCTTGTTTGTTTGTATCTTATAGTTGAAAATTGGCTGCTGTTTCGTTAAGTAGCCCTTTTCATTGAAAAGGGACATTGAACACTAGTCAAAAAATCAATAAAACAGAGGAATGTTTGAAGTTGCAGATATTCTCTCTTAAATGTACTACTGTACCATATCACTGTCATTGCCAGTCAGAAATTATCAAGTAAATACAGAGTACATTAATATGTATAATATGGGCAAATTAGATGTAAGTGCTGCATTATAATACTTTGATATTCTTCAAATTGTATGGTACATACATAGGATTCAGTCAAATAGCTCAGTCAAATAGCATGTTTATTCTTTAAAATTGTGGAGCAATTCATTTTCCTTCCATTTAGTTGCCTTTCTGTTTTATAATGAAATATTTTTATTGTGTACAAGGCATTGGTTAATGAATTCAAAAAACGTTTTAGAGTTCCTACTATTTGGACTGGCTGTGTATTATATGCTTGGCATATAGCCAAGCCTCAAGCATACAAAAACCCTGTTCTCATGAAGTTTAAATTCTATTGAGGGAAGAAAGACAAAAACAATTAAATTAATAAGGAATTATTAGAAAGTTGTAAGAGCTCTGAGGGAATTAAACAAAGGGCTATAATAGGAAATGAGAAGGGCTATTTTAAGTAGCTCGTTGGAGGTTACATCTGATCTGAGACTTGAGTGAAGTTGTAGAAGGTTTTTGGGGAAAATGCTCCATGCAGACGGAACACATAAGTGAAGATTCTAAGGCAACAGTAAGCTTGATGTTCAAGGAACAAAAAGAAGGCTGGCACTTGGCCAGGTCTTGTAGTGCTTTGTGGACAAAGGTAACAAGGAGTTTGGATTTTATTCTAAATGTAACTGGAAACTTCAAGGGGACTAGTTAAGAGGGAAAAGCTATGGTGACTTGGACCAGGGAAACCACCAGGAAATGGATAGAAATAGTCTTATTTAGGACATATTGGAGACAAAGTTGACAAGAAATGCTGATGGATTAGATGTTGAGGGGAAGAGAAAAAGAAGACTGATTTCTAGATTTTTGGTTTGAACAACTCAGCGCCATTTGATGAGGTAGGAAAGGAGTAGGAAGAGGAACTCTGGAGTTCTGTTAATTGATAGTTCTGTTTGGGACATGTTAAGTTTGAGATGTCTGTTAGAAGACAAAATGAAATACAAATGGGAGATAAAAGCTCTGGAGAGACACAGAGTTGGATATTAGCATGTCCTTGTTTAACTGCCATTTAGAAGACAGATAATGGATAAATGAAGGAGCGCATGTCCAAAGCATCCTGCCTTTGTTTCTAACATTATAAATGCACCTGTGCTCCAGTCACATTGCCTCCTTGGTGTTCTGCAAATTGTCCCTCCTGAGGCCTTTGCCCTTGCTTATCCCTCTGCATGATATTCCTCATGACTCACCCCCATACCACCTTCTGGTTTTGCCACATCACCCTCTCCTGGAGGCCTTCCCTGACCACTCTATTTAAAACTGTAAACCCTACCCCCAGCACTTCCGCCCTGCTTTCCTGCTTTATTTTTCTCCATTGCAGACTATTGCTGACATGGTATTCATTCTACTCATGTGCCCTCACCAGAACTCCATTGGTGTATTTTGTCCACCATTATATCTCTCAAGCCTATAGCAGTGCCAGTCACATTATAAATACTAATGAATAATATTAAATGAATTATTTAATTAAATGAAAAATACTCTATTCAATTGGATATTAACTATTCAGTATTAACATTGAAAATTTCAAAATATTATAAATGGTTTTTAAGAATTAAGTTTAGGAAATATTAAGACCTTCAACTATAATCCTAAACCAGAACTTCTGAGATTCATTCATATGATAAAGATTAACATATCATTACTTTTGCTTATTTTGATTAAAGTTAAGTGATTAAAAATTGTTCTGAATCTAAAATGCATGGGTGCTGGTTTCAGTAGGAGACATCCTGGATCCTTATAAATTGTTAATTCTTAGTCTTCCTATTTACATTTTCTAATTCATGAATTCTGACCAGTAGATAACAACATACATTATCTACAGTATTTACTGTTATTTAGCATTTAAATAGACAACTGTATTTGTACAGCTTCTTAATATCCTTTTGTTTTTTCATAGTGCCAATTCTGTTTCCATGTATTCGAAGTCATCATAATCAGTTAAAACAGTTCTCCCTCTAACCTGCGGGACCTTTGTCTCCCTTAGCCTACTCTGCTCCTATCCCATCAAAAAAGGACAATGCTATTAGAAATTTTTGGTAAAACAAATATTTTATGTGCACTCATTGCCACAAAGCACCCAAAGTGGTGAGGTGTTCTTAGAGTCCTCTTCTAATATTTGCAATACTCTTTCAAACAAATAATAAACCCAGGTCATTAGTATTTCCTTTTCATTCCATGTCTGTGATGATTGCAGTGCAATAGTTACCACAGCAAAAGTGATTAGTTCCTGAGTTTCTACCTTGTAGCAAAGACTTCTCTGAGGCATCTATCTTGGTGAGTCATGGATGCCAGATGTGATTCTGATAAATATTTTGAATGCTTTTTGATTGGAAATCATAATTTATATAAAAATTATAAAATGGCTGCTTCATAGTCTTGACTTTTTACATATTCAACATCTAAAGCAGACTAGGCTATATTAGTTTCTTTTAAGGTATACAAATATGAGGAAAAACTAGGACTCTATATCCCTGGAGCCATTTTGTACAGGTTTGCATATAATAAATTCATGCCTTTCTAGGTAAGAGTGTTTTTTTCCTAAATATACCTCTGACATATTGTATTCTCAAGACTATACTGTGCATTGCATTTAATTTTTTTTTTTTTTTTTTTTTGAGACGGAGTCTTGCTCTGTCACCTAGGCTGGAGTGCGGTGGCATGATCTCAGCTCACTGAAAGCTCCGCCTCCCAGGTTCACGCCATTCTTCTGCCTCAGCCTCCCGGGTCGCTGGGACTACAGGTGCCCACCACCACGCCCGGCTAATTGTTTTGTATTTTTAGTAGAGACGGGGTTTCACCATGTTAGCCAGGTTGGTCTCGATCTCCTGACCTCACGATCCGCCCACCTCAGCCTCCCAAAGTGGTGGGATTACAGGCGGGAGCCACTGCGCCCAGCCGCATTTAATTTTTTTAATGATGAATGGTATTATGAATGTATACTCAGCCTTTTCAATATTAAATTTAGCATACTTAAAAATGCTATGGGATAATGTTGTATTTTACATTATTATATTGCTATTTTGTAATTTAATAGATGGTATGTTTAATACTTTCTAATATAACCCACAAATTAATTGGAATATTTGTCACTCTAAGCCTACCCTAGTTAATATAATTGATCTATGATAAATGGAGCACCCCATGAAACTGTTCTGTTAACTATGCATAGCTCTTTCTTTTTTTTTTTTATTGCAACAGTACTATGAAAGTGATTATTGCAGATAACTTGGCTATTGTTAGACCTTACAGATACATATAGCTAGGAAGGACCAAAAGATGGTGAGATTTATTTCTCTATGGCACATTACACCTGAGAGGAATTCCCTGCCATGAGTCAGAGTGGCATAGGAGCTCATTATGAAGAGCCTAATGCCACTCCTAGGCAGAAAATATCCTGCCCTATTTTCAAACACGTCTGACTTCCATTTCAACCCCATATTTTCCCCTCCGTAACTCCACATTTTCACTCTGTGTAAATGCCCCATTCATTGATAAGTCATAGTTGTGCTTCTTGGATGTAGGCATGTACACAGCTTTTCTGTGCTTAACCTTAACCCAATGAAGAGCTGAATAATGAATTGATGGGTTGAATGAATGGTGGGTGATGGATGGATAGTGACTGAATGGATGAAAGTGCCCTTTACTACTTATCACTTATTCACAGCAATCCATTCCCTCCGACTCTCTCACAAAGCAATCCTATTTTCCTGTTCGGTTCCCTAGTAGCAAGACAGTTCCCTTTTAGTCCTTGTTACACACAGACAAGTGGACATTCTCTGTATTTAACTTGCCCCTGCCTATCATCACATCACCCTCTGTAACTAATATATGTTGAATTTAATCAAGAGAAAGCTTTCAAATTTTTGTTAATCAGTGACGTTGAAAGGATTTACAAGTTTTGTATATTGCAAATGTCTCTTTGCTTCTTTTTCATAATGCTCAAAAATAGTTATTTTTGGCAGAAACTATTTCATAGAAAATATTTTACATTTATCTCAAGTAATCTTTCCAAACCTTTCTGAGGTGAACAATATTGTTTAGCCACATTATAGAATGTGGTAATAGGGGTTCAGAGAAGTTAAGAAACTTGACCAAGGGCACATAGCTAGGGAGGGAGTGGCAGAGCTGGGACATGATCTTTGGCTCTGTCTCACAAGCTGTATCCTTACCTTAAACACTATACACTCCTTCTTCATCTGCATTAGTTTAAATTTTAAAATATGTTATCATCTTCAGTAATGGTCACCAACAGTGACCTACTAGTATATATGCTGTTTGCTTTTAGAACCATGTGTTTTGATAGTGAATCTTCTCCATCTGCTCCCTGTGGTTTTCACATATTATTTTTAGAATTTTTATACTCTTTGACCACTCTCCCAAGTCATCCATCTCAAAAATATGATTATGTATATCTATAATTCTAGAATATATGTTTATGGATTCCAGAAAAAATAAACCCAAGCAATAGTGATTTTGATATAAAATTTATTAAAAATTGATTTCTGTTGGAATAAAACAAGCTTTCAGAATATAAATTTTTTGTAGGTTTTTGTAAATTTTTAGTTAACATGTAATACTTATACATATTTGTGGGATACAATGTGATGTTTCAATACATGTATACATTGTGTAACGTTCAAATCAGTAATTAGCAAATCTATCACCTCAAGCATCGTTTCTTTGTGGTGAGAACATTAAAAATAATCTCTTTTAGCTATTATGAAATACACAATACATCACAGCTACCTATAGTCACCCTACTGTGCAGTAGAACACCAGAAAGTATTCTGCCAGTCTTAACTGTAACTTTGTGCCCTTTGACCAAGCTCTCTCCATATCCTCTCCCCAGCCTCTGATAATCACTATTCTCTCTACTTCTATGAGATCTACTTATTTTAGATTCCACATATGAGTGAATTCATATGGTATTTATTTTCTGGGTCTGGCTTATTTCACTTGACATAATGACCTCCAGGTTCATCCATGTTGTCGTAAATGACAGGACTACATTCCTTTTCGTGTCTGAACAATATATCATTGTATATAGATACCACATTTTTTTTTATCCATTCATACATTTGATGGACTCAGGTTGTTTCCTTATCTTGGCTATTGTGAATAGTGCTGTAATAAACATAGGGATATAGATATCTCTTGAAATACTGATTTCATTTCCTTTAGCTATATACCCAGTAGTAGGATTGCTGAATCATATGATAGTTCTATTCGTAATATTTTTTTAGGAAACTCCATACTGTTTTACATAATGGCTGTACTAATTTACATTCCCACCAACAATATGTCAGGGTTCCCTGTTCTCCACTTCTTCACCAACACTTGCTATCGTTTTTCATAATAGCCACTCTAACTAGAGTGAGGTGATAGATATCTCGTTGTGATTTTGATTTGCATTTTCTGATGATTCATGATGTTGAGCATTTTTTCATATACTTATTGGCCATTTCTGTGTTGTCTTTTGAGAAATGTCCATTCAGGTCTTTTGCCCATTTTTAATCACAATTTTTTTTGGTATTGAATTCTTTGGGTTCCTTATTAATTCTTATATTAACACTGTCAGATGTATAGATTGCAAATACCTTTTCCATTTTTTAGGTTGTCTCATCACTCTTACTTGTTTCCTTTGATGTGCAGAAGCTTTTTAGTTAGCTGTAATCTCATTTGCCTACTTTTGCTTTTGTTGCCTGTGCTTTTGAGGTCTTATCTAAAAAAATCCTTGACAAGACCAATGTCATGAAGTATTTCCCCATGTATTTTTTTAGTAGTTTCAGAGTTCTAAGTCTTACCTTTAAGGCTTTAACCTATTTTGAATTGATTTTTTTAATATGATGAGAAATGGGGGTTGACTTTCATTCTTCTGCATGTAGAAATCCAATTTTCCCAACACCATTTATTGAAGAGACTGTCCTTTCCCCAGTGTGTGTTCTTGGTACCTTTGTCAAAGATCAGCTGGCTGTAGATGCATGGATTTATATCTGTATTCATATTCTGTTCTATTGGTCTATGTTTCTGTTTTTATGACAGTATCATGCTGTATTGATTACCATAGCTTTGTAGTATGTTTTAAAGTAAGGTATTATGGTGCCCCCCAGCTTTGTTCTTTTTGCTTAAGATTACTTTGGCTATTCAAAGTCTGTTGTGGTTCCACACAAACGTTAGGATTTTTTTCCCTACTATTGTCAAGAATGTCATTGGTATTTTGATAGGGATTGCAGTGAATCTGTAGATTGCTTTGGGTAGTGTGGTCATTTTAACCATATTCCTTTGGTTATATTTATGAATTCTTGCGATTCATGAACACAGGGTATCTTTTCATTATTTGTATCTGATTCAATTTCTTTCATCAATTTTCTAGTTTTGTTATAAAGATCTTTCATCTCCTTAGGCTTAATCTCAGTATCTTATTTTTTTTGTAAATATTGTAAGTGGGATTTTTTTCTTGATTTCTTTTTCAGATAGTTTATTATTATGTATAGAAATGCTACTGATTTTTGCATGTTGATTTGTATCCTGCACCTTTACTGAATTCATTTATTAATTCTAAAAGGGTTTTTTTTGATGGAGTCTAGGGTTATATAAGATAATGTCATCTGCAAACAAGAACAGTTTGACTGCCTCCTTTCCAATTTGAATATCTTTTAATATCTTTCACATAATTGCTCTGGCTAAGATTTCCAATTTTTTTTTAATACAAGTGGTGAAACTGGGCATCCTTGTCTTCTTCCATATCTTAGGGGAAAAGCTTTCTTTCAACTTTTTCCTTTTCAATTGATGTTAGCTGTAGGTTTGTCATATATGGTTTTTATTGTGTTGAGGTACATACCTGCTATACCTAATCTGTTGAGAGGTTTTTATCACAAAGGGATACTGAATTCTGTCAAATGCTTTTTCTTCATCTATTATTGTCAATCTCATTTATTGATTTGTGTATATTGAACCATTTTTATGCCTCTGGGATGAATCCCACTTGATCGTGGTGATTCTTTTTTTTAATTTTTTTTAATTATACTTTAAGTTCTAGGGTACATGTGCACAATGTGCAGGTTTGTTACATATGTCTACATGTGCCATCTTGGTGTGCTGCACCCATTAACTCATCATTTAGCATTAGGTATATCTACTAATGCTATCCCTCCCCCCTCACCCTACCCCACAACAGGCCCCGGTGTGTGATATTCCCCTTCCTGTGTCCAACTGTTCTCATTGTTCAATTCCCACCTATGAGTGAGAACATGTGGTGTTTGGTTTTTTGTCCTTGGCGATAGTTTGCTGAGAATCATGGTTTCCAGCTTCATCCATGTCGCTACAAAGGAGATGAACTCATCATTTTTTATGGCTGCATAGTATTCCATGGTGTATATGTGCCACATTTTCGTAATCCAGTCTGTCATTGTTGGACATTTGGGTTGGTTCCAAGTCTTTGCTATTGTGAATAGTGTCGCAATAAACATATGTGTGCATGTGTCTTTATAGCAGCATGATTTATATTCCTTTGGGTATATACCCAGTAATGGGACGGCTGGGTCAAATGGTATTTCTAGTTCTAGATCCCTGAGGAATCGCCACACTGACTCCCACAATGGTTGAACTAGTTTACGGTCCCACCAACAGTATAAAAGTGTTCCTCTTTCTCCACATCCTCTCCAGCACCTGTTGTTTCCTGACTTTTTAATGATCGCCATTCTAACTGGTATAGATGGTATCTCAATGTGGTTTTGATTTGCATTTCTCTGATGGCCAGTGATGATGAGCATTTTTTCATGTGTTTTTTGGCTGCATAAATGTCTTCTTTTGAGAAGTGTCTGTTCATATCCTTCGCCCACTTTTTGATGGGGTTGTTTGTTTTTTCCTTGTAAATTTGTTTGAGTTCATTGTAGATTTGGGATATTACCCCTTTGTCAGATGAGTAGATTGCAAAACTTTTCTCCCATTCTGTAGGTTGCCTGTTCACTCTGATGGTGGTTTCTTTTGCTGTGCAGAAGCTCTTTAGTTTAATTACATCCCATTTGTCAATTTTGGCTTTTGTTGCCATTGCTTTTGGTATTTGGGACATGAAGTCCTTCCCCATGCCAATGTCCCGAATGGTATTGTCTAGGTTTTTTCTAGGGTTTTTATGATTTTAGGTCTAACATTTAAGTCTTTAGTCCATCTTGAATTAATTTTTGTATAAGGTGTAAGGAAGGGATCCAGTTTCAGCTTTCTACATATGGCTAGCCAGTTTTCCCAGCATCATTTGTTAAATACGGAATCCTTTCCCCATTTCTTTTTTGTCAGGTTTATCAAATATCAGATAGTTGTAGATGTGTGGTATTATTTCTGAGGGGTCTGTTCTGTTCCATTGGTCTCTATCTCTGTTTGGTACCAGTACATGGCTGTTGTGGTTACTGTAGCCTTGTAGTATAGTTTGAAGTCAGGTAGCGTGATGCCTCCACCTTTCTTCTTTTGGCTTAGGATTGACTTGGCAATGCGGGCTCTTTTTTGGTTCCGTATGAACTTTAAAGTAGCTTTTTCCAATTCTCTGAAGAAAGTCACTGGTAGCTTGATGCGGATGGCACTGAATCTATAAATTGCCCGGGGCAGAATGGCAATGTTCACGATATTGATTCTTCCTATCCATGAGCATGGAATGTTCTTCCATTTGTTTGTGTCCTCTTTTATTTCATTGAGCAGTGGTTTGTAGTTCTCCTTGAAGAGGTCCTTCACATCCCTTGTAAGTTGGATTCCTAGGTATTTTATTCTCTTTGAAGCCATTGTGAATGGGAGTTCACTCATGATTTGACTCTCTGTTTGTCTGTTTTTGGTGTATAAGAATGCTTGTGATTTTTGCACATTGATTTTCTATCCTGAGACTTTGCTGAAGTTGCTTATCAGCTTAAGGAGATTTTAGGCTGAGACGATGGGGTTTTCTAGATGTACAATCATGTCATCTGCAAACAGGGACAATTCGACTTCCTCTTTTCCTAATTGAATACCCTTTATTTCCTTCTCCTGCCTAATTGCCCTGGCCAGAACTTCCAACACTATGTTGAATATTAGTGGTGAGAGAGGGCATCCCTGTCTTGTGCCAGTTTTCAAAGGGAATGCTTCCAGTTTTTGTCCATTCAGTATGATATTGGCTGTGGTTTTGTCATAAATAGCTCTTATTATTTTGAGATACATCCCATCAATACCTAGTTTATTGAGAGTTTTTAGCATGAAGCGCTGTTGAATTTTGTCAAAGGCCTTTTCTGCATCTATTGAAATGACGTGGTTTTGTCTTTGGTTCTGTTTATATGCTGGGTTATGTTTATTGATTTGCATATGTTGAACCAGCCTTCCATCCCAGGGATGAAGCCCACTTGATCATGGTGGATAAGCTTTTTGATGTACTGCTGGATTCGGTTTGTCAGTATTTTATTGAGGATTTTTGCATCGATGCTCATCAGGGATATTGGTCTAAAATTATCTTTTTTTGTTGTGGCTCTGCCCGGCTTTGGTGTCAGGATGATGCTGGCCTCATAAAATGAGTTAGGGAGGATTCCCTCTTTTTCTATTGATTGGAATAGTTTCAGAAGGAATGGTACCAGCTCCTCCTTGTACCTCAGGTAGAATTCGGCTGTGAATCCATCTGGTCCTGGACTGTTTTTGGTTGGTAAGCTATTAATTATTGCCTCAATTTCAGAGCCTGTTATTGGTCTATTCAGAGAATCAACTTCTTCCTGGTTTAGTCTTGGGAGGACGTATGTGTCAAGGAATTTATCCATTTCTACTAGAGTTTCTAGTTTATTTGTGTAGAGGTGTTTATAGTATTCTCTGATGGTAGTTTGTATTTCTGTGGGATCGGTGGTGATATCCCCTTTATCATTTTTTATTGCGTCTATTTGATTCTTCTCTCTTTTCTTCTTTATTAGTCTTGCTAGTGGTCTATCAATTTTGTTGATCTTTTCAAAAAACTAGCTCCTGGATTCATTGATTGTTTTGAAGGGTTTTTTTGTCTCTATCTTCTTCAGTTCTGGTCTGATCTTAGTTATTTCTTGCCTTCTGCTAGCTTTTGAATGTGTTTGCTTTGCTTCTCTAGTTCTTTTAATTGTGATATTAGGGTGTCAATTTTAGATCTTTCCTTCTTTCTCTTGTGGGCATTTAGTGCTATAAATTTCCCTCTACACACTGCTTTGAATGTGTCCCAGAGATTCTGGTATGTTGTGTCTTTGTTCTCATTGGTTTCAAAGAACATCTTTATTTCTGCCTTCATTTCGTTATTTACCTACCTAGTAGTCATTCAGGAGCAGGTTGTTCAGTTTCCATGTAGTTGACCAGTTTTGAGTGAGTTTCTTAATCCTGAGTTCTAGTTTGATTGCACTGTGGTCTGAGAGACAGTTTGTTATAATTTCTGTTCTTCTACATTTGCTGAGGAGTGCTTTACTTCCAACTATGTGGTCAGTTTTGGAATAGGTGTGGTGTGGTGCTGAGAAGAATGTATATTCTGTTGATTTGGGGTAGAGAGTTCTGTAGATGTCTGTTAGGTCTGCTTGGTCCAGAGCTGAATTCAATTCCTGGATATCCTTGTTAACTTTCTCTCTCATTGATCTGTTTAACATTGACAGTTGGGTGTTAAAGTCTCCCATTATTATTGTGTGGGAGTCTAAGTCTCTGTGTAGGTCTCTAAGGACTTGCTGTATGAATCTGGGTGCTCCTGTATTGGGTGCATATATATTTAGGATAGTTAGCTCTTCTTGTTGAAGTGATCCCTTTACCATTATGTAATGGTGTTCTTTGTCTCTTTTGATCTTTGTTGGTTTAAAGTCTGTTTTATCAGAGACTAGGATTGCAACCCCTGCCTTTTTTTGTTTTCCATTTGCTTGGTAGATCTTCCTCCATCCCTTTATTTTGAGCCTATGTGTGTCTCTGCACATGAGATGGGTTTCCTGAATACAGCACACTGATGGGTCTGACTCTTTATCCAATTTGCCAGTCCGTGCCTTTTAATTGGAGCATTTAGCCCATTTACATGTAATGTTAATATTGTTATGTGTGAATTTGATCATGTCATTATGATGTTAGCTGGTAACTTTGCTCATTAGTTGATGCAGTTTCTTCCTAGCATCAGTGGTCTTTACAATTTGGCATGTTTTTGCAGTGGCTGGTACCGGTTGTTCCTTTCCATGTTTAGTGCTTCCTTCAGGAGCTCTTTTAGGGCAGGCCTGGTGGTGACAAAATCTCTCAGCATTTGCTTGTCTGTAAAGTATTTTATTTCTCCTTCACTTGTGAAGCTTAGTTTGGCTGGATATGAAATTCTGGGTTAAAAATTCTTTTCTTTAAGAATGTTGAATATTGGCCCCCACTCTCTTCTGGCTTGTAGAGTTTCTGCTGAGAGATCCGCTGTTAGTCTGATGGGCTTCCCTTTGTGGGTAACCCGACCTTTCTCTCTGGCTGTCCTGAACATTTTTTCCTTCATTTCAACTTTGGTGAATCTAACAATTATGTGTCTTGGAGTTGCTGTTCTCAAGGAGTATCTTTGTGGTGTTCTCTGTATTTCCTGAATTTGAATGTTGGCCTGCCTTGCTAGGTTGGGGAAGTTCTCCTGGATAATATCCTGTAGAGTGTTTTCCAACCTGGTTCCATTCTCCCTATCACTTTCAGGTACACCATTCAGACGTAGATTTGGTCTTTTCACATAGTCCCATATTTCTTGGAGGCTTTATTCATTTCTTTTTATTCTTTTTTCTCTAAACGTCTCTTCTCACTTCATTTTGCTCATTTGATCTTCCATCACTGATACCCTTTCTTCCAGTTAATGGAATCAGCTATTGAAGCTTATGCATTTGTCACGTAGTTCTTGTGCATGGTTTTCAGCTCCATCAGGTCCTTTAAGGACTTCTCTGCATTGGTTATTCTAGTTAGCCATTTGTCTAATCTTTTTTCAAGGTTTTTAACTTCTTTGCGTTGGGATCAAACTTCCTCCTTTAGCTCGGAGAAGTTTGATCATCTGAATCCTTCTTCTCTTAACTCGTCAAAGTTATTCTCCGTCCAGCTTTGTTCCGTTGCTGGTGAGGAGTTGCGTTCCTTTGGAGGAGGAGAGGTGCTCTGATTTTTAGAATTTTCAGTTTTTCTGTTCTGTTTTTTCCCCATCTTTGTGGTTTTATCTACCTTTTGTCTTTGATGATGGTGACGTACGGATGGGGTTTTGGTGTGGATGTCCTTTCTGTTTGTTAGTTTTCCCTTTAACATTCTGGACCCTCAGCTGCAGGTCTGTTGGAGTTTGTTGGAGGTCCACTCCAGACCCTATTTGCCTGGGTATCAGCAGTGGAGGCTGCAGAACAGTGAATGTTGCTGAACAGCGAATATTGCTGATCAGCAAATGTTGCTGTCTGATCGTTCCTCTGGAAGTTCCGTCTCAGAGGGGTACCCGGCCATGTGAGGTGTCAGTCTGCCCCTACTTGGGGGTGCCTCCCAGATAGGCTACTTGGGGGTCAGAGACCCACTTGAGGAGGCAGTCTGTCCGTTCTCAGATCTCAGACTCTGTGCTGGGAGAACCACTACTCTCTTCAAAGCTGTCAGACAGGAACAGTTAAGTCTGCAGAGGTTTCTGCTGCCCTTTGTTCGGCTATGCCCTGCCCCCAGAGGTGGAGTCTACAGAGGCAGGCAGGCCTCCTTGAGCTGTGGTGGGCTCCACCCATTTCGGGCTTCCCAGCTGCTTTGTTTACCTACTCAATCCTCAGCAATGGTGGGCGCCCCTCCCGCAGCCCTGCTGCTGCCTTGCAGTTCGATCTCAGACTGCTGCGCTAGCAATGAGCAAGGCCCCATGCGCGTGAGACCCTCCCAGCCATGCACAGGATATAATCTCCTGGTGTGCCATTTGCTAAGACCATTGGAAAAGCGCGGTATTAGGGTGGGAGTGACCCGATTTTCCAGGTGCCATCTGTCACAGCTTTGCTTGGCTATGAAAGGGAATTCCCTTACCCCTTGCACTTCCTGGGTGGGGCGATGCCTCGCCCTGCTTCGGCTCACGCTCAGTGCGCTGCACCCACTGTCTTGCACCCACTGTCCGACAAGCCCCAGTGAGATGAACCCGGTACCTGAGTTGGAAATGCAGAAATCACCCGTCTTCTGTGTTGCTCACGCTGGGAGCTGTAGACTGCAGCTGTTCCTATTCGGCCATCTTGGAACCGCCCCAATCGTGGTGAATCTTTAATGTGTTGTTGAATTTGGTTTGCCAGTGTTTTGTTGAGGCATTTTTGATCTATGTTTATCAGGGACATTGGCCTGTAGTTTTGTTGTTGTTGTGTCCTGGGCTGGTTTTGATATCAGAGTAATTTTGTTCTTGTAGAATAAGTTTGTAAGAATTCCCTCCTCTCCAGTTTTCTGGAATACTCTGAGAATTGGTATTAGTTCTTCTTTACATGGTTTGGTAGAATTCAGCAGTGAAGCCATCAAGTCCTGGGCTTTTCTTTGATATGAGACTTTATTACTGATTCAATCTCATTGCTCATTGGCCTGTTTAAATTTTCTATATTTCGTCATGATTCAATCTTGGTAGGTTGTGTATATCCAGGAATTTATCAGTGTCTTCTAGATTTTCCAGTTTGTTGGCATATAGTTGTTCATAATAATCTCTTATGTTCCTTTGTATTTCAGTACTATCAGTTATAATGCCTGCTTCTTCTCTGATTTTAAGTATTCTCTTTGTTTCTTAGTCTAGCTAACAGTTTGTAGATTTTGCTCATCTTTTCAGAAAGCTAACTCTTCCCTTTATTGATCTTTTGTCTTTTCTGAGATATGTGTTTATTGCTGTAGTCATCCCTCTGACTACTGCTTCTGCTGTAACCCATGTGTTTTGATATGTTGTATTTCATTTTCATTTGTCTCTAGAAATGTTTTAACTACTTCATTGACCATTGGTTCTTCAGGAGCATGTTGTTTAATTCCCATGTATT
Organism: Homo sapiens; assembly: GCF_000001405.40. Taxonomy (NCBI): domain Eukaryota; kingdom Metazoa; phylum Chordata; class Mammalia; order Primates; family Hominidae; genus Homo; species Homo sapiens. The sequence goes on along the minus strand of NC_000016.10, from coordinate 47,346,298 downwards.
TATATAGTTTTCCAAGTTCCTCCTGTATCAATGAGTATTTTTATACAGTTGTGGTTGGAAACAATACCTGATACAATTTCAGTTTTTTAAAATTTATTAAGACTTGTTTTGCAGCCTACCATATGGAGGAGGGAATTCTTCCAAACTCATTCTGTAAGACCAGAATTACTCTGATATCGAAACCAACTGGACACATCTTGGAGAATGTTCCATGTGTACCAGCAAAGTATGTGTATTTTGCTGCCATTGGATGGAAAGTTCTGTATATATCTGTTAGGTCTGTTTTGTTCTAAGTGAAGTTCAATTCTGGTAGTTCCTTATTAATGTTGAAAGTGGGATACTGAAGTCTCCTAGTAGTATTGTATTACTATTTACTTCTCTATTCGTGCCCATTAATATTTGCTCTATATATTTAGGTGCTCCGATGTTGGGTGCATATATGGTCATTTTCTACATTGTGCCATTTTGGTCAACCACGGACCGCATATACAATGGTAGTCCCATGAAATTATAGTACCATTTCTTTGCTGTACCTTTTCTATGTTTACATATCTTTAGACACACAAATACTCATCATTATGTTACAAATTGCCTACAGCAACCTTGTCCAACCTGCAGCCCGTGGGCTGCATGTGGCCCAGGACAGCTTTAAATACAGCTCAGCACAAATTTGTAAACTTTCTTAAAATATGAGTTTTTTGGCTGGGCACAGTGGCTGATGCCTGTAATTCCAGCACTTTTGGAGGCCAAGGTGGGCGGATCTCTTGAGGTCAGGAGTTCAAGACCAGCCTGGCCAACATGGTGAAACCCCATCTCTACAAAAAATACAAAATAGCCAGGCGTGGTGGCACGCATCTGTAATCCCAGCTACTCAGGAGGCTGAGGCAGGAGAGTTGCTTGAACCCAGGAGGCAGAGGTTGCAGTGAGCCGAGATAGTGCCACTGCACTCCAGCCTGGGCGACAGAGTGAGACTCTGTCTAAAAAAAACAAACAAACAAAAAAAAAAAGAGTTTTTTTGCAATTTTTTTTCTTTTTTAGCTCATCAGCTATCATTAGTGTTAGTGTATTTCATGTGTAGCTCAAGACCATTTTTCTTCTTCCATTGTGGCCCAGGAAGCCAAAAGATTGGACACCTCTGAGTTAGATGACTTGCCAGTTCCTTTTTTGTCCTGCCTTACCTACTGTTTTAACCCTTGCTAAACACTATAGTAATTATTTGTTTACTTCTTTTTTCCCCCACTTTCCTGGGAGTTCCTTGAAGACAGAGACCATAACTTTTCATATTTCTATTTCCAGTGTTTAGAATAGTGGCTGGCTAAATGTCCATCAACAGATGAATGGATAAGAAAATGTGGTACTTATACACAGTAGAGTACTATTCAGTCATAAAAAAGAATGAGATCCTGTCATTTGCAACAGCATGGATAGCACTGGAAGTCATTATGTCAAGTGAAATAAGCCAGGCACAGAAAGACAACATCCCATGTTCTCACTTACATGTGGGATCTAAAACTGAAAACAATTGAAATGGACATAGACAGTAGGAGGATGGTTATCAGAGGCTGAGAAGGGTAATGAGGTGTGTGGGGAAGGTGGGGATGGTTAATGCCTGTACCAAATATCTCAGATAACCCATTAATATATATGCCTACTATGTACCCACAAACATTAAAACTTAAATAAACTAAAAATAGATTGGTGGATGACACATAGTAACCCTTAATAAATGTTGACCAAATAATTCCTTTGGAAAAAACTCTTGCTAAATAAATTATTTTAAGTTTTTAACAGTTTTATTGTAGTAAAATTTACATATCATAAAAGTCTTCCATTTTAAGTGTAGAGTTCAGTGAGTTTTAATAAACTATGAGACAGTTGTATAAGCATAACAACAATCTCAGTTTTGGAATACTTCCATTAACCCAGAAAGTTCCCTTCTGCCCACATATAGTCAGTCTCCACTCCTACCACAGTCCCAGATGACTACTAATCTACTTTTTTAAAAATTTGGTTAAAATATGTACAACATAAAATTTGCCATTTTAACCATTTTTAAATGTATTAATTCAGTGGCATTAATTACATTCACACTGTTGTGCATCATTAACCACTATGTATTTTCAGAACTTTTTCTATGCCTCTAAGTAGAAACTCAATAACCGTTAAGCAATAATTCCTCATTCTGATAACCTCTAATCTATTTTCTGTCTCAATGAATTTGCCTATTCTAGATATTTCATATAAGTGGAATCCTACAATATTTGCCCTTTTGTGTCTGACTTATTTCACCTAGCATAATGTTTTTGCGGTTCATCCGTGTTCTGTCTGGTATCAGAACTTCATTTCCATTTTGATTATCTGTTTCTGTTGATGAACTCACGAGTTGTTTTTACCTTTAACCTATTGTGAATAATGCTGTAGTCTATGTGAATCCCTGCTTTCACTTATTTTTAGTAGGAGGGAAATTGCTGGGATATAAGGTCATTATATGTTTACCTTTCTGAGGAACTAAAAACTATTTCTATAATGTAAACATTTTACGTTCCTACCAGCAGTGCGGAAGGGTTCCAGTTTCTCCACATCATCACTAACGTGTTTTCTTTTTAAAAAAATTATTAGAGCCTTCCTAGTAGATGTGAAGTGGTTTTTCGTTGTGGCTTTCATTTGTGTTTCTCTAATGACTGATGTTGATCTTCTGTTTATGTTCTTATTGGCCATTTTTATATCTTCTTTGGATAATTGTTAATTCAAGTTCTTTACCTATTTTTTAACTGGGTGGTTTGTCTTTTTATTATTGAATTTTTCAAGTAATTTATATATTCTACATATTAAATCCTTTATGTGCATATTTAAACATATCTATGTAAACAGATGTGATGGGAAAATATTTTCTCCCATTCTGTGAGTTGTCTTTTCACTAAGGGTTTTATGATTTTAGCACTTAAATGGAGATTATTAGAATCTAGTTTAAGGTAGTTTTTGTACATGGTATGAGTACAAAAAGATGCTGGGTCCTTTTTCATGTGGAAATCCAGTTCTAACATCTGTTGAGGAGACTATTCTTTCTCCAGTAAGTGGACTGGGTACCCTTGTCAGGTGGCCATACGTCTATGTGTTTATTTCTAGACTGTAAATTATATTCCATTGGTCTATGTCTGTTCTTATGCCAATACTATATTGTTTTAATTACTGTAGTTTTTAGTAAGTTTTAAAGTTCAGAAGTGTGAGTCTTCCAACTGTATTCTTCTACTTCAGAATTGTTTTCATTATTCATGGCTCCTGCAATTCCACATGAATTTGAGAATCTTCTTTTCCATTTCTGCTAAAAAGGCTGTTGAAATTTTGAGTGTGATTGCATTGAAAGTGATGGCTTTGAGTAGTATTGACAAATTAACAATATTTAGTTAGTTCCAACCTCTGAATACAGACTTTCCATTTATTTAGGTCTTTAATTTGAATTTTCAGGAATGTTATATAGTTTACAAGCATTTCAACTCTTAGGTTAAATTTACTCCTGGGTGTTTTGTTCTTGTACATATTATTGTAAATGAAATTGCTTGCTAAATTTTTGGGGGATTTTTCATTGGTGTTTTATAGAAACACAACTGATTTTTTCTTGTGTGTTGATCACAAGATCAACCTGCAACTTTGCTGAATACATTTATTTTAATTCTCTTAGCTTTCTTCTGGATTCTTTGGGATTTTCTCAATATAGCATCATGTCATCTCTAAATAGAGATAGTTTTCTTTCTTTCTTTGCAATTTTTATACCATTTATCTCTTTCCCTGTCTAATTGCTCTGACTAGAATTTCCAGTATGTTGAATAGCAGTGCTTAAAGTGGGCATCCTTAACTTCCTGAACTTAGGGGGAATGTTTTTAGTTTTTCACCATTGAGTATATTAGCTGTGGGTTCTTTATAAATTCATGTTCAGAAAATTTCACTCTACTTCCATTTTTCTGAGAGATATTATGAAAGTGTGTTGAATTTGTCATGTGCCTTTTATGTGTCACTTGAGATGATCATGTGGGTCTTTTTCCTTCGTTCCATTACTGTGATGTATTACATTGGTCAATTTTATGTTGAATCACCCTTGCATTTCTGAGATAAATCCCACTTGGTTATGGTGTATAATCATTTTAATATGCTGAGGGTTTTTTTGCATCTATTGCTCAGGAATTTTCCTTTGATGTCATTATCTGACTTTGATATCAGAGTAATGCTGCCTTCATAAAACGAGTTGGGAAGTGTTTCTTCCTCTTCTTTTTCTGGAAGAATTTGAGAAGGTTTGATGCTAATTCTTCTTTAAATGATTGGTGGTATTCAACAGAGAAGCCATCTGGTTGGACTTTTCTTAGTTGGGAAATTTTTGATTCATGGTTCAATCTCTTTACTTGTTATAGGTCTGGTGAGAATGTTAATTTCTTCTTGAGTCAGTTTAGGTAATTTCAGTATTTTTAGGAACTTGTTCATTTCATCTGAGTTATCTGATTTGTTGTCACACAATTGTTAATATTTTTATAATGCATTTTATTTCTCTAAAGTCAACAGTAATGTACCCACTTTCATTTGCTACTTTAGTTATGTACATCTCTCTTTTTGTCAATCTAGATAAAAGTTCATCCATTTTTTAAATCTTTTCTAATGGTCTGTCTATCCCGTTTTCTTTATCTTTCTCTAGTTTTATTGTTTTCTTTCCTCATCTTTGCTCTTTGGACTTTGTTCTTTTTCTGGTTTCTCAAGGTGTTCTTGATTTGAGATCTTTTTTCTTCTAAAGCTATGAATTGCCCCCAAGTACTGCCTTTGTGGATCTTGTAAATCTGGGTATGGGTATGTTATATTTTTATTTTCATTTGTCTCAAGTATTTTCTTTTTTTTTTTCTTTTTTTTTTTTTTTTCAGTGGCGCAGTCCTAGCTCACTGCATCTCCAACTCCTGGGCTCAAGGGATCATCCCACCTCAGCCTCCAGAGTAGCTAGGATTACAAGTGCGCACCACACCTGGCTAATTTTATTATTTATTTATTTATTTATTTATTTATTTTTTACAGATGGGGTCTTGCTTTGTTTGTTGCCCAGTCTGGTCTCAAACTCCTGGCCCCAAGCAATCCTCTTGCCTCAGCCTCTCAAAGTACTGGGATTATAGGCCTAAGCTACCATGCCTGGCTTTTAAGTACTTTCTCATTTCCCTAGTGATTCTTCTTTGACCCATTGGTTGTTTAGAGTGTGTTAATTTTCATGTATTCGTGAATTTTCTTGTTTCTCTTCTGCTATTGCTTTTTTGCTTCATTCCATTGTGATTAGAGAATGTGCTTCTTACATTTTGAGCCTATGTTTTTAGGTGTATGTATGATTACAGTTGTTATATCTTCTTGGTGAATTGTCCTTTTAGTCATTATACAATGTTCTTATTTGTCTCTCATAACAATTTTTGACTTAAACTTTTGTCTATATGAATATAACCTCTCCGGCATTGTTGCCCATTCTTTCACTTTCAACCTATTTGTGTTTTTCTATGTAGAGTCTCTTATAGACAACATATAGTTGGACCATGTTTTTTTAAAATTCATTCTGCCAATCTCCTTTTTGATTTGAGTGTTTATGTACACTTAAGATGATTAACTGATAAGGAAGATTTTGCTTCTGCCATTTTCCTGTTTGTTTTCTATATGTCTTTTCACTTTTTTTCTCTTTCGTTTCCTCCTTTTATGTTTAGTTGATTTGTAGTGAATGGTTTTGATTCTTTTCTCATTTCTTTTTGCACATATTCTATATTTTCGTGTTTGTGGTTACCATGGGTATTACATTTAACAACTAAAGTTGTAGCCTTCTAATTTGAATTGAAACCAGCTTAATGTAATACCACACAAAAACTCTGCTACTATATAGCTCTTTTATTCCTGTTTATGTTATTGATGTCCCAGAATATATCTTTATATAATTTGTGCTCAATACATAATATTTATACATTTGTCTTTTAAATCATATAGCAAATAAAAAGTTGTGTTACAGATAAATAATACAATAATACTGGCTTTTATACTTGCCCAGGTATATGCTTTTACCAATAATTTTTTTTCTTTATATGGCTTTTTAGCATTTCTCATATAGCAGGTCTGATAGTGGAAAAAAAAATTCCCTCCGCCTTTATCTGGGAATATCTTACATTTCTTCTTTGTTCTTGAAGGAAAGTTTTACATTATATAAAATTTTGGGTTTACTGTTTTTCTTTGAGTGTTTTAAATACATCATCCCACTGCCTGCTGGCCTCTGTCGTTTCTGATGGACTGTTAATCTGAGTATCCCTTTTTCATGATGAATTGGTTTTTTGTTTGTTTTTTCTGTTCTCAAAATTTTCTTTCTCTTTGGCTTTAATAGTTTGGCTGTGTGTCTTGGTGTGGGTCTCTTTGAGAGTATCGTATGTGGACTTCTTTGAGCTTCTTGGATTTGTAGATTCATGTTTTTTCTCAAATTTCTAAAGGTTTTTGGCCATGATTTCTTCAAGTGTTCTCTTTGTTCTCTTTTCTTTTCTGGCAGTTTTATAATGCATATGGTGATCCACTTGATAGTGTCCCTTGGGTCCCTTGTGCTTTATTTATTTTTCTTCATCGTTTTTTCTTTGTGCTCCTCACACTTGATGTCATTTGTCCTATTTTCAAGTTCACTGTTTCTTGTGCCTGTTCAAATCTGCTGTTGAGGCCCCCCATTTCTAGGGAACTTTATATTTCAGTTATACTTTTCAGGTCCAGAGTATCTGTTTGGTTCATTTATAATCTCCTTATTGATATTCTCATTTTGTTCATAAATCATTTTCCTGATTTCTATTAGCTACTTGCCTATATTTTCTTTAGCCCTTTGAACATATTTAAGATAGTTGTTTTAAAGTATTTGTCTAGGAATATACATTATTACAGTCATTATAGAGAACAGTTCGGAGGTTCCTCAGGAAACTAAATATAGAGCTACCATGTGGATCCTGCAGTCCCACTGCTAGGTATATGCCCAAAAGAAAGGAAATCAGTATGTCACAGAGATATCTGCATTCCCATGTTTATTTTAGCACTCTTCACAATAGCCAAGATATGGAAGTCCATCAACAGATGAATGGATAAAGAAAATGTGGTACATCTATATAACTGAGTACTATTCAGGCATAAGAAAGAATGAGATTACATCATTTGCAACAACATGGAGGGAAGTGAAGGTCATTCTGTTAAATGAAAGAAGCCAGGCACAGAAAGACAAACTTGGCATGTTCTCACTTATTTATGGGATCTAAAAATTAAAACAATTGTGAACTCATGGAAATCGTGGAAGGATGGTTACCAGAGGCTGGGAAGAATAGTAGTAGGGAAGTGGCGATGGTTAATGTGTACAAAAACAAATAGAAAGAATGAATAAGACCTAGTATTTGTTAATGCAGCATTGTGACTATAGTCCATAATTAATTGTACATTTTAAAATAGAAGAGTAGAATTGGATTGTTTGTGCACAAAGGACAAATGCTTGAGGTAATGGAAAAACCCCATTTACCCTGATGTGATTATTACACATTGTATGTCTGTATCAAAATACATCATGTAACCCATGAATGTATACACCTTCTATGTACCCACAAAAATTAAAAATTTAAAAAAAAAAAAAAGTAAAGTTTTTGTCTGGTAAGTCTGATGCCTAGGCTTCTTCCAGGATTTTATCTGTTGGTTAATTTTGTTTCTTTGAATAGGCTATAAATTTTTTGTTCTTTGTATGCCTTGTGATTTTTTTGCTCTAAACCGAACATTTAGATATTATAATGTAACTCTGGAAATCAGGTTCTCACCCACTCCCATCGTTTGCTAGGGTTTTTTTTCTTTGTTTATAATGCCATTTTTTTTTGTTTGTTTGGTTTTGAGAAGGAGTTTTGCTCTTGATGCTCAGGCTGGAGTGCAATGGCATGATCTCAGCTCACTGTAACCTCCACCTCCTGGGTTCAAGCAATTTTCCTGCCTCAGCCTCCCGAGTAGGGATTATGCGCGCCTGCCACCGCTCCTGGCCAATGTTTTTTATGTTTACTAGAGACAGGGTTTCACCATGTTGGCCAGGCAGTTCTCGAACTCCTGACCTCAGGTGATCCACCCACCTCAGACTCCCAAAGTGCTGGGATTACAGGCGTGGGCCACTGCGCCTGGCCTATAGTGCCATTTGTTTAGTAATTTTCCAAACTATTTTTTTGAAAGACTGTATTCCTTGTCATGTGTGTCACTGAAATTTCTGTTCCTTCAGTTCGTGTTCATCTAATGTTTTGACAGAGATTTCCTTGAATAGCAGGAACTAAAAACAAACAAACAAACATGAAACCAAGAAATAAAACAAACAGCAATCATATTTCCCAGTCTTTGCAGACTGGCTCTGTGCTAGGGCACTTCTACAGCACTTGCACTGGGGCTCGCACAGAGTCTAGGGAACAGCCCATGTGAAAACTCAGGGTCTTCTCAGGTCCCTTTCTGAGCACACATCTTGCCCTGGCAATGCATGTGGTTTTCTGAACGCCACCATACCTCTCCCCGCAACCCTCCCCCACTGCATCTCACCATACACGAGTGTTTTTTTACCTTCTGTCGCAATTGCGATTTTATTGGTTGTGTTGAGGATCACTACACAGACATTTCAGTTTGTTCACAATCCTTAACGTATGTACCAAAAATCTAAAAAGCCATGCATTGTGATTCTTTTTTTATTTTTATTTTATGAGACAGAGTCTCACTCTGTCACCCAGGCTGGAGTGCAGTGACGCGACCTTGGCTCACTGCAACCTCCACCTCCCGGTTTCAGGTGATTCTCCTGCTTCAGCCTCCCCAGTAGCTGGGATTATAGGTTCCCACCACCACGCCCAGCTAAGTTTTGTATTTTTAGTAGAGATGGGGTTTTGCCACATTGGCCAGGCTGGTCTTGAACTCCTGACCTCGTGATCTGCCTGCCTCGGCCTCCCAAAGTGCTGGGATTACAGGCATGAGCCACCGCGCCTGGCTGTGATTCTTTTTTAAAGTTATTCCACTGACCTTCCAGCTGAAAGTTTGGAGTCAAAATTTCCACAAGAGGATATCAAGTACCTATATCTTCAGCATTCATCAGCTGTCCTAATTTCTTTCTTTTTTTTTCTTTTTCTTTTTTTTTTTTTTTTGAGACAGAGTTCGCTCTTGTCACCCAGGTTGGAGTGCAATGGCACCATCTCAGCTCACTGCAACCCCCGCCTCCCTGTGATTCTCCTGCCTCAGCCTCCCAAGTAGCTGGGATTACATGTGCCCACAGGCATGAGCCACTGTACCCAGCCTCTTTTTTTTTTTTTTTCTTTTTTTGAGATGGAGTCTCGCTGTGTCCCAAAAGCTGAAGTTCAGTGGTGTGATCTTGGCTCACTGCAACCTCCGCCTCCTGGGTTCAGACAATTCTTCTCCCTCAGCCTCCCGAGTAGCTGGGATTACAGGCATGTGTCACCATGCCCGGCTAATTTTTATATTTTTAGTAGAGACAGGATTTTGCCATGTTGGCCAGGCAGGTCTAGAACTCCTGACCTCAGGTGACCCGCCTCCTCGGCCTCCCAAAGTGCTGGGATTACAGGCATGAGCCACCATGCCCGACCCCTAATTTCTTAACGAATTTCCCTTAGCTTTTTCTCCAGTGCCTTATATGCCGTTGTATGACTTGATCCATCATCTTTTGCCTCAGGTATCTGTGGGCTTTGGAGTGTTTTGAGTAATGTCTGCTGCTTTTCTGTCCTTAGTTTCAAGTTAGCCAAAAGAGAATCAAGCACCTTCTGTCCATCTTCCAGATAGTCCCTAGACACGTTAGAACAGACATACACAATGATTTATAAGTGAGATCTGCTGTATTTCCTCAAATCCAGGGACCAGTGTTGTCACTGCTTCAGCACTGCTACCACAGCCGAGAGCAGCAGGACAAGGGCAAGGAAAAATGCTGTCAAATTTTCCTACCATTTTCAAGTTGCCTGTTTCTTGATTCAGCATTTGCTTGGTTGCTGTCAACCTTTGACCGTTTTCCAGAGTTCTGACAGTTATTTCTGATAGTTTCAGCTTGTTTTCTCTGGGTGTCTGTGAGAGATCCAGGAGCTGCCTACTCTGCCATTTTGCTGACATCATTTGATCTACTTTTTGTCTCTATACTTTGGCCTATTCTAGACATTTTATGTAAATGGAATCATACTGTATTTCTGGCTTGTTAGCATCTAAGGTTCACTCATATTGTAATATGTATTCGTAATTTGTTCCTTTTAATTGCTGAGTGGTATTCCATTGTATGAGTATATGACATTTTATTTATCTGTAAACTGTTGAGGGAGACTTTAGATTATTTCCAGTTTGGGGTTACTAGGAATAATACTGCTGTGAACATTTGTTTAAAAGACTGTGTGTAGATACATGGTTTCCTTTTTCTTAGTAATACCTAGGAGTGGAAATACCAGATCAATATGATAAGTGTATGCTTAACATTTTATGTTTCCAAAGTGGCTATCCATATTGTTACTACCAGGAATGTATGAGATTTCTATTCTCTCTACATTCTTGTCAACAGTTAGTATTGTCATTCTTTTTTATTATAACTATTTTATTTGGTGTGTAGTGGTGTCTTATTTTGCCATTTATTTGCATTTCCCTTATGACTAATGATGCTGAACATCTTTTTTATAAGTTTATTTGCCATTTGTAGGTTTTTCTGTTGTGAAATGTCTATTCCAATTCTTTGTCCATGTTTTAGAAACCCATTGTGTGACATCTTAAGTTATAGTACTTCTTTGTATATTCTTCAAACAAATCCTTTATAAGATACATGATTTGCAATTCTTTTATTCTCCACTCTGCAGCTTGTCTTTTTATGTCTTAGTAGGGTTTTTTGTTGTTTTGGGGGACTTTTGGGTTTGTTTTTTTGTCTTGTTTTGTTTTGTTTTTTCTTAGAGTCTCGCTCTTGCAACCCAGGCTGGAGTGCAATGGGCATGATCTGGGCTCACAGCAACCTCCGCCTCCCAGGTTCAAATGATTCTCCTGCCTCAGCCTCCCTAGTAGCTGGGATTACAGGTGCCCACCACCACGCCTGACTGATTTTTGTATTTTTAGTAGAGACAGGGTTTCACCATGTTGGCCAGGTTGGTCTTGAACTCCTGACCTCAGGTGATCCACCCTCCTCGGCCTCCCAAAGTGCTAGGTTTACTGGCATGAGCCACTGCACCCAGTCATCTTAATGGGTTTTATAAAAGCATGTATGTGTAATTTTTATCAGGTCAGGTTTATCCAATTTTGCTTTTAGTATCATGTTTCTCATGTCATATCTAAGAATTCTTTGCTTAATAACCTAAGGACAGAAAAATTTTTTCCTGTTTTCTTCTATAAGCTTTCTAATTTTAGCTCTGTAAGTCTGTGAGTCATTTTGCATTAATTTTAAATAAATTCTTGGTAGTTAACAAAAAAATTTTTCTCATCTCAGAACACTATAAGAATATTTTCTAATTATAATATTTGCATGTATAGAGAGTAATATCATAAAATGGGACCTGTCTGAAAAATTAGACTAATGTTGACTGATGATTATTTGCTATAACTCAGGGTGGGGAAGGAGCTGCAGGAATTTCTTGTTTGTCAGAGTTGAAATTATATAGACCCAAAAGTCAGCGTTATAATCCAGCTAACAGTTCTCCACCTATATAAAACTGTGTAATTTGCCTTGACGCATGACTTCAACCAAGCAGTGAATCATTGACCAAAAACACAATGAAACAAAATCTGAGAAATCACTTGCTCTAGGAATTTTTTGGCGTTCACTGCTCCTATATTTAAGTGTTTGTTTAATATAGAATAAAATGTATTTTCTTTTTTATTCTTTTTTAAGACAGGGCTCACTCTGTCACCCAGTTTGGAGTGCAGTAGTGAGATCATGGCTCACTGCAGCCTCAACCTCCCCAGGTCAAGCAATCCTCTCACCTCAGCCTCTTAAGTATTTGGGACTACAGGCACACACCAGCACACCCAGCTAACTTCCTTTGGCCATGTTGCCCAGGCTTGTCTTGAACTCCTGGGCTCAAGCAGTCCACCTGCTTCAGCCTCCCAAAGTGCTGGGATTACAGATATGAACCGCTGCACCCAGCCTAAAATATATTCATTCATGTATTGAGAGGTTCTTTGAATGAGAGTAACATTCATGGATTTCATTGTATTTAGCAAAATCAATGATTAATAAAATAGAACATGATTAAAAGCCTTTTCACATACTAACACTATTATTTCACAACTTTCTTACTGGTGGGCCAAAATACCAATATGGTAAATGGTGTGCCAGATGATATTGTGGGTATCTAAATTGAAAGGTACTATTTCATATAAAATGAAGTCATGTAAATGTGGTATCACAGTTCATTGAATTTTAAAATCTCAGTTGAAACCATTATATTTTTCAGTATTTAATATTGCTTAGTAAAGACCTAGTCCATGATGAAGACTGTTTTCCTGCTTGAAGAGCAAGGTAAAAAGAGCAGTTCCTTAAAGCACGAAACGGGTCTTATGTCCACTCTGCTTCTTTTGTGGATTAGAAAACTGACCATAGGGAAGTACGGTAACATACCTCTAGTCCTAAAGCCAAACAGCTCTTGGTATGAATCCCAGCTCTACTGCTTACCAACTTCATGAACTTATAAAAGTTATGTGGCCATTTTATATTATGGTTAATACAGTGCTTATATACTTCATTAAAAGAAAAATTTTATAACGAATGTTTGCTTTTCTTATTTCTAAACTAATCAACTCAAAATAAGGTAAAAAGTCATATTTAAGGGCATATTCTCCAGTATTGTCCATTTACCTTCAATCCAGAGAAAAACCATATTTTTCAGCTGCTTGCTAGGTCTCTAATTCTGGATGAACCTTTGACAAACACTTTTCAGTTTCAGGAAGAGAGGAGACATCCTTGGATAATGAACTTAGGCAGACTTGAGTTAAAATTCCACTTTTGCCTGCCATGTATTGGCTTTTTCCTTGGGTGATTAATATTACCAAGCATCAATGTCCTCATCTGTAAATTAAAGATAATACTCTGTTATTCATAGTTTTTGTCAGAATTAAATATTAATGTAGTACATATAAAATAACCTCTACTAGGACTTAGTAGATATTCAGGAATTATCAATTTCCTTCTTCCATCCCAGGACATACCCTTCATGTGTATAGGAATAGAAAAAAAAAATAAGAACAGCTTTGGGCATTGTATATTTATTAAAATTGAGACAACTGCATGTGTAGGTGTTTTTCTCCCTTTCGGTGATTAATTCAGTGCTTATGAACACAATTAAAGTATGTTTATAAATATGATAGTAAATGATGTTTCAATTATTTCATAGATGAATAACCTCGTAAATTGCTCTAGTACCTTTGAATAAACTGCTGCTTTAATGCAGAAGTTAGTTGGAAAGACTGACGTGAAAATCCTGATGTTGTTCACTGACTTATGCCTAACAAATTGAATAATTACCTGGTTCTGGGCCATTCCTAAATAGAGCTTGCATGGGTTGAAGGACCCCATGACTGGAGTCAAGTCTTGCCTCTCCCTGTCTGTCTGATCCCAGACAAATGGCTTAACCTTTCTGGGCCTCCATTTTCTCATCTATAAAATGATGGAGATAAAGGACATAATTTCTATGGCCTTTTATAGTTCTAACATATGTAATTTGAAATCAGTGAGAAATAAGTCAAAGCTGATTGTTATATTCTGTTGACTGATTATTTAAATTAAAAGGATTGATCATTAGGAAAATATGAACAAAATATGTAAATGAAACACCAAGTTACAGGGATCTTTACGCTTGTTAATAGTTAGAACATTTTACTTTTAGTGGCCGTGAAGTGCTTGTAGAGGTAAAAGCTGCTATAGAATTCCTTGTGCACCTTGCTTTTGAACATAGCAGCTTCATATTTGATTCCCTATTTTTCCCTTGAAAGGATGGATAACAAAGATTTTAATCTTGAAAATGAATATTCTGTGAAATCCATGGAATATCATTGTTAGCAGCTGTTTATTTCATCTACCTCTACCCTTCTTTTTTTATTTTATTTTATTTTATTTTATTATTATTATACTTTAAGTTTTAGGGTACCTGTGCACAATGTGCAGGTTAGTTACACCACCTCTACCCTTCTGGCAAAAAGTTCACAGCTACTTGTGAAACAAGGATTTAGTCAGAGTGAGAAAACCGCAACACTGGTTCAGACATTTCATACATAAGAGTCTTTTATTGAAAGAACAAAATGAGCTTCTTAAAGACAAGGTGCTTTGACCTAAGAATTTGATGTCCTAATAATATTTGGGGTATTTGAGGAGATTATGTATTTAGCTGTTTCATAGGTGATCAAAAATACCTGCAAGTGGAAATTATAATTACAGCTTTGAAGGGAATTAAAGATGTTTATCGTCTGAGTAAAAGTACTAATTAGCTCATAGATCGTACAACAAAAATTACTAACAACACCTAAACTACTTTTCTCATGAAAATTTCAAAATTAGCATGACGAGACTGTTCTTTTATTTTTCAAAAGGCTATTTCAAGTTAGTCTACTTATTTCTGAAACTTGACCCTTCTTTTACTTTTAAACTAACCCATGTTTATTTAGAATATTATGGGTTATAAAAGGATCTGAAAGGTAAATCTCACAAAGATAGATATTTCAATGAAAGAAGAGTATAAGCAGAAGTTAGGATAACCTTTATTCGCAGTTTTTATCAACGTTCACTGTAATGGAGCCCTTTTCTTTGGGTTTCTGTTTTGTTTTATTTAATTGTTAATTTTAGTTTAGATTCAGAGGGTCCATGTGCAGATTTGTTGCATGGGTATATTTGCATGATGCTGAGATCTGGGCTTCTATTGATCCTGTTACCCAAGTAGTGAACACAGTACCCCATAGGAAGTTTTTCAGCCCTTGCCCTCTTCCCTCTGTCCCTCCCTTCCTCCTTCCTTTTGGAGTCCCCAGTGTCTGTTTCTATCTTTACGTCCATGGGTATCCAGGGTTTAGCTCCCACTTGTAAATGAGAACATGCAGTATTTGGCTTTCTGTTTCTGTGTTAATTCACTTAGGATAATGGCCTCCAGCTGCATTTACGCTGCTGCAGAGGACATGATTTTGCTCATTTTTATGGCTACATAGTATTCCATTGGTACCACATTTTCTTTATCCAGTCCACCGTTGATGGGCACCTAGATTGTTTCCATGTCTTTGCTATTGTGAACAGTGCTGTGATGAACATACAAGTGCAGATGTCTTTTTGGTAGAACAATTTATTTTCCTTTGAGTGTATACACATTAATGGGATTACTGGGTAGAATGGTAGTTCTCTTTTAAGTTCTTTGAGAAATCTCCAAGCTACTTTCCACAGTGGCTGAATTAATTTACATTTCCACCAACAGTGTGTGCTAAGCATTCCCTTTTCTCTGCAGCCTTGCCAGCATCTGTTATTTTTTGACTTCTTAATAGCCATTCTGACTGGTGTGAGGTGGTATCTCATTGTGGTTTTGATTTGCATTTCTCTGATGATTAGTGATATTGAGCATTTTTTCATGTTTGTCGGCTGCTCGTATGTCTTCTTTTGAGAAGTATCTGTTCATGTTCTTTGCCCAGTTTTTAATGGTGTTATTTTTGTTTTTGTTGATTTGCTTAAGTTCCTTATCGATTCTGGATATTAGTCCCTTTTAGAATGCATAGTTTGCAAATATTTTCTCCCATTCTATAGGTTGTCTTTTTACTCTGTTGATAGTTTAGGTTTTTTGTTTTTTGGGTTTGTTTATTTGTTTCTTGGCTATGCAGAAGCTCTTTAATTTCATTAGATTCAACTTGTCAATTTTTATTTTTGTTTCACTTGCTTTTGAGGACTTAGTCATAAATTCTTTTCCTAGGGACATGTCCCAAAGAGTATTTCCTAGGTTTTGTTCTAGGATTTTTTAGGTTGAGGTCTTACATTTATGTCTTTAATCCATCTTCAGTTCTTTTTTATATATGGTAAGAGGTAGGGGTCCAGTTTCATTCTTCTGCATATGGTTAGCCAGTTTTCCCAGCACCATTTATTGAATAGAGAGTCCTTTTTCCCATGCTCATTTTTCTCAACTTTGTCAAAGATCATTTTTTTATGGGTGTGCAGCTTTATTTCTGGGCTCTCTATTCTGTTCCATTGGCATGCCTGTCTATTTTTTACCAGTACCAGGCATTTTCAGCCCTCTTTAAAGGTCACTCTTTCATTTATGTTCTCCAGAAGAAACTAAGAATCTGTAACCTATCCCTGCCCAAATGTTGACATTTGGCTTATGTAAAAGCAACTGTCTTTGATATTGTAGTGTCACCATTTGACACTTCTGAGTGTCTTATTCTAACAATTACTACCACATATTTAGCTCTTATGTGCCAAGAACTATGCAAAGGGAAGTAGACGAGAATATGGGCTCTCGACGCAGGCTGCCTGAGTTTGTATTCTGATTCTGCCTCTTACTAAATCTGTGTTCATGGGCAAGGTACTTAACCTCTTATACTTCCATTTCTCCTTCTGTTAAATGGAGGTCATAATATAGGATAATAACACAATTTGAGTTGTTATGAAGATTAAAGGAGATAATACATGTATAAAACTCATAACTGTTTTGCACATAGTAAACACTCAGTGACTGCTTATTAGTGTGATCATTGTCATCATCATCATTTAATCTTTACAAGAAAACATTGGGATAGTATGCATTTTACAGATAAAGAAACTGAGGCTTAGAAATCATAAATAACTTTCCCAAGGCAACACTGCTAGCAAGTGATAGCTGAGATTTGACCTCAAGTCCTTGTGATGAACTTAAGCCCATGCTCCTAAAGTAGACTGTGGCCTTAGTGGAAGTGGACTGCTGGTAGCATTTTAGAATGTCATACATGGAATCTAGCCTTCTCATTTTGTGGATAGAAAAACTGAATTGACTAAGCACCCTAGTAACAGACAGTCCTGAAAGCAGTATCTTTCCCATTGTCCTTTCTGCTGCCCCCAAGCATGACTTCTTTTCTTAAGAATTCTTTAGAATAGCTTTAATCATTTGCATTTTGATTCTCGTCTTCTGCCCAAATATAAAATCCTAGATTGTTAGGATTAAATGAAAGCTTTTGTGTGTAAAGATTTCATTTTACAATGATATTACTTTACCATCATTTTATGGTGCTTTATTCTAATCATAATAAGAAGGAACCATTTTTCAGTCCTTGCTGCCTTAAGCGTGGATTTTTATATTTAAATACGTTTCTGTTCTTTTGGTCTTAGGCTTTATTTTGAATGCAGGATCGTACTGACGAAGAGACTAGCAGCCACCTTTGCCTACCTTGTATCATGGGTGTGAATAAATGTATAAAGCAAAAAATAGGATTGTATTTCAGTTTCTTGCTTATTTTTAGAATTCAGATTATGGGTTTGAGTTAGCTAGTAGTTTGTCATAATAGGTTAGTTTATTAGTAAAATGAGAGACTGTTGACGGAAAAAAGTTTGATCTCTTTCATTTAAATGTGCTAATCTTAAAATGATTCCCCAACGGAATTTATTTTCTGTCATATTGAGAGCACTCAGAAGTAAATAGACAAAAGAATTAATAGCCCTTAAGTATCACTCTGCTTGGTAGAAAATAAGAATGTTTAAGCTAATTAGTTATATAACAAGGATATACTAAGTATTTTTCTTCTGTTTTAACACCGTGTGTAAGAAATGTGTCTAAATTTCCTTCTTCTCAACTATCACATTTACTCCAAATTTTAAGTTATATATGGTTTGATTTTTTTTATTATTATTATTATACTTTAAGTTTTAGGGTACATATGCACAATGTGCAGGTTTGTTACATATGTATACATGTGCCATGTTGGTGTGCTGCACCCATTAATTCGTCACTTAGCATTAGGTATATCTCCTAATGCTATCGCTCCCGCCTTCCCCCACCCCACAACTGTCCCCGGTGTGTGATGTTCCCCTTCCTGTGTCCATGTGTTCTCATTGTTCAGTTCCCACCTATGAGTGAGAACATGTGGTCTTTGGTTTTTTGACCTTGCGATAGTTTCCTGAGAATAATGGTTTGCAGCTTCATCCATGTCCCTACAAAGGACATGAACTCATCATTTTTTATGGCTGCATAGTATTCCATGGTGTATATGTGCCACATTTTCTTAATCCAATCTATCATTGTTGGACATTTGGGTTGGTTCCAAGTCTTTGCTATTCTGAATAGTGCCGCAGTAAACATACGTGTGCATGTGTCTATAGCAGCATTATTTATAATCCTTTGGGTATATAGCCAGTAATGGGATGGCTGGGTCAAATGGTATTTCTAGTTCTAGATCCTGGAGGAATTGCCACACCGACTTCCACAATGGTTGAACTAGTTTACAGTCCCACCAACAGTGTAAGTGTTCCTATTTCTCCACATCCTCTCCAGCACCTGTTGTTTCCTGACTTTTTAATGATTGCCATTCTAACTGGTGTGAGATGGTATCTCATTGTGTTTTGATTTGCATTTCTCTGATGGCCAGTGATGATGAGCATTTTTTCATGTGTTTTTTGGCTGCATAAATGTCTTCTTTTGAGAAGTGTCTGTTCATATCCTTTGCCCACTTTTTGATGAGGTTGTTTGTTTTTTTCTTGTAAATTTGTTTGAGTTCATTGTAGATTCTGGATATTAGCCCTTTGTCAGATGAGTAGGTTGCAAAAATTTTCTCCCATTTTGTAGGTTGCCTGTTCACTCTGATGGTGGTTTCTTTTGCTGTGCAGAAGCTCTTTAGTTTAATTAGATCCCATTTGTCAATTTTGGCTTTTGTTGCCATTGCTTTTGGTGTTTTAGACATGCAGTCCTTGCCCATGCCTGTGTCCTGAATGGTATTGCCTAGGTTTTCTTCTAGGGTTTTTATGGTTTTAGGTCTAACATGTAAGTCTTTAATCCATCTTGAATTAATTTTTGTATAAGGTGTAAGGAAGGGATCCAGTTTCAGCTTTCTATATATGGCTAGCCAGTTTTCCCAGCACCATTTATTAAATAGGGAATGCTTTCCCCTTTGCTTGTTTTTGTCAGGTTTGTCAAAGATCAGATAGTTGTAGATATGTGACATTATTTCTGAGGGCTCTGTTCTGTTCCATTGATCTATATCTCTGTTTTGGTACCAGTGCCATGCTGTTTTGGTTACTGTAGCCTTGTAGTATAGTTTGAAGTCAGGTAGCGTGATGCCTCCACCTTTCTTCTTTTGGCTTAGGATTGACTTGGCGATGCGGGCTCTTTTTTGGTTCCATATGCACTTTAAAGTAGTTTTTTCCAATTCTGTGAAGAAAGTCATTGGTAGCTTGATGGGGATGGCATTGAATCTATAAATTACCTTGGGCACTATGGCCATTTTCACGATATTGATTCTTCCTACCCATGAGCATGGAATGTTCTTCCATTTGTTTGTATCCTCTTTTATTTCCTTGAGCAGTGGTTTGTAGTTCTCCTTGAAGAGGTCCTTCACATCCTTTGTAAGTTGGATTCCTAGGTATTTTATTTTCTTTGAAGCCATTGTGAATGGGAGTTCACTCATGATTTGACTCTCTGTTTGTCTGTTTTTGGTGTATAAGAATGCTTGTGATTTTTGCACATTGATTTTGTATCCTGAGACTTTGCTGAAGTTGCTTATCAGCTTAAGGAGATTTTGTGCTGAGACGATGGGGTTTTCTAGATATACAATCATGTCATCTGCAAACAGGGACAATTTGACTTCCTCTTTTCCTAATTGAATGCCCTTTATTTCCTTCTCCTGCCTAATTGCCCTGGCCAGAACTTCCAACACTATTTTGAATATTAGTGGTGAGAGAGGGCATCCCTGTCTTGTGCCAGTTTTCAAAGGGAATGCTTCCAGTTTTTGTCCATTCAGTATGATATTGGCTGTGGGTTTGTCATAGATAGCTCTTATTATTTTGAGATACGTCCCATCAATACCTAATTTATTGAGAGTTTTTAGCATGAAGTGTTGTTGAATTTTGTCAAAGGCCATTTCTGCATCTATTGAGATAATCATGTGGTTTTTGTCTTTGGTTCTGTTTATATGCTGTATTAGGTGTATTGATTTTCGTATGTTGAACCAGACTTCCATCCCAGGGATGATGCCCACTTGATCATGGTGGATAAGCTTTTTATGTGTTGCTGGATTCGGTTTGCCAGTATTTTATTGAGGATTTGTGCATCAATGTTCATCAAGGATATTGGTCTAAAATTCTCTTTTTTTGTTGTGTCTCTGCCAGGCATTGTTATCAGGATGATGCTGGCCTCATAAAATGAGTTAGGGAGGATTCCCTCTTTTTGTGTTGATTGGAGTAGTTTCATAAGGAGTGGTACCAGCTCCTCCTTGTACCTCAGGTAGAATTTGGCTGTGAATCCATTTGGTCCTGGACCTTTTTTGGTTGGTAAGCTATTTATTATTGCCTCAGTTTCAGAGCCTGTTATTGGTCTATTCAGAGAATCAACTTCTTCCTGGTTTAGTCTTGGGAGGGTGTATGTGTCGAGGAATTTATCCATTTCTTCTAAATTTTCTAGTTTATTTGCGTAGAGGTGTTTATAGTATTCTCTGATGGTAGTTTGTATTTCTGTGGGATCGGTGGTGATATCCCCTTTATCATTTTTTATTGTGTCTATTTGATTCTTCTCTCTTTTCTTCTTTATTAGTCTTGCTAGCAGTCTATCAATTTTGTTGATCTTTTCAAAAAACCAGCTCCTGGCTTCATTGATTTTTTGAAGGGTTTTTTGTGTCTCTATTTCCTTCAGTTCTACTCTGATCTTAGTTATTTCTTGCCTTCTGCTAGCTTTTCAATGTGTTTGCTTTGCTTCTCTAGTTCTTTTAATTGTGATGTTAGGGTGTCAATTTTAGATCTTTCCTGCTTTCTCATGTGGGCATTTAGTGCTATAAATTTCCCTCTACACACTGCTTTGAATGTGTCCCAGAGATTCTGGTATGTTGTGTCTTTGTTCTCATTGGTTTCAAAGAACATCTTTATTTCTGCCTTCATTTCGTTATGTACCCAGTGGTCACTCAGGAGCAGTTTCCATGTAGTTGAGCGGTTTTGAGTGAGTTTCTTAATCCTGAGTTCTAGTTTGATTGCACTGTGGTCTGAGAGACAGTTTGTTATAATTTCTGTTCTTCTACATTTGCTGAGGAGTGCTTTACTTCCAACTATGTGGTCAGTTTTGGAATAGGTGTGGTGTGGTGCTGAAAAGAATGTATATTCTGTTGATTTGGGGTAGAGAGTTCTGTAGATGTCTATTAGGTCCGCTTGGTGCAGAGCTGAGTTCAATTCCTGGGTATCCTTTTGACTTTCTGTCTCGCTGATCTGTCTAATGTTGACAGTGGGGTGTTAAAGTCTCCCATTATTATTGTGTGGGAGTCTAAGTCTCTTCGTAGGTCACTAAGGACTTGTTTTATGAATCTGGGTGCTCCTGTATTGGGAGCATATATATTTAGGATAGTTAGCTCTTCTTGTTGAATTGATCCCTTTACCATTATGTAGTGGCCTTCTTTGTCTCTTTTGATCTTTGTTGGTTTAAAGTCTGTTTTATCCGAGACTTGATTGCAACCCCTGCCTTTTTGTTTTCCATTTTCTTGGTAGATCTTCCTCCATCCCTTTATTTTGAGCCTATGTGTGTCTCTGCACATGAGATGAGTTTCCTGAATACAGCCCACTGATGGGTCTTGACTCTTTATCCAATTTGCCAGTCCGTGCCTTTTAATTGGAGCATTTAACCCATTTACATTTAAAGTTAATATTGTTATGTGTGAATTTGATCCTGTCATTATGATGTTAGCTGGCTATTTTGCTTGTTAGTTGATGCAGTTTCTTCCTAGCCTTGATGGTCTTTACAATTTGGCATGTTTTTGCAGTGGCTGGTACCAGTTGTTCCTTTCCATGTTTAGTGCTTCCTTCAGGAGCTCTTTTAGGGCAGGCCTGGTGGTGACAAAATCTCTCAGCATTTGCTTGTCTGGAAAGTATTTTATTTCTCCTTCACTTATGAAGCTTAGTTTGGCTGGATATGAAATTCTGGGTTGAAAATTCTTTTCTTTAAGAATGTTGAATATTGGCCCCCACTCTCTTCTGGCTTGTAGATTTTTAAAGATATATCCCAAAATTTTAAAGTAGTATTGATAGAAATATTTCTCTTCATTTTATATGACATATGAACGAACATTATAGAAAAATTATACTCTATCTGTGCATAGTTAAATATACACATATTTATTTTTGGTAAGAAAAGCTAAAATGATTATAATTTCATAGCACATTTAATACTTCATATAAAACAATAGCCATAGAGTTTTAGGGTTTAATCATAAGAATTTTAAGAATAATCTAGTCCCGTCTTCCTCTCCCTGTTCTCTTCCAGACTTCAGAAAGTAAAATAAACAAGGCTGTTGCCATGTAGAATGTTTAGGAAACATTTCCACCATCATCATGGTGACTGGGCTGGAATTGGGTATACTGAGACCCAATCTCAGTCCACCCCATTACTACCCCAACTCACTGAGATAGTCAGCTTTTACCTTGATTCACATATTGGAGAGAAGAGGGGAATCTCAGAACAGGAAAAAGAATAGGTCATGACTGCTTTATCAAACTCTGAGTTAGGAAAAAAAATCATCAAGGTATAGTAGTTGTCTTATTCCATTGTTACTTATAAAAGAATTTATGAAACTGGGTAATTTAGAAAGAAAAGAAATTTATTTCTTACAGTTATGTAATCTGAGAAGTCCAAAGTCAAGCAGCCACATCTGATAATAGCCACATCTGATAATACCAGAGTCCTCCTGGTGGGGACTCTGCAGAATCCCAAGGCAGCACAGAGAATCAAATTACTAGGGGGCTGAGCCTGCTAATGTGGTAGCTCAGGCCTCTCTTCCTTTTCTTATGGCACTTTGATTATCATCTTCTTCCCAAATATAAAATCCTATGATTCTCCTCCCATGATAACCCATGTTCTTTGCCATGATCACCCATGAATTCATTAACATATCAACTAATTAACTCATGAATGAGTTAATCTATTCATGTGGGGAGAACCCTCCTGACCCAGTCACCTCTTGAAGGCCACACTTCTCAATAGTGCCTCATTAGGCATTAAATTTCAACATGAGTTTTGGAGGGGACAAATATTCAAATCATAATAGTAGTGAAAGAATTGGTATACTCAGCAAAACAGAAAAGCATCACTAGATAAGTATCCATGAGATAATATTGAAGCCTGGCAATTATTTGGGAATTTAAATAACAAAAATATTTATATCAATCAGAACAATAAATAGAATGGTTTATCTCAGACCTTGGCAAGAGAAAAATAATCATCCTGAATGTCCTTTCTGATGGCCAAGTATTCACAAAGCTTAAGTTTATATTAAATACAATGTGATGACTATAGTTAATAACAATATATACTTGGAAATTGATAAGAGAGTAGATTTTAAGTGCTCTGAACACACAGAAAAAATGTTAAATATGTAAGTAAATGCATGTGCTAATTAGCTAGATTTAGCTATTCCACAGTGTATTCGTATTTCTTTTGTGTGTGTGTGAGACAGAGTCTCACTGTATCGCCCAGGCTGGAGTGCAGTGGCATGATCTCAGCTCACTGCAACCTCCGTCTCCTGGGTTCAAGCAATTCTCCTGCCTCAGCCTCCCAAATAGCTGGGATTGCAGGTTCCTGCCACCATGCCTGGCTAACTTTTTGTATTTTTAGTAGAGATGGGGTTTTGCCATGTTGGCCAGGCTGGTCTCGAACTCCTGACCTCAGGTGATCCACCCACCTCGGTGTCCCAAAGGGCTGGGATTACAGGTTTGAGCCACCATGCTTGGCCTGTATTCATATTTCAAAACATCACGTTGTAGATCATAAATTTATAAAGTTTTTGTCAATTAAAAATTAATAATTGTTTTTACAAAAACTTATATTAAAGCTAATTTAGTTAACTTTCTGTGTCCTTGGTACCATGTCACACTTTCCAGCGTTACTATGTCTGACAGTGACTGGCAGCATCTTAAAGAAGTATAGCTTTTCTTTTCTGATCATGTTCAGATTCTTTAATAGTATATATTTCTTATTTTTAAAGTTCCACTAAGGCACTAGTACTTTGTAGACTTCTCTTCAATAACATAGGTACATTAATTCTGTATATGTGCAGAACTTTAAAATCAACCTGTATGCTATTTAACATCTGAAGCAGAATAAGTAAATCCATGTACATATTCATAATTCTTTCATTTATGCCATTTAAAAATTAATATTTTGAAGAAATTGTTTATCCCTTCCACATAGTAATGTAGATGATACTATCTTTTTTCTTGTTTTCCATTTGTATTAGCACTTGTTTCACATTGTCATAATTTGGTTTATGAGCATTTTAAAAATAAAGAATTGTAAATATGTTCATGCATGCCATATATTTTTATACTATTCAATTATTTTAAAATTCTTAATTTTATTTTCTAAAAGTATCTAGCCTGGTTTATATAATAATCGTTGTTTCCTATGATATCAAAAATGTAGCATTGTGTATGTTTGTAAATGATAGAGTCTTGCTGTGTTGTCCAGGCTGGAGTGCAGTGCCCATCTACAGGCACAGTCATAGTACTCTGCAGCCTCCAACTCCTGGGGTCAAGTAGTCCTCCTGCTTTGGCCTCTCAAGTAGCTGGAACTAACATGTACCACCATGCCCCATTCTGTACTTTTGTGAGAATAATTTCTCTTATGTTAATGATGTGTTCTGAAAAATATAAAGTTATATTCTTCACTGTTTTCAAAAGTAAAAAGTAAATGGATTTTTAAAAATTTCAGCCTGTATTTCTAGCTTTATATTAATAATGAATCACAAAAGAAAATGTCATTTTATATGTAATTACATTATCTGTCATATATCCCTTATCTCTAGCCAAGTATAATGAGAAAGCCATTATTTCTGTCTATATTCAGAGTCCATTTTAGCAAGAAGTGCAGTTTCAGAGATTCTGCATAGAAATCTTTCAGCCCTGGGTCTCACATATTAAAAGCCTTGAATTCTATTTAAAACCTTCTACCATTAATTAGTCATGTGATTTGTGGTATTTATAGCTCATCTATGCTACAGTCATCCATGAGTAGATTTTCCAGATGGTGGAAGGAGGCATTTTGACTTATTCCCTGTGTTAGCTGTCATGCCATGTTCTACTCTGTAATCAGAAATCACTGATTTATTTTTGTTTTTGAACTCAGAGTTCCAGATTGTAGATAGAAATATTTAGCCATTCCATTTACAATTTTTTTTCACCATCTATGGAGCAACATTTGTCAAATTCTAAATTGTTAGTTTCATTTTTCATGACCAAGTGTTTTAGTATTTCCACTGACAACTTTGCAGTGGGTTTTTGAAGTGAGAACCCTGAAGAAAAAGTACTTCTGTCCTTCCAGGAGTTAATGCCTTTTTTTACTCTTTTGCCTATGTCCTAGGCAGAGCATACCACTGTATTAAATACACAGAATACCACAGTGATAGGGCTAGATAGGGATAATGGACTCCTTTATGTTTGTTTACTGCTTTAAGGGTTTTTTTCCAAATTCTTTCTTCCACATTTAATCCTTACAGTGATCACATATGGTAGCTAAGTTATGTTCCTTTTAATCATTTTACAGATAAAAGACAAAGTGAAAGAGATTTAGTTTCTTTTCTGAAAAGTATATATCATTCAGTAATTGGTGTGGAACAGCTAACCAGATATCCATCTGTAAAAAGTGCAGTACAACTCACAATTGTATATCAAAATAAATTTCAGGTTAATCTAAGACTTAAAAGTAAAACTAATGCTCCAAAGTACTAGAACAAAACAGGGTGTGGGTGGGGGAAACAGAGTTATATGTGTGTACTGGAAATGCCTTTATAAAATATAAGCAAAACATGGAAGCCATAAAGCAAAATATTAGTAAATCACAGATAAAAGAATAATTTTCTTAATTTTGAAAGGGCTGCTACAAACTGGCAGGTAAAAGACCAACAACATTATTCATTAGAAAACAAAAATTAAAACCACAGTGAGATATCATTTTCACTTATCAGACTGGCAAAAAGTTAAAACATTTGATAATTGAGGTATTGGTGTAACCTCTCTTGTAGTGACTCTGAATGTGTGATCCAAAATATGGGCCTCTGCTGGGCGTGGTGGCACACGCCCATAATCCTGGGTACTTGGGAAGCCAAGGCAGGAGAATGGCTTGAACACAGGAGGCGAAAGTTGCAGTGAGCGGAGATGGCGCCACTGCACTCCAGCCTGGGTGACAGAGTGAGACTCTGTCTCAAAAAAGATATGTATATATATTTGGGCCTCTGGAGGGGTGGCTCCCTGAATCTCTTTCAAGGATTACACAAGGTGAAAATTGTTTTTACACTAATACTAAGATATTTTTTGACTTTTTCACATGTTGACATTTACAAGGACAAAGCAAAGCAATGGTGGATAAAGCTGCTTCCAGTGTAGCACAAATCAAAGTAGTAGCACCAAACTTCACTAGTATTCATTGTGGTCTTCATCACCATATATTCACAATTTTAAAATGAAGGAGGGGGAGGAAGGGAACAAGAAACGTGGTCAGTTTCACTTAGTAATTCTTTCTGCAAAAAAAACAATAATTTTAGTAAGTCTCAACCCTTGAGTATACAGCTTTATAATAGTCTGTGTTGGAAAATATGCGTAAAACACATCTGCGTACCAAGTATGTTGGTTGTGTTGACGAAAAGCAGTGGTGAGATTAAGTTGCAAGCTAAACTAGCTACTTCTTAAAATACCATTTCTTACTTGAAAGAACAACTTGACAGACAAGCTACTGTTATTCCAGCTTCGGTAGTTGATGGACATTTTCTCTAAAATGAACGAAGTGAGCTTGTCACATCAAGAAAACAACTGACAGGATTCAGTAGCAGTGATAAAATTTGAGCTTTCAAGCAAAAATTTGAATTTTGGAAAACTTTTATCTGCAATGAGCTGACAGCTTCCCAACATCTAAAGACTTTTGTGATGAGATTGTAGTGATAGCAACAAATGTGAATTTTTGATATGATATAATGAAGTGTATCAACATTTAGAAGGTCCACATAACCAATATTTTTCAAATGATCAATGTGTGATTTCACAAAGTCATGCATTTTACATGAATGCATAGATGGATATGAAGCATTCATTCAAAGTGCAAGATAGACCAATGGTTTTAATTAACAGAGTAGGGAAAATTCATTGATATGGCTTTAGATTCCTCATTGCAAATAACCGTTAAAAAAAATTACTTGTTGAGTTTGACGATAGATGGGATAATACCCAAGGTTGTCTGAAAAGGCTATTTTAATACTTCTACCAACTGCATTTTTTGTATTTGTCAACCAAAACAACATATTACAACAGATTGCATATAAAATCAGTGTTAAAATATAATTTTATTTTAAAGCCAGGCAATTCTACTCTTTTTTCAAAAACTTTTTGTTTTGTAAAAGTTATTTTTCATGAAATTGTTATTTGTGTTTACATGTAATATATTTATGGTTATTTTAACTTAATAAAAATATTGAACTATTTCTGTCTTAATTTTTAATACAGTAAATAAGCATAGATATAAGTCACATAAACAAAGCTCTTTGGGGTCTTCAGTTTTTCAGAGTATTTAAAAGTTTGAGAACTATTCTTCTATGGAGCGTAAAATATAAATTTTAATTTAATGTAACAATTGAAACCATAATTTTCATTTTAGGAATTTATACTACAGATATAATCTCACAAAGGTGAGATTATACAAAATTATTCATTGTTGGATTGTTTGGATTATCAAAAGATTGGAAACAACCCAGCATTTGCATATCAATAGAGAATCAGTTACTGAGATACCTTCATACAATGTAATACTATATTCTCTATATGACACAAATACAGATTTACCATTATGAAACCATCTCAAAGATTATTAAGTCAGAAATTTAGGATGCCAGAAAATGTGTGGAGTACACTACTATTTGTGCAAAATTATATGTAGTATATGTATTTGCATAGATTGTCTTGGAAGGTTAGACAAGAAACTGCTATGGTGGTTGCCACTGGAGGGGAGCAGGGAATGGAGTAAAATGACTTTTTTTTTTGGTTTCTTAAGATTGCGTGCCTGATTACTCATTATTAGCAGCTAAGCTAGGTTAAAAATGCAAATCTAACTGTTCCTAATTTTATCTTCTTTCCATTACGTTAAAATCTCCACATACTGTTACCAAGTGTAAAGACATTCACAGAAAAAAGTTTCTTAATGTAGTGGTATGTGTTTTATTACCGTAGTGAGCTGACGTGTCTAAAAGACATGAGATTATGTAGAAGATGTCCTGGAGTCCCAAGAGGCTGGAGCAGTGTTCAAAAGGAAGGGATACAGAGAGTTCTAAAGGGGTAATATAATTTGATTAGCAAGAAAAGAAGTTTATTCTAAATGAAGAAACATGATCAAGACATTAGAAGTAGGATGCCCATTGCACCCCCTGGCATCAATGGGGGACCAGTGTAGATTCCTGAGAGCAAGTGTCAGCATCCAGTCAGCCGGAGAACTTACGAACATACAAGGTGCTGGGCCCCACCTCCTGAGGTTGTGATTTGTTAGATCTGGGCAGGAGCCTAAGAATTCTCATGTCCAACAACTTCCCAGCCGATTCAGAGGCTGCAGAACCACTGCTTTAGAGAAATTGTGGTTAACAAAGTTGGAAAGGTAATCTGGGGCCAGAACAATGAGTTCTAATTTGCTTAAACAATTCCACAGGTCAGTTAACTTAATTAGAATGAAAATATTAAGAATGTTTAAGAGAATAAGTGATATATGTGAACTTTTTTATGTGTATCTTTTATTGTTCTCTGCTTAATTAAAAACAAAAATTATATATAAAAATTCATTGTAATCCATTTTTATGACAAGAACAATAACACTTTAGTTTTGCTTTTAAAATTAAAAATTTTCTCTAAATCAGTTTTAGTTTCTCTAAATCAGTTTTAAACCCTTAATTCTATTTCAATAAAGTATTTATATGTTTTAGAGAAGAATTTCATTTGTAATTTGGCTAGAGTTACCATCAAAGGGAAGTTAGCATGTGTTTGTTAGTTCAGGATGATCAGTCCTGAAAAAGGCTGATTTTTACACTGGTTTTTGTAAATATTAGTAAATCAAAATGCTATTCCATCTGTTGCAGTTTCTCTTGAGTTTTTGAGAAAGAATTTTGGCCTTCAAGAAAACCTGAGATACGTATTTACTGAAGTCCCAAAGAAAAGACAATCCAAAGTTATAAATTCCTGGTTCTTCTTTAAGTACTGTGCCAAGTTCACAGGCTAGCATCTCCATCAGCATGCCCTTCTTTGTAATCTACTCACAAAGAGACATTATTTCTCTGAGAATTTGCTTAAAGTAATTCTAGCTCCTAGCCTTGTGCCTCTGATTTTTCCCATGTTAAAAGTACTTTCTTCCCCAGGCATAATAATATATTAAAACATAAAATATTCCTGTAGTGTGAGATTTAAAAGATATGCAAATTAAAGGCAAAGAAAGGCTGTGGAAACATTCCAAATGAAAGGAGGCTATTAAGTAACAGCTTTATGCAATTTCTAGTCCTACACTGTATCCTGTGCTGCAGGGACAAAAATGCTGTACGGAACAAGAGGTCAGTGGACAAAACTGAAATATAGATAGCACATTGGATAAATGCATTGTTTGTGTGTAAACTGTGAATTGTTAACTGTATTGTAGTTATGTAAGAGAATATCCCTACTCCTAGGGAATGCACAGTGATACATTTAGGGACAAAGGACCTTAATGTATGTACTTATATACATGGTTCCGAAAAAAATTTGTTTCAAAGAGGGAAAGAACACAAATAATTTTGTAAAAGGGGTAAAATGTTAACAATAGGCAAATGTGGTTAAAGGCTTAACAGATGTTTCTTGTACTATTTCTCTTATTGCAACTTTAAGTATAAATTACTACCAAATAAAAAAGCTTTTAAAAAAGTACAAAAAACTGAAATATGTCAATTTAAAAGCTTCTCTCCTTTTAAAGAGCAAATTTCCTTTGAAATTATACTCTTGAAATTGTACTCTCAAAAAGCATTTCTGTCATTTCACCTAAATATTTTTTAAAAATAAGGCCAGAGGCAGTGGCTCATGCCTGTAATCCCAGCACTTTAGGAGGCCAGGGCAGGCGGATCTCTTGAGGCCAGGATTTTGAGACCAGCCTGGACAACATGGCGAAACTCGGACTCTACTGAATATACAAAAGTTAGCCTGGCATGGTGGCAGATGCCCGTAATCCCAGCTACTCAGTAGGCTGAGGCATGAGAATTGCTTGAACCCAGGAGTGGGAGGTTGCAATGAGCTGAGATCGTGCCACTGCACTCCAGCCTGAGCGGCAGAGCAAGACTCTGCCTCAAAAAAAAATAATAAATTATATATATGTGTATATATATATGGCATTTAGAATAGCACAAGAAACACATTTTGTGATTGAGTTTATTTTTCTGTGACCATATCTATAAAATATTACTGATAATTTATACTAAAGTGCATGATTATGCTGTTTCCACGAGTTAGATATATGTTTACTAGGTAGTTGTTAGAGCACTTGAAAAAATACCAGCCAATTCATTGTCAAAAGAGGCATGAGATATATGAAACTACTTGGAAGAAAGAGAAACTAGGGGAGAAGTAAAGTATGAATAAGATTCTAATATGAGCATTTTGTCATTGGGGTAAAAATGAAGGGAAAAGCCGTGGTAATGCTCTTCAAATTGTTCTCCCATTAATTTACAGTAGAATGGTTTGGTTTTAATGAAGTCTATGTTATCACTTGAGCCAGTTTGTAAATCACATTTTTGTATTAGTTCTTTCTTACTTGGCTAGCTCTCAAACTTTTTTTTTTTTTAAGCTGTGATATATGTTTATCTCCTTGGAAAACCTTCTCCTTTTCAAGTATTCCTGCCTAGAATTGCATCTTTGTCTCTCAATCTATTTAATTCTCAGTAGTCCAAATCTATATGTTGCAAATTACAGATGTTCTCTACATATTTTATTATTAATTCAACTATTGTATTTAATGTTGCACTCCTCTAAGGCAGGGTTTATCATAATGTTATTAATCATGAGGATCCTAAGTAAGCAAATCATGAAATTAAATGAAAGAAATTCATTTTTTACTTTGTTGTGCATTTTTAATTTTCCATGCTGAAGTCAGTTTCCATTGGCTAGATTTTAATTCCACTCAGCCTAAAATTCTTTTTTTTTCCTTTTGAATACATTATTGGAGACTTGATAGGCTTTTGATAACTACATAGCTCTCAGTACGTAAGTATGCTTCACTAAATATACAATGAAGCATATTTCTGTATTAATAATCCTTTTATTTTCTTCCAAGTGTATATACTACCTCAGGCACGAGTTAAATAATACAATAAACAACAGCAGTAAATCAGTGATTAAAGCAATACAAAATCAATCCCCAAATTAAAAAACTAAGTGACTGTGCATTGTGAATGTCCACATAAAGAGACTTAACTCTGCGACATCAAAATCTGTAAACCCCATCAGGTAGCAGGGACATTAGATGGGAGAGAGCACTAGAGAGCTGACACCTCAGTAATGTCAGTAACTTACTAACTTCCTCCATAACCTCACCTCTGTAGGCCTTAGCAGAATACTGTGCTTTGTAAAAAACAGTCACTTGGAAAGGATATCTATATTCCTTTCATTTGCTTTTTCATTGATAAAAATTTATTGGTACTTTTAAGAAGCCAGAGTGTTGAGGGCTTTATAACTCTTGGATCGAAGTTCATCCAGAATAAAGTCTCTTACATATGTATAAAGTTAAGAGTCTCACGTTTAAAATACTCTGTATAATAATGGACTACTGTTGATATGCTTATTTTTCTCTTCTATGGCAGCAGTGATAATTATGTAAATAAGTCAAAGCTACATTTTTAAAAATTGATGGTTTTAACATTACAGGCTGAAATGGGGTCTCTTACCAACACTATACATTTTTCTTTTTATAATTTCAACTTTTATTTTAAATTCAAGGAGTCCATGTGTAGGTTTGTTACATGGGTTGGGGTATGACTGATCCCATCACCCAGATAGCATAGGACCCAGTAGTTTTTCAGCCCTTGCCCCCCTCCCTCCTATAGAAATGCTTAACCACACAGAAGTGTGCAATTTAGAACAAGACACAGTCCAGATAATCAGTTGCAAGGGCCAGAGTAATTTTTTAAATAAAATCATATTCATTTTGAAGCCATGTGTCAAATTCTTCTGTTTTATCCAGATTGATGTAGACTTTGAACAAATAGTAAATTTAATATACCATACAAGAACACTTTATTTTGTGACTATTAATGGACTCTTGAAGTTTCTTTTGGCAGATGGAGATGGACACATGGATCATTTACTGCCAGGCTGTGAAGATAAAAATTGCCAAAAGAGTACCATCTACTTAGTGAGATCTGGGATGAAGCAGGTATATCAAGTTGTTTTTAATGTAAACATTTTTTTTTATGTGCTTGGAAAAAAATCTTCTAAGGTTAGAAAAGATACCTGTAGAATCAGAACAGAGGGAACCCCAAAATTAAGTTACCGACTTCCTCATTTTAACTTAATGAAATGCATTTAAATATATTATTTTTTAATTTGTTGCGGGAAAATCATTGTTATAATTATTTCTAGTGAAGAAAACCCATTCTGGATACTATAATTAAATGATCTTTTAGCTTTTTATATGCCAGGAATATGGCAAAACACACTATAATAAAAGGTTACTTAGAAGAACGTTGTATCTATTTTCGAAACTGATCTTGTTTTTATTTGTGTTATTTAAACCTATTTTATTATCTCATGCTGACTTTTACCTGTAGCTTGTAGGTAAGCAATTTAGAATCTGACAGTCACAGTGGAGGATTAATATGGGAATGATAGGTTATAACAATCATATTAGAATTAATGTTTCTTTTGGAGGGTAATAAATGATAGAATAACGTATTGACTTTTATAGCCCTTATGGAAAAGGAGCATCATATTTTATGTGAAAACAAATCTTCACACAGTCAGCATTCTAAAAGCATTTAACTGGCCAGTGTGAGTACAGTGGTGTTAAGTGAACACAGCCAGTTACAGATTTCCTTGTTGCTTCTCTACCCCCAAAGCTTCACTTTATTAGCCTTAAAAATAAAATAAATGAAAACATTTAACTGTTATACCTGTAAGTTTTATCTTGAACTTTTTTTAAGGTTTTGAATCACTTAAAACTTTAGGTCAAGTAACTATCATTGGTTCATAATTATTAGTAATCCTAGTAATTATTGCCTATCGACAGACTACTGTAAGAATATTTTCAAATTATACAGTCATCTCTCTCTGGGAAGATAAATGTCACAGTTCTTTGGTGACTATTATCAGTGTCATATTGATACTGAAAAATCTTTTTACTTTTTAGGCCTTAATACATTTACCTTAACAGGAATACTTTATTCAATGTGGTTTATCCTGATTAATAACCTGTCAGCCTCTTCAGAAATTTGTGATAACGTGGCATTTTGTGAAATTCTCATCTGCTGAAATAAAACACAACAATTTTTTAAAAACCAAGTGAAACCATTGAAACATTTTAATGATATATAAAATAATACTGTTTTGCTTAAAGATTGAAAAATTATTAAAGATGCATACCTTTTTTTTTAAAAAAACTCATTTTCTGTAAACATGTCTTTACCAAGTTTCCTTTTTCCCTGGTAAATTATACTTTCTTTGGAAAATACATAAATTGTTGGAGATACCCTGTTTATTAACCCCTTTTCAAGAAACCATCTTTAATATAATTTGACTTGCAGCCATATAAATGAGTCACCTGCTTAGAAGGAAAGGAAGGGAATCTCTAGGTATGTTTGGCCTCCTGCCATCTCAAGTCAGCTGTGCCTGCTTCTGCTCAGACATCTTCAGGTTATGTGGCAGCATTCATATGCAGCAAATTGTGGGCACAACTATAACTTTAATGGCATGATTTCCGCTCTTCAAATTTCTAGTTATTAAAAAGTGAAGATTTATGTTAATCTGAAGAGAAAGGGATTCCCAAAGCTCATTTTCAAATGAGCTTTCTGTTCTCTTTCTGTTCTCTTCATGGCCATTAATATAGAAATAAAGGAATTTACTAAAAATGTAGCTTCCGGCCGTTTTAGTGACAGAGCTCAGTCTTCTTGGCTGAGAAGTGCCTGTCAGTTACTGATGAAGCCTGTCAGGCCTGGTGTTGTTTGGAAAGACTCAGGAGCTGCTCGGCTGGAAGGCAATGACTGAAGTCATCTGCATGTGTAAGAGACACAGCAGTAGAATGAACAACGGGGTCTCTGTCATGTTCTAACTTTCCTCCTAAGTTGGTCCTCCCGAAAGCACATCAGTATTAGATGATATTACAGCTTGCTCTAGTTTTTTTTAAACGTTCGAGTGTTTCTATGTGACACAGTTTTAAATTATGTAATCTGACTAGATGTGTATTAATATCAGTTCAATCCTAAGATTCATGTGGTATTGTGAAAAACTTTCTAAGGCTTTCTGTGCCAGTTCAGACAAAAATGACTAGGATAAATTCTAAGGGAAAGTACTTTTTTTTTTCCCAGAGTGTCACCTATTCATCAGAGTAAATTATGATCCCCTACCATATTGTAGAGATAAAAAAGTTAAGTAAAATAATGCTTATCTTGAAAACTTAATGGATCGTTTGTTTTGCAAATTATAAATTTTTTTATAAAATAACTATAAAGTCTGATCTTTTTCTCTTAATCCATAGTGGGTTCCAGTCCTACAAGATTTCAGCAATAAGGGCACACTCTGGGGCTTTGTGCCATTTGTGGATGAACAGCAACCAACTGAAATACCAATTCCAATTACCCTTCATATTGGAGACTACAATATGGATGGCTATCCAGACGCTCTGGTCATACTAAAGAACACATCTGGAAGGTAAGGAAATTAAATCAAGTGAGAAATATTTGTAAACTATGTGAGAAATATTTGCAAACCATGGTACTTTGCAACTGAATAGTACCTAAATATGTTATAATCTC
Organism: Homo sapiens; assembly: GCF_000001405.40. NCBI lineage: Eukaryota > Metazoa > Chordata > Mammalia > Primates > Hominidae > Homo > Homo sapiens. The sequence continues at coordinate 47,311,135 of NC_000016.10, read as the reverse complement.
TTAAATAAGGAACATGGTGAGCTCAGTTCCTGTTTTTAAATTTGGTCCCTGCACTTCTCACAACTGCTTAGTTGTTTTTTTTTTTTTCACAGATTCATTATCTGTAAAACAAAAATGAACATTTAGTCTAAAGCAAACAGTTATATTTCACTCAATAAAACTTAATCTTTAAAAGTTCAAAAGTTGTTATAGGCAAATGACCCAATTATATTTTGAGACCGAAGACACTGGTGGTTAAGAACTGACTCTAGGCTTTGATCTCAGTCCAACCACTTACCATCTGTGTGACTTTGGTCATATTACTCAGACTCTTCATGTGTGAAATAAGTGTAATAATTGTACCTCTGTCATGGAGTTATAGTAAAGATTAAATAAGGTAAAAGTAAATGAACCACTTAGAAAGATACTCTTGGCATACTGATTTTACATTTAGTAAATGTTGTTACATTATTGTTGCTTGTTTTGTAATGACACTGGAAATTCCACCATGACTGTTGATACTTTTTGTATATGTCAACTGTGAGTACATTTATTGCATTAGCAGTGACTTTTAATGCTGCAATTACTTTAATTTTTGAAATAGAAGTATCAGTAGATAAACCAATGTAGTTAAACTCATAATTAGCTTGAATCCTGACAGATGCCATAAATATGAGTATTCCTAAATTTTAATACCTTATCGTTTTATTCATCTCACAATTAATTATATTCCTTAGCCCTTATTCTTTCTTTCCTTTTACATTATTTTTCTGAGCATTAATTTATTTGTTGACGCTAGAATTACTAATGATTCAGCTCCATATTCAGAACCAGGCTCATGATACAAAACAACTTCTCCAGAAGAAGTCAGACGTATTACTGCTTTTAACTCCAAACAGTGTTGTCCTGAAATCTGATATTTAGAGAAATATTTATCATTAGTGAGTGTCCCTAAACTATTTATAGAAAAGTATGGGAGAGTCTGTACGTTAACTTTCCTAAGCACGTTGGTTTGAAATTATAATGTCTCTGCATCCTGTTTGGAGAGTTTTCCAAGGACATGATCAGGGTGCTCTGTTATGCAGAGTTTACTTGTAACCTATGTGTGTGAAACAGATCTGATATAGCCAAAACAAACTTCTGAATGGAACGTGAGTGTTGTTCTTTTTAAAAGCATAGTGGCACATAAAAACAAAGAACTGTAAAATTACTTTATTTTAGACATTGGCTCTATTCAGAAGAATAAGAAATTACATTTTAAATTCATTTAATCCTGTGATTACTCATCCTTAGAATATGTAAATAATTTATATTTTACTATAAAAGTTCTTTATCAACAGTGTTTTTGTTAACAATTCCTTTGCCATTCAGCAATACAGATGGTATCAACTGCTAACTCAGCAGTGAACATTTTAGCTCTGCAGGAAAAATAAGTACTAAAGGCAGTTGTACTTTTTTATGAAAGTCTTAATACCATTATAAAAGCAGTTGTGTAAAACTCAGTTATTTCTTTTCTGTTCTTTTAAGATGGATGAGAATTGAAGGATAGATTTCAGTTCATCTTAGTGTTCATTCCATCACAGATGAGAAGTAGCCCTAACTTTAAATTAAATATAAATATTATTTAGAGTTGCTGTTACATTTCTGTAGGAAAATTTGACAAATCATATGAAAATTAATGTTCTAGACCTTGTTAGATCATTTTCTAAAATTCAAAGACAGATTGTGATTTCCTAGTAATAAGTAAATGTTTGATTAACACTGGTACTATAGAAGTTATGTTAATAGGCCAGGCGTGGTGGCTCACGCCTGTAATCCCAGCACTTTGGGAGGCCGAGGCACGCGGATCATGAGGTCAAGAGATCGAGGAGACCATCCTGGCCAACATGGTGAAACCCCATCTCTATTAAAAATATAAAAATTAGCTGGGCGTGGTGGTGGGCGCCTGTAGTCCCAGCTACTTGGGAGGCTGAAGCAGGAGAATCACTTGAACCCAGGAGGCAGAGGTTGCAGTGAGCCAAGATCACAGCATTGCACTCCAGCCTGGGCGACAGAGCAAGACGCCATCTCAAAAAAAAAAAAAAAAAAGAAGTTATGTTAATAATGTATCATTATGTTGAGCACATAGAGTGAATATTTCTTCCTTCTTTTGAGAATTTAATCTAGTGACTGTGTTTAAGAATGTGACTCCTAGTCTTCATTCTGACTATTCCTATCACCTTTGTATGATACAGTCAAAATGTTGACATATTTAAGAAGAGTTTTATTGTTATTAATACATTGCAAGTCACGAATGAAACTGGATAGCAAAACCTGAGCTTCCACTGGGCTCTTATCGGAGTTCCAAGCCTAGAAGTAGCTAAAAATAAAAAAAGTTTTTGGCAGCAAAGAAGCACACTCAGAAGTCTGAGTATCAGCCATGAGAACATCCCAAGCCTATTAAATGGCAAGTAAATCTGTAAATGGCCAAATGTAATATATTGCCTGTTAGTTAATGCTGGGAAGAAAATGGCTTTTGTTTATAAAGTAATTTTAGTTTGTATTACTTTACCATCGTTTTTCATGGGTTGGTTATTATCTTTATTTTACAAATATGAAAATAGTCTGAGATAAATCAGACAGCTTATCCAATATCATGCATCCTAATTCAGTTATAATCTGCATTTTCATCAGCATCCTCAGCTTTATACAATAATTTAGCTTCACATTATTGACCCTGACTCATCAATGAAAGGTTACATTATGTTGCAGATGTTCTACTTTTTCAAAAGGCATGGAGGTTGATAGTACAAAGGCCTACATCTGTGGGAACATTTCTAGCCACTATTCTTTTTCACGTTCTCTATGAAGTAGAGATGCCGGTGAGGCTGCAGATAAAAGGGAACACTTATACACTGTTAGTGGGAATCTAGATTAGTCGAGCCACTGTGGAAAGCAGTTTGGAGATTTTTCCAAGAACTTAGAACTGCCATTCGACCCAGCAATCCCATTACTGGGTATATACCCAAAGGAAAATAAACTGTTTTACCGAAAAGACACATGCACGTGTATGTTCATTGCGGCACTATTCACAATAGCAGAGATATGGAATCAATGTAGGTGCCCATCAATAGTGGATTGGATTTTTTAAAATATGGTATAAATACATTATGGAATACCATGCAGCCATGAGAAATAACAAAATCATGTACTTTACAGCAACATGGATGCAGCTAGAGGCCATTTTCCTAGGCGAATTAACACAGGCACAGAAAATCAAACACTGCATGTTCTCACTAATAAGTGGGAGCTAAACAGTGCATACTCATGGACATAAAAATTCCAACAGTAGACACTGGGAACTACTAGAGAGGGAAGAGAGGAAGGAGATCAAGAGTTGAAAAACTAACAATGGGGTACTGTGCTCAGTACCTGGGTGATGGGATCAGTCACACCCCAAAACTCAGTACCATGCAGTATACCCATGTAATAAATTTGCACATATACCCTGTGAATCTAAAATAAAAGTTGAAATTATAAATGTTAAAAGAAGAAAGAAATATTGTCCTGGATGTAAACTCATTCTGTGTCATTATTGAAGAAGACCTCATATTGCTACGTTCGCTTGCCTTCACTCAACCAACTCCAACTTCATTAGTTGGAATTTGTAAAGATCAAAAAATTTTCTTTCAATAATATTGCCTATTCATCTGCTATAATGAATCCCATACTAAAATTCTTAGTCCCATAATAAAATGGAAAAAGAACTCCACTAATTAGTTCTGAGGGAAGAAACCTCTGTAGACAGTGAGAGTTAATTCTACCATTAATTCCAATGGAGATATATTAAAAGATATATTACACATTATCAGCAATCAATTTTTAATTAAAGTTTTAATAAATACCCTTACACACTAAATTTATAGGTATAAAGTTGCATTCCTTTATGATTTTTAAATTTTCTCTAAGTCTTTAGATACGACTCCTTCATGTTTTTAGTATTATTTGCCTTTTTAATTTCTTTCATCAGACTTGATAAAGGCTTCTTTCTCCGTTTTTTTTTTTTTTTTTTTTTTTTTTTTTTGAGACGGAGTTTTGCTCTGTCACCCAGGCTGGAGTGCAGTGGCGCAATCTCCACATACTGCAAGCTCTGCCTCCCGGGTTCACGCCGTTCTCCTGCCTCAGCCTCCTGAGTAGCTGGGACTAGAGGCGCCCGCCACCATGCCCGGCTAATTTTTTGTATTTTTAGTAGAGATGGGATTTCACCATGTTAGCCAGGATGGTCTCGATCTCCTGACCTTGTGATCCACCCGCCTAGGCCTCCCAAAGTGCTGGGATTACAGGCGTGAGCCACCGCGCCCGGCCTCTTTCTCCGTTTTATTATTTCAGTCATGTCTGTGTTTTTGTTAGTATTGTAGAGGTTCAAAGAATCACCTTTATTTTCAGTAAGATGAATTTCTTCTATGAATATTTTATGTTTATTTTTACATTTTTTCCTGTTTTGCTTTCTTCAAGTTTTTTTTTTAATTTTTTACATTATTTCATTGAATACTAAACTAATAGAAGTTTACTCTTGTTTTCTATTAAGTGCTTTTAAGACTAAATATTGTGAGCTTGACTTCAGGTCATATATTTTGATAATAAGTGGTTTCATTGTTCTTTTTTATTTAAAATCTTGCATATACACAGAATTATTTAGAAAGGTATCTTAAAGGGTTCACATAAATATGTTTGGGCCCAAAGTTGTTTTTATGGTGGTTTTTTGGATTTTAGTCTATCTCTTCATTTTTTATGCTTTTAATATGGCATTGCAAATATAAATGTGGCTTGTGCAATACTTTTAGAAACTTGTTGAAATGTTTCTGGTGGTTTAATAGCTCAGTCAATGGTTATCTGAAATATCATTCCAGTTAATTATGTTATTTAAATCTTTATTTTTATTTTCTTTTCTGCCTTTTTTTGGATTATTCAACATTTTCTTCCTTTTATAGTTCCTAAGGTGGTTAACATATTAAAATTTTTATTTTTGTCATTGTGGTTATTAAATATTAATACCTATACTTAAATTTTACCTTTAATGAACTACTGGAGTCAATATGTAAGGCAAGTATTTTAGGACACTTCTAGTTCTCTCTCTCCCGACCCCGATTACTTCTCGTTCAGTGGTATTATCAATTGATGGAATGATTTTCACGTTTTGTTGCTACAGTTATTTACACTTAGCTACAGGGTTTACTGATTTCTCTGATCACCACTGAATATTATATCTTTTGTTCTTTCTTCAGTTTCCATTTTTCTGGACACATTATCAAGTAATTCTATCTGGGAGAGTCTGCAGCCTCTTTCTGAAACTTTACATGTCTGAAATTTTCTTTATTTTCCCCCAGCCTGAATTGCTAACTTGGCTGAGTATAGAATTCTAGATTCAAAATTATTTTACTTCATATCCTTAAAAACACTTCTCTGTTAAATTCTGATATTCACTTTTGCTAGTCAAGTCTGGTGATAATCTGATTGTTCATTGCAGGTAACCTCTTATGTTCTTTCTAAGATACTGGATTTGTACTTTATCCATAGTAGTTTGAAATGTTACCATGTGGAGTTGAATTGTGACTCCTGTAAATTTCTATTTGTTATTTTTGTCTTCTGTTTCATTCTCTTAGGTTTTTTTTCTTAGTTAATTTGTTTCTAAAGCTCATATTAGAACACATGAGGGAAGTTGTAGGTCTGCCCTCCTTGTCTCTCTGCCCATACCCTCACATTTTTTAACTTGTATCTTTTGTGCTGTGTTCTTGAAAAATGTCTTTGTTCAGCTCAATAACTACCCTGATTACAGAAGTGAACAAGACAGAAATGAAATTTACTCACTACAAAGTACTAGTCACCACTGTGAAAGCAACCCAGAAAATATTCTTACTGACAGTGGGTCATAAGTATCATTTTCCAAGCAGTTTATATGTATAAGACAGCACATCATTAATTACAGAGAGAGAGTAGTAAATGATATATGAGTGTATATACTTGTCTTTCCAGACAAATTATGTTGGTAAATTTCATTACTTATACACTAGTGGTACCAAGATAAATTTCATCATTTTCCATATGTCCATGAAGTGCACTGAGTACACTTCTAAATTTGTTTTTACATAAAATTATACTGTGATAAAGTAAAGTAAGCTTTTTAGCTGTTGAATCATCAACATATACAGTTAACTTTTGTATTTCTTAAGGCAGTGCTGGGAAAGGAGAGTGCCATTCTGAGATAATATACTTAAATCCATTTTATTTAATATCAATCAGCTTTTTTACAAGAATAGTGGCCACAAAGTTTTATGACTCCTAAGGAATAGTAGCAGTCCTCTTCAAAAGAAGAGTGACATGGAAGATTTTGCACTTTTTTTTGGTAAATCTTAACCATCTGTATGAATCAGACTAGTGGTTATCGTGTGTGGAATCACCAGATGACAAGATGGAAAATCCTTCTCCTAATAGTCTGTGAATAGGACAAGACTTAGATTCAGGCCTGTCTTGTTATATATATACTTTCAGTCACATATATTAATAAAAGGAGAAATAAAACACAAATGGAGAAACAAATGTACAGACAACATTTATGCTCAAAGGAATTCAGGTCAGCGTGCATTGTGAAACACATGCACTACGTCATCTCTCACATACAGTTAACTGAAAAGTTTATTGTTAAATGCACCTTTGGATAAGAGAATTAAATAAAGATCATGTACTTTGGATCTCAGTTGAAATGCCAGTGCTGCCACTTATACTTCTGTTTCCTTTTGTCACTTACTTGACCTGTCTATGTACCTGTAAATTTATAAAATGAAGGTGGTTATACCTACCCTGAAAATTCCTTCTGAAGATTGAAATACCATTCCTTTCCCTTTCCCTCTTAAGCTTAACTAAGAAACCTGTAATTAAGCTAGACTGGCACAACATGAGCGATGACTTTAATTCCAAGAGATCTGTGACAGCTAGGTAACCTCCTACCGACTGTAGACTACACAGATTATTGATACGGAAAGAACTGATGGCTATTTCATTTCTATTCTTTTTCTACAACTATAAATCCCAAAGGGTTGTTTATTTATGTTTCAGAACATTTAAAACATGTAAGTTAAAATGTATCAATCTAAGAATTTTTTTTTTCCAAATCCCAGTGACTTAGTCCGATCAGACTAATTTAAGTAAGGGTAGAATCAGTTGAAAACTTGCAACGGAAAATTATTAACAGGCCAGGTGTGGTGGCTCAAGTCTGTAATCCTAGCACTTTCAGAGGCCAAGGTGAGAGGATCACTTGAGCCCAGAAGTTCAACACCAGCCTGGGCAACATAGTGGGACCCCATCTCTACAAAAAATAAAATGAAATAAATTAGCCAGGCATGGTGGCAGGCACCTGTGTTCCTAGGGACTCAGGAGGCCTGAGTAGGAGGATCACCTGAGCCTAGGAATTGAAGGCTGCAGTGAGCTATAATTACACCACTGCATTCCAGCCTGGGTGACAGAGTCAGACCTTGTCTCTAAGGAAATAAAAGGAAAAAGAAAATGGCTAACACTAAAAGGGAGGATTAAAAGGTTTCAGCAGGAAGTGTATTTCTGTAGATTTCCGGAAGTAACTTAAAATGTCCAAATCTTTCCGGATCCTCACTTTGCAACCTTTTCCCCCCTAAGGCTGATAGATTAAGTGCTATATTGGGTAACTGTTTTCAATGTTGTGTATGTGAGTTTTTAAAGCTCATAATAAGTCTTTGGTAGCAAGATACATCTCTCTACATAAGCCCATCACCTTTTCTCACTTTCTTCATAAGCAAAGACAGAAATAAAGAATATATACTATACGGAAAGAATATAAAAGGAAAATATAAATCAGCATTATTGTCTCTTTTTTTTTTGAGATGGAGTCTCGCTCTGTCATCCAGGCTGGAGTGCAGTGGTGCGATCTCGGCTCACTGCAAGCTCCGCCCCCTGGGTTCACGCCATTCTCCTGCCTCAGCCTCCAGAGTACCTGGGACTACAGGCGCCCGCCACCATTCCTGGCTAATTTTTTGTATTTTTAGTAGAGACGGGGTTTCACCTTGTTAGCCAGCATGGTCTTCATCTCCTGACCTCGTGATCCACCCGCCTCAGCCTCCCAAAGTGCTGGGATTACAGGCGTGAGCTACCGCCCCCAGCCTATCGTCTATTTTTCTTCACATATTTGTCACTAAATCTAAATATCAAGACCCCGTCTCTGTTTTTGCAGAGAAGAAGCTTAGTTCAGATTGATCTAAGTGTTTTCTTCATACCAATGTGCAAACATAGCAAATGTAAGTCAGGTAACAAGGCGATGTGGCACAGTGGCATGAGAATTAGACTTGATATAAAAAGATTTGCTTTAAAGGCCTGGCTTAGTGTCATAATTTCTGCATCTGTGAAATGAAGCATATACTTCTGGTGCATTACGGAGAAGTTGTCAAAATAAGAGTGTAAATGAGAGAGGAAAGTATGGGGTGTTCCATTAAATTAGGCTTTATTTATCTTTAATTTCTTGGTAACAGCTTTTTAATCCCACAAAGTAAGTTTTTACAACGTTTAAATTGTCTGTGTCTAGTGATTGCAGCATTAAGATCTTGGACATAGGGCTGAAGGGCTCCTCAAGTACGGCCAAAGTGGGAGCCCAGGCAGAGGAGGTGCTGAGAGCAAGCGAGGGCTGTGAGGACTGCCAGCACGCTGTCACCTCTCAATAGTATAATCATTTAAATATACTATGTATTAGTCATTAACATTGCTAAAAAAAAAAAAATACCAAAAATGTCATACCTAAAGAAGAGGTCTTTTCCTCAGCAGGACTTCTTTTAACTGAAGTATTTGGGAGCAGTGCTTATGACTTATTTTAAAAGACAAATTTCTCTAGTCTTTTAAATATGAATACAAATTTTGACTATTAAAAGTGACTGGTAACCCTTCCGTTAATAGAAAAAAAGCAAATACAAGTTCCTTGAGAGCAGGAGTCTTAAAGAACCAGAATAATTCCCTCTCTGTTTTAGTAGCAGGTACTTATTTTTTCTTGTGCTTCTTTTCAAATTTACCACACCATAGCATTGCTTTTATAATCAGAAACCTCAGAAACATAAAGATTTTTTTTTTTGAAGACTCATTGGGGAAACTAGACAAGGTCACATCTATATGGTTGGCTGCCTCTTCAGTATCTGGCATCCATGAGAAAATACCTAATGAAGTGAGTTAGTGGGCCAAGTCTTGAGTTTGTCCAGTGCTGTAGTCTAACAAAAAACCTGGTTGATTTTGATCAACCAATAAAATGAGTCCTGTTAAACAAAATTTTAAGTAGGACTTTTGAATAGGTTGTTGGAAATAAGCACCAGATATAGATGAAATCGTTTTATAATTGATTCTCTGTCAAATCAGGCATTCCCTATATTATTGTCATTTGTCAGTCATGAAATATTTAGCTAGAAAAAATTGGAAATAGCTGGGCACGATGGCTCACGCCTGTAATCCCAGTACTTTGGGAGGCTGAGGTGGACGGATCACTTGAGGTCAGGAGTTCAAGACCAGCCTGGCCAACATAGTGAACCCTTGTCTCTACTAAAAATGCAAAAATTAGCTGGCATGGTGGCAGGCGCCTGTAGTCCCACCTACTCGGGAGGCTGAGGCAGGAGAATTGCTGGAACCTGGAAGACGGAGGTTACAGTGAGCTGAATCGTGCCATTGCACTCCAGCCTGGGCGACAGTGCCATCTCAAAAAAAAAAAAAGAAGAAGAAGAAGAAAAGAAAAAGAAAAATTGGAAATACTGCCAGTTTTGAAATAGAATTCATGTTTACTGTAAATCAACACAGACTCAGTAAGGCACTTGCAGGTTTGACCTTTTTATATTATAATACATTAATTTACATTTTCTCTAGTTTTTAGTCCATTGTCTCTCAGTGAAAATCTGCACCAAGAATCATCTTGAACTCTTTGTTCCTATGGGAAGGAGGATTGCCTAATGGTGCTTGTTTTGTTCACTGATCTGTGTGTTTTATTCTCATTTGTCTTTTAGTAAATCTCTCTAGTCATGAATGTTATTTACTTTTATTAAGGCACATAGATTTCTGTGTTTCAATACTTTTTAAAAATTATACTCCTGGGCTTTTAGGGCTGAAAGGAAATATAAAATCATATAGTCTACTTATTTATGAATTAATTAGGGCACAGAGAACTTAAGTGATTTATCTAAGATCACTCACTTAGTAGTAGAATTGAGTGGATCACTCAATTAGAAGTAGATCCAGTTCATTGCATAATCTTTTTTACTGTGCTGTGTATTTATCCAATAATTTGTCTATACTTACAAAGGAGCATTATGCTAGAATCTGAAAATAAGTAACTGAAATTCGGTACTCGCTACCAGCACTAACATTCTGTATTCAGAATTCCATCAAGTGTTTCAAGATGTCTTTTTTATATTAAACTCTTTAAGCCATCTGCCTTCTATTTTAAGGTATATTATAAGAATCATTAAAGCCAAATTTATTGTTAAAATCTTGGAGATGCATAGACAGCAGCCCTTCAGCTGTGAGTTTTTGCCTCCATGGCTATCCAAACACATCATTTTACCACCAAGTAACAGTCACTGGAATTCAGAACTGTCACTCTAGGAAAGGTGGGATAGTCTCCAGTTCCTCCAGGTCTTTCTTTGCCCAGGAACCTTATCCTTCTTTCCTTACCTGCTGCCCTCAGGGGTGTGAAGAACTGGACCTTCTCTCAGCCATTCATGTCAGAGGTCTCCAACACACCGTTGTGACCAAGTGGTAGGGATGGCTGACTAGAAGCATTTCAAGCACACCTCATACTTCAAAGAGCAAAATAGCATGTAGACAATTACAGTTAGAATAGATTTTCCAAGAAGGAACATGAGGAAGTCAACAGAAAAGCAACAAGAAAAAAATAGGAAGCAGAAGGAAAACAGGAAGCCTATTTGACCAGAGTGGGCCAGGAACTGGGAGTGATTCCCCATTACAGGAAAAGGTGAATGAAACTCTTTCTGCAGTCCACTTTCCCACTGGGGAATCATACAATCCAGACCATAGGAGAGTACTATGTCCCTCTCAAGTCCTGAATCTAACTTAGGGAGTAGCCAGGAGACTATGAGAAGGAACTACTCCAGGGAAAGAACATCCCATGCCCTTTCTGAAACACAAGTGGCAACCATAAGACACCACTCTTTATCCTACCTTTTAGCAGACTATGCACAGTCCCAGGAACGAGGCCAGAACTGATAAGCAAGTGTGGCATTGGCTCCAGCCAAGGTTATGGGATTCGGGAACCTCCCCATCCTGGAATTGGGCTGGGAGGGGTTTCACCTGGGAGCCACAGTTTTATGGCCTGGGGTTATATTGCAGTCCAAAGACAAACTGCTTGTGATTTGGCTGGCTGCCTCAGCTCGATGCCAGTGGCAGGCCGTAGGATGGTATCCCGCTAGGTTGAGAGCATGAGAGCAAGGCAGGTCTCACTACCACCTGCTAGGCTATGGAACCCGAGCCACCCCACTTTCCCCATGCTGGTTAGTTGGAACAGAAAGAGTTGCTCCACTTCTCCCTGAACTATTGCTCCAGTGGCCTGAGAACTGTCCTCCAACCCCCATCAGGGCTGGCACTTGTACTGGCCATTAGGAGGACCAGGTATAGACCTGCCCATCTCAGCCCCACCCTGCTTTCTCCTCTACCCAACACCACCAGCTTTCCCCCCTATTTCCCACCTTGGAAGCAAAGTACAGGACTGAGACCGCTGAGAATTCCGTGGCCCAACCCATTGCCTGGGAAACCCAAGTACATCACCAAGTTAACAAAGGTCAAGCCTTAACTGTAACACCACCACTGCAGCTGGCTCTCACCTGCACGCACTGCCTACTGGCCAGGATATCAACATGCACAGCCACTACAAAGTCTGATACAGTTTCATCCTATAAGTAAACAGCATTGCAGCCTAAAAGGAAACAGCATTGTCTAACCTAACCGAATATTCTGAATGTCAGACAAAGGCGAGTAAAGGTAGCAGATCTCATTCCTGCCTGTCAAAGCCATGGTGCTGGTACCGCCCTTCACTCCCCAAGCGGAGACCTCAGCAGATTTCACCAGGGGCCTGAGGACTCCCCCACCACCCCTCTCAGGGCTGGTGTGTACATCTGCCATGGGGGGCCTGAGTGCAGGGTTCCCCAATCTGGCTTTACTCAGCTTTACCACCCCATCCTAGAGAGAAGGTGACTCAAGCCCTTGAGCACTCCAGGGCCCAACCCACCACCTGGGACACTGAAAGCGCTTCTACAGATGTTAACAAAGATCACATATAAACCCTACTGCTATCATGGCAGCCTGCTCTAACTGGCATGTACCACCTACTGACCAGGTCAGCCTCCAAAACACAAGGCAAATCTGCTGAAAAAGATGCACAGCACTCAGGAAGGAGACAGGCTTCATGTGACCTCTGCATCCACCATCACCCATGCCACCCTGGCTTCTCAGTATTCTGAAGTGGCTTCTTCATCCACCCAGTACACAGCTACTACAACTGCCATTTTATAAAGCCACCACATTAAAGCTATTTTTAACTAATATTGTACAGAGTCTTTGCTACTGAACATACCCAGAAGCAAAGAGAAACAGCCCTACATAACATCATAGTCACATCCTGAAGAGAAAAAAAAAAATTTCCCCCCAAAGAAAGTAAATTCAAAAGCAAGAAGAAGCAACTGTTTTCTCATATGTAAAGAAATCAGTGTAATAATGCTGAAGTATTTAATAGCAAAGGGTTATGGCATCCCCAAAGAAACAGTAATTCTCCGGTAATAGATCCTAACCAAAAAGAAATAATCAAAATACCAATTTAAATTATTGATTGTAAAGAATCTCATGGAAATAAAAAGACAAATCTGAAAACCAGTACTGATGAATCAACAAATTAATTTTGAATATGAATGACAAGTGTACCAACGAGATGGATATCATTATTTCTAAAAAAGCCAGAACTGCTAGAAAATAAAAAATTATTGAAGGAATTAAACAAGACAGTTGAAAGCTTCAACAAGAGACTAGAGCAAGCAAAGCAGAGAATCTCACTGCTTGAAACAAATCTTTTAAATTAATAGAGTCAGAAAAAAAGAAAAAAATGAACAAAGACTTCAATATGTACTACATAGTAATGATTACACTTATGAATCCTTGGTATTTCCAAAAGAGAAGAAAAAGTAACAAGACTGGAAAACCTATTTAAGGAAATACTACGTTAAAATTTCCCTAGTCTTGCAAAAGATTTACACATTCAAATATAAGAGGCCCAGCAAATACCAGAAAAGTGCATTGCAAGACATAGTTCACCAAGAAATATAGTCATCAAACTGTATAAAGTCAACATGTAGGAAAAAATCTGATGTCTAGTTGCCTATAAGAGAAACCTTATCAGAGTAGCAGTGGACTTCTCAATGTGAGACTTAACAAGCCAGAATGGATTGAGAGCCTTTTTTCTGAGTTCTTAAAGAGAAAAAAAAAAAAAAAAGCAAACTGTCAATCAGGAATTTTATATCCTGGTAGAGTAAGCTTGATAAATGAAGTAGAAATAAAGTCTTTGCCACAAAAGCAAACATCAAGGGAAGTGGTCACAAATAGACTGGACCTACAAGGAATACTCAAAGGAATTCTAAACATGGAAACAAAGGGTTAGTACTTACCACCATAAAAGTGCGGGAAAGTATAAAATATTAACCTTGAATGTAAATGACATAAATATTCCACTTAAAAGATATAAATTGATGGAATGGGTTTTTAAAAATCAGCCATCTACATGCTGCTTATAAGAAATCCTCTCAGCTGGTAAAGACACTTACAGACTGTGGGTAAAGGAGTTGGAAAAAGATTTTCCTCACATGAATGGAAACCAAAAGCAAGCAGGAGTAACTATATTCATATCAGATAGAACATACTTTAAATCAAAAACAGTAAAAAAGAAAGAATGTCATTTTATAATGAGAAAGGAATCAAGTCAACAAGAGAATATAACAATCCTAATATATATACACCCAGCACCAGAGCACCCAGATTCATAAAACAAATATTACTACACCTAAAGACAAAGATAGACAATAATACAATAATAGTGGGGAACTTCAACATGCCACTCACAGCAACTGACAGAACACTGAGACAGAAAAACCACAAACACTAGACTTAAATTGGACTCTAGACCAAATGGATTTAATAGACACATGTGGAACATTCTAACCATATAATTCTTCTCATCGGAACATGGAACATTCTCCAAAATAGACCATATGTTACCACAAAGCAAGTCTCAAAAAATTTTTAAAAATCAAACTCATGTCAAGTATCTTTTCAGATCACAGCAGAATAAAACTAGAAATCAATACCAACGGAAATTCTCAAAACTATATAAATAGCCAGGCGCGGTGGCCCAAGCCTGTAATCCCAGCACTTTGGGAGACCGAGGCCAGTGGATCACCTGAGGTCAGGAGTTTGAGACCAGCCTGACCAACATGGCGAAACCCCATCTCTACTAAAAATACAAAAATTAACTGGACGTGATGGCGTGTACCTGTAATCCCAGCTACTCAGGAGGCTGAGGCAGGAGAATCGCTTGAATCCGGGAGGCGGAAGTTTCAGTGAGCCGAGATTGTGCCACTGCACTCCAGCCTGGGCGACAGAGCCAGACTCCATCTCAAAGAAACAAAACAAGAAACTGTATAAATAGACAGAGTTGACAACACACTCCTGAACAGTCTTTGGATCAACAATGAAATTAAAAAGGAAATTAAAATTTTTTTGAACAGAATGAAAATGGAAACAATATGTTAAAACCCCTGGGATATAGCAAAAGCAGTGCTAAGAGGGAAGTTTATAGTGTTAAATGCCTACATTAAAAAAAAAAGAAAAAAAGGGCTGTACTTGGTGGTTCATCTCTGTAGTCTCAGCGTCTTTGGGCAGCTGAGGCAGGAGGATCCCTTGAGCCAAGGAGTTCAGGACCAGTCTGGCCAACATAGCGAGACCTACCTCTACGAACAATTTAAAAATAAAATAAAATAAAATAAAATAAAATAAAATAAAAACTTAGCCGGGACATGGTGATGCATGCCTGTAGACTCAGCTACCTGGGAGGCTAAGGTGGGAAGATCGCTTGAGCTCAGAAGGTCCAGGCTGCAATAAGTCACGATTGTGCCACTTGCACTTCAGCCTGGGCAACAGAGTGAGGCCCTGCCTCCCAAAACAAAGGTAATTAACAAACTAACATCAAACCTGAAGGAACTAGAAACATATGAACAAACCAAACCCAAAGCTAGCAGAAGAAAAGAAATAATAAAAATTAAAGCAGTACTAAATAAAATTGAGACCAAAGAAATACAAAGAATCAAGACAACAAAAAGTTGGTTGTTGAAAATGTAAACAAAATTGATAAACCACTCCCTCTAATAACCAAGAAACAGAAGATTCAGATAAATACAATCAGAAATGAAAAAGAAGACATTACAACTGATAGAACATAAATATGAAAGATCATCAGAGAATACTATGAACAACTCTATGCTCACAAACTAGAAAACCTAGGGGAAATGGATAAATTCCTGGAAACGTAACCTCTCAAGATAGGAAGAAATATAAATGTTGAACAGATCAATAATGAGTGGTGAGATTAAATCAGTATAAAAACATCTCCCCAAAACAACAACAAAAGAGCTGCATGACCGTGTGGACTGACAATCAAATTCTCCTAAATGTACAAAGAAGTACTGGTACCAGTTCTACTGAAACTGTTCCAAAAAATCAAGGAGAAGGGAATCTTCCCTAACTCATTATATGAAATTGTTATCACCCTGATACCAAAGTTAGACAAGTACACAACAAAAAGAGAAAATCTGGTGAACATACATGCAAAAATCCTCAACATAATACTAGCAAATTGAATCCAACAGCACAGCAAGATTTATTCCAGCGATGCAAAGATGGTTCAACATATGCAAATTAATAAATGTGATTCACCACATAAACAGTGTTAAAAACTGTATGATCATCTCAGTAAATGCAGAAAAAGCATTTGATGAAATTCATCTCTTCATGATAAAAATCATCAAAACCTAGGCATAGTGAGCATGCCACAAAATAATAAAATCCATATACAACAAACCCACAATCAACATCATACTGAATGTGGAAACATTGAAAGCTCTTCCCCGAAGAACTGGAACAACACATGTATACCCACTTTCACCACTCCTATTCTAAATAATACCGGACGTCCTAACCAGAGAAATCAGACAATAGAAAGATATGAAAACCATGCAAATTGGAAAAGAGAAAGTCAAACTATCTGTATTCACTAAAGATATGGTCTAACACCTAGAAAAATCCTCAAGACCTCTCCAGAAAACTCTTAGTTTTGATAAACAAATCTAGTATAGTTACAAGATGCAAAATCAACATACAAAACTCTGTAGCATTTCTATACACCAATACAAATCAAGCTGAAAAACAAATCAAGAAGGCAGTTTCATTTACACTGACTACAAAAGACAAAATAAAATACTTAGGAATATATTTCACTAATAAGTTGAAAGATCTCTACAAGGAAAACTACAAAACTTTGATGAAAGAAATTGTAGATGGCACAAAAAGATGGAAAAACATCCCATGGTCCTGGAGCAGGAGAATCAATGTCATTAAAATGACCATAATGCCCAAAGCAATATACAGATTCAGTGCAATTCCTATGAAAATGCCAATGTCAGTTTTCACAGAATTAGAAAAAACATCCTAAAATTTATATAGAACAAAAGAAGAGCCCAAATGACCAAAGCACTCCTGAGCAAAAGCAAACCTGGAGTCATCATATTATCTTATCTCAAATTATAATACAAGGCTATAGTAACCAAAACATAGTACTGGTATTAAGTAAAATAGACACATAGATCAATGAAACAGAATGTGGAAACCAGAAATAAAGCCAAAAGTCTACAGTTAACTGATCTTTGTTAAGACAAAAACAACAATCACTAAGGACAATCTTTTCAGTAAATGCTGCTGGGAAAATGGGACAGCCATATACAGAATAATGAAAACTAGACCCCTATATCTCACCATATTTAAAAATTACCTCAACATGGATCAAGAACTGAAATATAAGATCTGAAATAATAAAAATACTGGAAGAAATCCTGGAAAGAAAACTCTTCTGGCCACCAGGCAGCTAATTCATGACTAAGGCCTCAAAAGCATAATCAACAATGACAAAAATAGACATATGGGACTTAATTGAACTAAAAAGCTTCTGCACAGCAAAAGAAATAATCAACAGGGTGAACAGACCAGCTGGCAAAATGGGAGAAAATATTTTTAAACTACAGATCTGATTAATGATTAAGGACTTATATTCAGAATTTATAAATAACTCAATCCAACAACAACCAAAAAAAACAAATACAAGTAACCCCATTTAAAAGTGGGCAAAGGACTCAAGTAGACATTTTTCAAAAGAAGACATATAGATGGCCAAGAAGCACATAAAAAAATGTACATTACTAACCCTCAGAGATACGCAAATCTAAACCACAATGAGACATCATCCTACACCAATCAGAATGGCTGTTACCAAAAACTCTATAATAATAGATTTTGGCAAGGATACAGAATTAAGGGAACTCTTATATGCTGTTGGTATGAATGTTTATTAGTACACCTGTATAGAAATCAGTTTGGAGACTTCACAAAGAACTAAAAATAGAACTACCATTCGATGCAGCAATCCCACTACTGGATATCTACTCAATAGAAAATAAATCATTATACCAAAACGATACCAGCACTTGTATATTTATTGCAGCGGTATTCATACTAGCAAAGATATGTAATCAACCTAAGTTCATAAACAGATGACTGCATACAGAAAATATATATATCACATTTATATATCATATTTATATATGATATATAATATATATCATTTGTATATGATATATATTATATATCATGCTTGTATATGATATATATTATATATCATGCTTGTATATGATATATATCATATGTATATACATATATACACATACATATATATGTATATGTGTATTTGTATATATGATATATATATCATATATATATAGAGAGAGAGCATGGAATACTACTCAACCATAAAAAAGAATGAAGTCATGTCTTTTTCACCAACAAGGATGGAATTGGAGGCCATTATCTTAATTTAAACAATTCAGAAACAAAGTCAAGTTTCTAATGTGCAGAATGGACATAGATTGTAAAATAATAGTCACTGAAGACTTGGAAGGGAGAGAGAGCATGGAATACTACTCAACCATAAAAAAGAATGAAGTCATGTCTTTTTCACCAGCAAGGATGGAATTGGAGGCCATTATCTTAATTTAAACAATTCAGAAACAAAGTCAAGTTTCTAGTGTGCAGAATGGACATAGATTGTAAAATAATAGTCACTGAAGACTTGGAAGGGAAGGAGGGTGAGGGGGGTTGAGGGATAAGAAGTTACTTAATGGGTTCAATGTACACTATTCAAGTGATCATTACACTAATGTCCCAGACTTTACCACTGTGCAACATAAAAAAAACTGCACTTGTAGCCTTGAGTATTCATGAGTAAATAAAAGGGAGAAAAGTCTGCACAGAGCCTATATTACTACACTCATCCATAAGCAAAATCACCACACTATTCCCAACTGGCACAATAAAATGAAACTCTAAAGTCTTTTTCTAGAACAGGCACACTAGGAAATTTGGAATCACTGATTATTTCATCGAATACAGAGACATCAATATAGGGACACAGAAAAACACATTAAAAAGCAAGGAAAGGCTGGGCACGGTGGCTCACGCCTCTAATCCCAGCACTTTGGAAAGCCAAGGCAGGTGGATCACGAGGTCAGGAGTTCTAGACCAGCCTGGTCAACATGGTGAAACCCGATCTCTACTAAAAATACAAAACTTAGCTGGGTGTGGTGGCGGGCGCCTGTAATCCCAGCAACTTGGGAGGCTGAGGCAGGAGAATCTCTTGAAACCAGAAGGTGGAGGTTGCAGTGAGCCGAGATTGTACCACTGCACTCCAGCCTAGACGAAAGAGCGAAACTCCATCTCAAAAAAAAAAAAGCAAGGAAAAATGGCATCATGAATGCCATATCATATCTCTAATAATGTATCCCAGTGTAAAAGAAATCAACAGTTACCAGAAAAGGAATTCAAAATAATGATATTACGGAAACTCAGTGTGACAAAAGAAAATACATGTAGACAATTCAACAGTCTCATAAAAACAATACGAGACTTAGATAAGAAATTCACAAAGGGGTATAAATCATAATAAAAAAATAAAAACCACACAGAAATCCTGCAGCTTAATTACTCAATGAATGAAATAAAAAATAAAATAGACAGCTGCAGTAGCAGACTTCATCAGACTTAAGAAAGAACCTTTAAATATGTAGATCTGTCATTTCAAATTACCCAGACAGAGATAAAAAGAAATAAGAATGCAAAAGAGTGAGAGAAATCCTACAAAACTTAAGTTACATCAATAGGCACACAAATAGTAATCTTATGGGAATTCCAGAAGGTGAAGAGAAGGAAAATTACATAGAAAATCTGGTTAATGAAATAGTAGATGAACACTTTCCATGTCGGTGGAGAGAGATGGACGTTTCAATTCAGGAATCTCAAAGGTCTCCAAAGAGAATCAACTGCAAATGGTCCTCCCCAAGGCATATTGCAATTAAATGGTCAAATGGCAGAGACAGGAAAAAAATTTAAAAACAGCAAGAGAATGAGGAGAAAAAGCAAAAAAGAACAGCAAAACAGTCAAGTCACATACAAAGGAATCCCAATTAGAATAACAGATTTCTTGCAGAAACCTTACAGGCTATGAATGAGTGGGATGATGTATTCAAAGTGCTGAAAGAAAAAATAATTGTTTTACATGATACGACCGAGAATACTGTAACTGTAAAAACCAAAGAATACTATAACCACCAAAGCTGTAGTTCAGCAGAGAGAGAGAGAAATAATGTCTTTCCTAGAAAAAAATCTGAGAGAATTTATAACTGCTAGATCAGCCTTACAAGAAATAGTCAAGGTAGTCCGAGATCTAGCAGGCCACAGGACAATATTCACCATCATGAAAACATGAGAAAGATAATAGAACAGATATTAAAAGAAAACAGAGACAAGAATTAAACCTTGTCGCTGCAAAAAACTGTGAAACCACATTAATAAACAAGATTGGAATAAAGAAACAAAGTATATAGAGAAAAAACAGAAAACATTCAGCCAAGTGACAGGAGTAAGTCTTCACCTATCAGTAATAACCTTGAATGTACCTGCATTAAATTTCCCACTTAAAAGATACAGACTGACTGAATGGATTTAAAAACAAATATGGCCCATCTATACCTACTACAAGATACTCACTTTACCTGTAAATACACATATAGACTGCAAGTGAAGAGACGGTAAAAGATGTTCCACACAAACAGAAGCCAATTGAGCTGGTATCGCTACATTTATTTATAAAAAACAGACTTTTTAAAAACTCTAAAAACAGACAAAGTAATTATTATATAATGATTGAGGAACTGATCCAGCAACAGGATATAATAATTCTAAATGTAAATACACTCAATACCAGAGCACTGCGATATATAAAGCAAATATTCTTAGATCTAAAGGGAAAGGTAGACTTCAATACAATAATAGATGGAGACGTCAGTAACCACTCTCAGCATTAGATAGATCATCTGGACATAAAACCAACAAAAACATTGCTTTCAGATTGTCCTTTAGACCACATGGACCTAACAGACATTTACAGAACATTTTATCCAACAGCTAGAGAAGGCACATTCTTTCCATCAGCACTCTCCAGGGTAAGACCACATGGCAGACCACAAAACAAGTCTCAACAAATTTTTTTAAATTAAAATTATATTAAATATCTTTTCTCACCACAATGCAACAAAACTAGAAATCTGTAACCAAAGAAACTTTTGAAATTGTGCAAATATATGGAAATTAAACAGTATGCTTCTGAATGACCAATGGGTCAATGAAGAGATGAAGAAGGTATCTTAAATGGGTTTTGAAGCAAATGAAGATAGGAAAACAGCATACCGAAACCTGTGGGATACAGCAAAAGCTGATATAAACACCAACATTAAAAAACTAGAAAGATTTTAAATAAACCACCTAACAATGCATGTCAAAAATAGAAAATCATGAAGAAACTATACCCCAAGTTAGTTGGAGGAATGAAACAATAAAGATCAGAGCAGAAATTTTACTAATTGAGACTACAAAACAACAGGATGAATGAAGCAAAAGTTGATTTTTGAAAAGATTAACATA